>NC_000002.12:5767575-6070606 GCF_000001405.40 Homo sapiens
GTCTCACTTCTTATGGCCCAACCCCTCACTGTAAATCTTATCTACTTGGAAAAACAGGCAGCTATGGGCAGGGTACACTTGGTAAAAACTGGAATGAGGTTTTGGGGCAACAGGAACATTTTTGTGGTTTTTAAAGTTCTGATGCTACTTAAAAGATTTTGGTTTCTAAGTTTCAGGCTTGGATATTAACATCATCCTTTTGTCTTTTCAGTGGCTTCCTGTTTACTGATAAAAATCTAAAAATGCATTTACTCAAATTTTAAAGTAATAGAAAGGTTACTAAAGAAAATTGTTAAAAATGCACTATGAATAAACAGTAAATTAATCTCACTACCCATGAAGAACCAATGTTAACAATTTGTGTCCTGTTTTCTTATACGTTTGTTTTCTCTCATCACATGTAGATGTAAAGTCACTCTTTGCATGTTGCTACTACTGCTTTCGGGATCTCACACACCACTACGGCTTCTCCTTGCTTCTTGACTTCTGGTGTAGTCTCTGAGTGAACATCGGGAAAAAAAAGGATGTTATTGATGGCATGCATGGGTGTTCTTGGCTCTGTGTTTGGACACTTTAAAAACAGTGTAAATATTCAATTGAGAAATGGCTGAAAAATGTTTTCCCTGATTTAAGTGTCTGACCTGGAAAGCAAAATCTGGAGGATATTTTTTCTTATGTTTTTTTCAGATGGGTAGGGTTGATTTATTTCATGAGACAAGGGTAACACATCTCTTTTTCCCCTCCTCTTTCTAATTCTATTGGTCTTGTAGTTGGAAGAAAGTTCATCCTTATTATAGGTATCTTTGCAGAATGTTTAGTTTAGTTTTGTGTTTTTAAACTAGTCGTTTTACTTCCTCTTTTCCCTTGTGGTTTTGTATGGAGATTGAAAATAAATTTGGTAGGAGCTTTTCTAAAAGCTCCTAGCCAAATCCCACATGACTTCTAAATTCAAGACTAGACTTGCCCTTCCTTCTTCCTAAAATATTTCTGCGACTCAAATTTGCCAAGCACTGTGCCGGTGCAAGGGATGCTATGATGAGAAAAATGCATTTCCTGTCCTTCAAGAGCTCACGAGCCATCCAGCAGAGCAGGTCCTTAATAAACTGGGCAGGAAAGCATATGAAATGCTTCAGGCTGCCTTGGGGAGGTACAACAGGGGAAGATTCATGCTGGGGAAGACAGAGTGGGAAGTTGAATTTGTCAGGTTGGCACGGGGACACGGGAGGGAGGCCCTTCCACACACAGAGAGTCTGAGAGGTTGGGGGGTCACTGTTAAGTGAACAAGTGGGGCTCAAGTGAGTGAGGTTATTGGTGGTCCTGGGATGGCAAAAATATAAGTATTTAAATGTTGTTGAAGTAAAAATGTGTGAGATGAAGGTGTAGAATGCCTGTGGATGGGAACCTTCAAATACTGCAATGAAAATCATGAAGAAGAGAAGGAATGCCAATGTGAGGCTACAGAAAAGCCAGGGGAAGGAGTTCTGGAAGAATAAAACAGCTGGTGGCGTCAGTAAGGGCAGAGGCCACTGAGCCAAGGGTCTTGGTGGCACTGGTGAGCTAAGGTGAGAAGCCCTGGATGTAGAAGGGGCAGTGAAGAGGGAGGAGAGAGGGAGAGGGAATTGCTCCTCTGTGAGTGGGAGGATTTTTGGCAACCAGGGCCTGGGGGACATGGGGAAGTCAAGGAGGGAGGCGTGTGGGGGTCAAGAGACCCTGCAGTGGGCACAGATCCGGACAGATCCCAGCATGCATCCCTCCCTCCGACAGGGCCTTCATGCAGCTCTGTTTGTTTATCTTGGGAATAGCAATGCCTGTTCTCTTAGAAAAGCCTCTCCTAGAATTTGTTTTATAACTCAATTTAACAAATAACCATTTAGGTGGAAAATGTGCAAAAAAAGAGAAAGTTTTGCAAGAAACTTTATTCTTTAGAAAACATGTGAGTGAATATGACTGAGTCAGTAACTGTGATAATGAAAAGAAAAAAGTTCTGTTTGTCTTTCCCTATTTCACGTCAGCTTCACTTGGACCAATGTGTTCTCCACATCTTCCCAGAGAAGGAAATGTAGGCATCTACTCTCAACCAGGAAGTCAGAAGGGGACTGGAGATCACTGGAGGTCACAAGCTCTCCCCACAGTTGTACGCACCTGAGCTACTCTGACCTATACCCTTAAGGCCAGAGAACTGCAATACTATTTCCAGAATAATTAAACAAATAAACCAATAACTGTCATAATGATGACAATAGGAAAAAGTACATTCATGCAAATTCTCACTTTTTGTGACCATAGCTTTGCAGATAAGTAATGCCTTGTGCAATTATTTCAAATAATTGTAGAATCTGGATCTTATCTCTACTTTTATGAATCTCTTCTGCAGCACCCTTGATAAAAAGTTATCTTTTGCCTCCTTTCATGGTCTCTGTAAACAGGAATTTTGTTACTTCTTAAAATCAATGCTATCAATTATTGGATACATCTTTTGACAGTCTTTATATCAAGCTAACATATCCCTCCCTTTGTCTAATTATTGACCCTTGATCTAATTTCTACACCCTGGGACGACCCCAAACACATTTAAGTTCCATTTTGCATGGTGGTACCACTTCAACTACTATCTGTTAAAATTATGATACAACAATAACCCCTTTTTGCTATTACTGATATATTTCACATAAATCCAATATAGTATTTTCTATGCATACATTTTTTCTCAAACCATTTTTAAGGAAGGATGAGTTCAGGCTCCATCTTTTAGGATAATTCCATCACTGGGAATATTTTCTCTTGCACAATACTTTCCCTACAAAAGACAGAGTGCATTGCAAGGAGCTTGTTGTGTGTTTCAAACAACCTTTATTTTAATTTGTTTTGTTTCACCTAGGAGTGGTGTAGTGTAAGTCAAGGCCCCAGACTTTGGATGCCACAGCTGTGCTCAGGTTTGTTGTTGTCACTTGTAGCCTGGAGTGTACTGGACGAGGCACCACTGCCATCAATTAGTCAGGGACTTGGTCCCCATGAAACTTTGGAACTCCACAAGGGCATGGGATGCTAGCACTTATAGAGTGCTTGAAACGTAGCCGGCAGTATGTAAGTCTAACTATAAGCTAATGCAATTCTAGAAATAGCCCTATGATGGCTATTCTTAGCTTCATTTTATGTTTTAGGAAAACTAAGGCTAGAGATGCAATGTCTTTGGAGAACTGAGATCCAATCCCAGATTTTTCTGAATCCAATTCCCATGACTCTCCCACAATATCTCCTTCTTCATTGAGCAGCTGGTGAGCTGGACACTGGTGCAGGACAGCCTGGAGGGGAAGAGGATGACATAAACAATGAAACTAGAATTAACAGGTAGCAAGTCCATTCTTCAGGAGACAAGAGCACACAGTGTGGGCTTAGTAACGTCTGTCTGTAATACTGTATACATATACTCATCTGAAGATTAAAGATTACTATTTATGTCCTAATTTGACAGTAGGACAAGCCATTTATTTTGCCCTACAATCTAAGAAAATATCCCTTTCCAAATGAAATGACAGTTGGAGAAGCACATTGAAATGCTAAAATGCTATGCAACTGTAAAACGATTCATTTTAACGTTTTCAGTATTGATTATTTCCAAGGGATGCCAATAGTTCTCAACATGTAGGAATTTGTCATTTTACTTTTCTAAGAACATAGTTGGTGCTTAATAAATGTTTCTTCATTTAATTAATATTGGATATTTCTGATACATAAATTTGGATCTTGCTCAAAAAGTCTAGTTCCAGAAAAAACAGTCACTTAGTAGTTGAGTGAGGCTGTCTGCCCGCTGAGCATCTGCACTTGAACGTGCCCAGGAAAATGCTGGTGAAGGGATCCAAACAGTGGAAGAAACTTGAGTACTTGTCTTGATAACAGAAATAAAGGGACAGTGGAAAGGGGATCTGAGCAATGACAGTTCTTCATTTTAAAAATAGAATGTTTAGATATATTAAGTGTGGAATGTCCACGTAGACGATTCTACCAGGCCTATACCCTAAATGAGCTCACCATATGTGCTCCGTGAAACAAGAATAAGCCATTTTTGAAATTCTTTTTTTGAAATTCTTACATATTCCAATCAGTATAAAAATTGCTTATCTGTGGGAGATAAATCTGTAGTGAACGTTGGGAACATGATTAGCTCATGGAGAGAGAAAATTCCTTTGCACGTGTCACTGTAGACAGAAATAAGATTCAGGAAAAAGCTGGGATCTGGGATGCAACCTGGGCAGAAACAAGCACAGCCCCTGAGCTGCTGCGTACCTTGACACAGGTTGGGTGGATAATCATAAGAATTTTGTCTTCAAGAGTGTGAAGTTAGGAGAGGTGGCGCAAGCTGCTGCCATTGCCATAAACAGATTTTCTGCCCATTGAGCTGCTGGTTGAGGAGATTGAGGCTGAGGTGGAGCATGTGATCAGCTCTTTATTGGGAGAAGACTCTTCTGAAACCCCACATGCAGGGTGGCGATGTGAGAACCAGAGATGTCGGTGGGCTAAGTAGACACATGCCTCTACCTTATAGTGATGGGTAAGTCCAGGGCCCCTGAGCAGCATGGCAGCACGAATGAGATACCTGTATATTTGCAACCTCCTAAAAAGCTTGGGTCCACATGCAAGTCATCTCTCTCTCTCTTTTTTTCGTTTGCTAAGCTTGTGGCCAGTGTTTTTAAGATAGTATAGTGTAGAGAGTTTACAGATATGACAAAATCTATTATAATAACTTTTAAAATTTCCTTCCTACATGTAGAATCATGAAACATCTAACAAGGGCACCTATTTCTGCGCCTGCTGAGCTCCATGGAGTCACCAACTCACAGAGACTTTGCTGTATTTTTACAGTGGCTTCTATTGTTTATCAGAGAAGCAACTTTCTGCATTGTTGATATGGAAATCTTCTGAGATTGTTTTAACTAAGATCTCTCAAACAAAATGGAAGGGAGGAAATTTTATTATTGTCCCATTTGGGTAGTAGCCAGAAAGTAACTAAATATTATTCACATATTAGTTTAACCAAATACTTTGTCAGAGGAGGAGGGAAGGTTAGGAGAATTAGCTTTAAAGAATTTGTATCCACACATTTTGTATAGTAACTGTGAATTAAATCTACCGTGTATTTCTCATCATTAAAAAGACCCCATTGATTCTTGTAGTCATGGAACTGTAATAGCAGTGGCAGGATCATGCATGTGCTCTTGACTACAGTTCTGCAAAAGTTACCATTGGAGGAAACTTGGTAGAGGACACATGTGATGTCCTTGTATTACCTCATAATGGCATGTACATTTATAGTTATCTCAAAATAAAAAGCCTAATAAAAATTCTGAAGAAGTAACTTAATTTTCTTTCTTTCCTCATAGGGTATCACATTTCATGGAAGAAATTATATTTTTAAGTAATGTGCACATATTTAGAAATTCGTGAGGGTTTTTTTGCATGTAGATAATCTATTATAGTATTTATGTTACCATTACCATATTGAAATAATTTATAGTATTTACTCTTTCTTATTTGTATATTAACTTTCTAAATTGACACAGATGTGAAGGTAATAAAAACTCTAGAAATTTCACATGTGTTCAGAAAACAAGACTTAACGGTGAACATTGGACAAAACCAGCAAGAGAGACCCACAGAGATGAGCCAATATGCTCCAGCTTGCTGGAGTTAGCAGAGGAGAGGAGAGGATCTTTTAACCAAGCCTCAGCTCTAATCAGGCCTCATGTGGCCAATGGACAGTCTCTCATAGTCTGTGCATCCTTTGAAATTGTAGGTAGCAATGTTGTATCTCAGTGTTTTTCCTGAGAATGGGCCCATGGTTTCCTCCTGACTCTTAGTGAATGGAAGAACCACCCCCAAGCATCCCTTCCAGGGCCACACCTGCTTAGAACCCATAGTGGAACCTCTTTGTGTGGCAACGTGAAAAGGATGTGAGGCTGTGCAGCCCAGTTCCTGGCACCACCTCCTGCACCTTTCCTGAGATCCACGCGGTGGATGCCCAATAGGGATTCTGAGGCACGATCTACCCCAGGCGGAGGCGTCCTGAAACAGGACTTTCTTCTGCAGAACCCACGGCCTCCCTCTCACCCAGCCCTGTCCTCTGCTTTCTGGATGAGAAAGTCTTCTTCGAATGAGTGCTGGCTCCACACCTGTCAGGCTAACTCCAGCCAGCCTTGGCCTCCAGTAGCACTCCATCGCGAACTAATGATCATACTTCATTCAGGATTTGATTGGCTTAATGATAGAGACTATGTCTTTTCATTGGGATCCTATTTAATTATTTGCTTCTCCTATTAGGGTCTTCTGTGGTGTGGAACTTGATCCCCTTTTCTTTCCTGTCCATTTTTGTGTTTTCTAAAATTGTTAATAACATAGCAACAATTGAACTTTAAGTGCCACTTCACAGTTGGCTGAACTCTTTTTTATATATATTTATTTATTATCTTACTCTTGTATACATGTTTTTATTTGGCTGTCACTGAAAGAAGCAGAGCATGCATTATGCTCTTTTGCAAAAGAGGAAACTGAGGCTCAGAAAGGAGATAGGATGAGCACAGACCGTGCACTCCTGGCCAGGACTCAAATCCAGCTTTGCTGGTTCAACTAACACACTTTTCATGATACAACACCGTAATGATAAAAAAAAAAAAAGCACATTTATGTATCCCATAAAGAATGAAAGAATGTTCACCCTCATCCATTCACTTGACCTGTGTGCTGTCCACGTTATCCTCCCTTCAGTGGGAGGAAAAATTAGGCTCCTGGGGTGAGGAGTCTCCAAAGTCCCAGCCAGTTGCTGGAAGAGCCTGAATCTAGACTTAGGTCTTGTACATCAGTGCTCTTTCCTGGGCCTTGCATAACAGGTATTTTAGTTTCCCTTTTGAGCTTATTTTGGGGACATTCAGTCTTTAAAAAGTATCCAGAATGGAAATTAGGAGGTCTGGGCTCTGTTCTTATCTCTGCTATTAATATGGTGTGATTTAGGGAAAGTTATACAATCTCTCTGATGATCGAGCACAGATATTTATTCTGTGCTTCCAGCTCTTTTTAGAGGTTTCTCTTTGTTCCAAAGAAAGTGAAACTGCTCTTCCTCAGGTGGGAGGGGGAAGAAGGCCCCTCCCAAGGCCAGCGCACGACCCTCACCCTCCTGCTAGCAGCCTGTCCTGACGCCACCACTCAGGAACCTTGGGATTTTATTTTTATTTATTTTATAACTCAAAGGGTATTCTTTCTTTTTCCTTTTCCTTTTAGTTGACAAGTAATAACTGCACATATTTATGGGCTGCTGAGCGATATTTCTGTACCTGCATACAATGTGTAATGTTCAACTCTGGGCAATTAGCATATGCATCACCTCAGACATTTATTATTTATTTGTGTTGTGAACATTCAAAATTTTCTCTTCGGCCAGCTGTGGTGGCAAACGTCTGTAGTCCCAGCTACTCTGGAGGCTGAAGCGGGAGGATCACTTGAGCCCAGGAGTTCTAGGATGTGGTGAACTGAGATCACACCACTGCATTCCAGCCTGTGTGACACAGAGAGACTCCCATCTCTTAAGGAAAAAAATCCTCTAATCTAGCTTTTTGACAATATACAGTAAGTTATTAACTATAGTCACCCTTCAAGCCAATACAAAACTAGAACTTATTCTTCCAATCTAGCTGTAACTTCGAATCCATTAACCCACTTATCATCATCCTTCCCTCCCCCTTACCTTTCCCACCTTTAATAAACACAGTCTACTCTGTACTTCTATGAGGTCAACATTTTTAAGCTCTCACATATAAATGAGATCATGTGGTATTTGCATTTCTGTGTCTGGATTATTTCACTTAACATTATGACTTCCAGTTCAATCCATGTTGCCTTGAAAGATAGAATTTCATTCGTTTTTATGGCTTAATCATGTTCCATTGTGGATATAGACTACATTTTCTCCATCCACTCATCTGTTAATGGCATTTAGGTTGATTTCATGTCTTGGTTATTGTGAATAGTGCTTCAATAAACATGGGAGTGCAGAAAAGCTTCTCCAGATCAAAGGAAATAACCAACAGAGTAAAGAGACAATCTGTAGAATGAGAGAAAATATTTGCAAACTATTCATCTGACAAGAGACTAATATCCATTATATGGAAGAAACTCAAACAACTCAACAGCAAAAAACCCTAACAATCCAATTAAAAAATGGCAAATGATCGGGACAGACATTTCTCAAAAGATGACATACAAATGGCCAATAAGTGTATGAAAAAATGCTCAACATCACTAATTATCAGGGAAATGCAAATCAAAACCACAATGAGATATCACTTCATTCGAGTTAGAATGGTCATTATCAAAAAGACAAAAAAAAACAAATGCTGCTGAATGTGCAGAGAAAAGGAAACCATTATGCACTGCCGATGGGAATGCAAATTAGCACAACCATAATGGAAAATAGTATGGAGGTTTCTCAAAAACCTAAAAATAGAACTACCATATGATCCAGCAATCCCACTACTGCGTATTTATCCAAAGGGAAAAAAAGAAGAAAAAATCCTTGGATTTATACAGGGAAGGGAACCTTCTGGAAGGCCCACAGATTGCTGGGCTCCACCCCCAAAATTCTGATTCAGCAGGTCTGCAGTGGGATCAGAGATTCTGCATTTTTAAGAAGCTCACAGGGCATGCCCACGCTGCAGTCTGCCCACCTTATTTTGGGTAGCAATGTTGTGGAGCACAGTTGGAGAATCTTAATTTGAGAACAGTGTCTTAGTCCCTTTCTACGACTACATTTCATTGTTCCATTTTGGGTCACAGACTTCAAAGTTGTGAGCTTGCAGGTGGGGGTATTGCATGTCCCTGCCTGACGTTGAAAACAACCTCTTTGCAGGTATGTGTGATGGAGGAGTCAGATGAGCTTGGATGAAGCCTCTTGTCACACCTTGATATTTAAGAGTCTAGTTTCCTTCTAATAATAATTTTCAACATCCGTGTGCCATTTACCAATTTATATTAAAGGAATGTTACTATAATACCATTTTGACTCAAACAATTCTCAGGAATAGATTGAACAGATATTCTTATCCTTATAATTAAGAAAACTGAGGCTCACAGATTCTGCTTTATAGACCCATCTGATGTTTGAATAGGAATCTGTAGTTCACATATTTTTCCCATTTAATCCATGCACCAAACATCAATTCTTAATATACTGACAGAATCTCACATAGCTCCATAATTAAAACATCATTTCCTTATCACAATTGACATTACTTTGACCTTCATTTTTGCTTTTAATACATAAAGGGATAAAATAAAGGGGCTGGGGAAAGAAGAGGGGTCTGGGACACTGAATTTTCTAGTGAATCAAGAGTTCACCGGAAACCATATAATCTTTGACTTGGCAAAAACATTTTCTACAAAGTTTGTGTCTGTCTGCCCCCATCCCCACCCACCCACCCTCTAAATCTGAAAATTATAGCTCAATCTTTGCACAGAAACGGAGGATCTTGACAGATTTCAGGGTATCCTCAGGAAGAGCAGCATCAAGGTGCAGGCCTGTGCCTGTGGAAGGGGTGGGCCAGGGCCTTTGCCTACCACACCAACCCATGAGGCAAGCATAGCCTTTTCCTTCTCACCTGCTTCCTCTTTCTAAACTACAGAGCCTTTCTCTAACAGTTGATTTGGGGTTTCCAATTAGCTACGTTTCTAGTTAAGCAGGATTTTCCTGTTTAATAACTTCTACCTTGGAGGCAAGTGACTCACACACACACACACAAACTCACACACACACACATGCACACACACACACGCACACACTCCACATTCCAACCTGAGTATTATAAAACTGCTACAGCTACAATGGATCCCGTCCACACTTTTCAATAATTTTTCTCTATAGGGACAGTCGGAGCTTTCCCTGAGTATTCTTTATTCTCATACATGACTTCATTTTCTCCCTTTAATCTTTCCAGCCATAAAAAAAAGTCTGAAATCTGAGTACTTAAGCATTTTTCCTATAGTATGTCAGCCTCTAAGAGGCATATTATGTTCTGGAAAGTAACGATTTTGTTAGAGAAAAGGAGAGAGTCCTGCAAATACTTTAATAGGAAAGGAATAATCCTCTGAAATAGCACCTGGAAGCCAGCAAATGGATTGAATGACCTCAGAAAGTACTTTCCATGATTGTGTCAAAAAATAAAATCAGGAAGGTAACTTGTTCCTTTTTCAGGGTGGGTACCTTCAGTGTGAGAACCATGATACCATTGTGAATTCATTCAGTTCCACATCTGACTCGGTCCTGGCAGGTCAAATGATTCACCAAGCTTGTGCTAACTTCACATTCAAACGTATTTTTGATGGTATTTTCTCCTGGCAGTCTATTGACAAGTATATTCCTATGGTGGTTTTACTTTGATTTATAGTGTTATTAATGTTAATGAAGGAAGCAAATAGATGATCACAACATTTATAATTGAATGTCTTTCTGGCAGCTGTTTTCTACCTATCAGATCTTGGAAGCTATGCTTGGGTAAAAGAGAGATTTCTAATTTTATCAATAAAAACAGATTCAGTATTGACTATTATTTATTGTGATAGTTAGAACAGTCCCGAAAAAGCATCTAATCCAACCTCTTAAATTTGCCTTTTACTTAAGGACAAAAATTTTAAGTCCACAGAGTTTGTGGAAGACCTGGTACAAAAACCCAAATCTACTGACCCTAGTGATGATTGTATGTCTCCTTCTCTAACTCCTACCCCTGCAACACATTGAATCTCATCTTAAAAATTTTTGGAAACTAGGGGAAAAAAAGGTGCCCATTATTTGTTTCATTTCAACCTCCTTTTGTTAATATGTGTATTTTGCATTCTGTTAATTGTGGTATTCATTCATCCCATAACTATTTATTGAAGTTCTGTTATATATCAGGCACAGTGCTAAACACTGAAGAAACAGCAATTAACTCAACCTTGGCCCCAGTGAGATGGTAGAACATCAAATGCAACAAATACATAAGCAACAATCGCACAGTTTTGTTTGTTTTGCTTCTTAAGAAGGGCTACAATTGCAGAAAGGGGAGTATTATGGAAGGTTTAGGAGGAATAGTGAGGTTACACTTGCAGTATCAGGAAACAGAAGTAAAAAGTAGTATTCATATGCCACGATGTTTTCCTCTCTGCAAAGAAACGAAGCATCTTAACCTCTATGCAAAGACTGAATGATCTTCCACTCTTTTCAATGAAGAAAAGAAAAAGAACTTTGTAATGAAACATCTTGATTTCAAATTCTGGTTCTTCCTTTGTGATTTGGGCCAAATTAACTAACTTCATGGGCTGCAGTATCTGCTTCTGTAAAACTGGGTTGGTACCACACTTTCTTGATTAGAGAAAGCCATTTATTGTAAGAGACAGCATAGATTTAATAAATAGCTTGTCCAAATAAAGGAATATTTTATAATACACATACACATATATTCAACCAACTAACATACTCATAACACTTCTTGCCACTTTCTTCTGTAGCATCACAATCAACATATGAATCTAAACTTTCTTCTCATTTACAGTGATAAGATTCATCAGAATTTTTTTATGACAGGAAGTTGTATATTACATCAATAATAATTTTTTATAACCCATGATCATGTTCTTTTCTTTAACAACTTTATGTCAACAATTTAATTTTGAGTCAAAATGAATATGATGATTTGTCTACATTTCTTTTGAACTTACACTTTCAAGTTTCCTGTTAATAAAATTCTACATTGCTGACAGTTAAACAGCTTTTTCTTAGTCAACCAATGAAGACTTCTGGTCTCAAAATGAGAATGAACACAAACTGAGCTTTCCCTCTTAAGTACTAAATCCATAGTAATAGTATGAGGAAAGCCAACACCATTAACAAGAGAAAACAGGCTCGATAAATGAAAGAACTCAAACAAAAGATAAATTTTAACAGTACTTATAAATAAGTAAATCTTGCCAGGCACGGTAGCTTACGCCTGTAATCCCAGCACTTTGGGATGCCGAGGTGGGCAGATCATGAGATCAGGAGATCGAGACCATCCTGGCCAACATGGTGAAACCCTGTCTCTACTAAAAATACAAAAATTAGCTGAGTGGTGGCGCATGCCTGTAGTACCAGCTACTCGGGAGGCTGAGGCAGGAGAATCGCTTGAACCAGGGAGTTGGAGGTTGCTATTAGCCGAGATCATGCCACTGCACTCCAGCCTGGTGACAGAGCGAGACTCTGTCTCAAAAAAAAAAAAAAAAAAAAAAGTAAATCTGAGATCACTGGAGAAATAAAGAGATACCCATGAAAAAAGAATTGGGGGCTATAAAACCAGGATAGGCACTATAAGAAAAAGAATACTATTAGAGAATTAGGAAATAAAAGTAGATATATTGAAAATAAATTTAAAAATAAACAAATGGATTTAGAAAAATATCATTTTACATATGTATGGCAAACATTTAACAGTAGCAGCTGGAAAGAAATAGAGCTAGAGGGTATTACATTCAAACATTCTTTTCCCACAAAGAAAAAAATGAAAAAATAAACTTGATCAGATCACAGAATATAGAAAAAAGGAAAATAAAAACAAGCATGGATAATAGAAAACACAAAGTTGTCAGAAATGACTCCTAATATGTCAGAACCATAATAAATACGAAAGGATTCAAGTCAGCAGCTGAAAGTCAAAGATAAATATCTAAAATAAAATTTCAAAATGTCAGAAAACTAGACACCAGGGAAAGAATGCTTCAAATGCTAACAAATATTTCTCCAGCGCAGGGAGTGTCACCAAGAACAAAGAAGCATATTTATATGAAATAGATACAAACTTTATATTTTCAACAACATAGTTTCAAAATACAGAAAGCAAAGTGCTAGAGATACAACATAGCTAAGAAGCCAACAAAGAAGATAATAATTTAATACGGTTACAGAAGATTTAACTA
This sequence comes from Homo sapiens, assembly GCF_000001405.40. NCBI lineage: Eukaryota > Metazoa > Chordata > Mammalia > Primates > Hominidae > Homo > Homo sapiens. The sequence continues at coordinate 5,780,542 of NC_000002.12, forward strand.
ACATGATTAAGGAGATTGACTTTTTAAAGCCATAGTGAATCAATATTTTGAATCATCTATATGTATATATACATATATGCTGAATATATATTTTGGAGGTGTATTTATACATGCATATGAATCAAGAAATTAAAAGATGAAGAAATGAACACTCCATAAAATGTATTTATTCTTTTTAAACACAAATGGGAGAGGTACAAAAAAATTTACCAATAATAGCCCATTAATGATCTCTTAGCAAATTCCAAAACAAAATTGATCAAGAAATACAGTGAAAAACATATTCATTTTTGAGACAAGTACGTCCACACTCTCTCCAGTCCAAAAATGTCATTGTTATTGGGAACTTTTTCAAACATGGATATCTGGTGCCTGAGAGTTGACTTAAGTTCTCCCAGCACAGAAAGTTCCACGATTTATTCAGAGATATTTGGCCGTTGCTACATTTAATTGCATTGTTTAGTATGTGACATGCAGCCTTCTGTGTATACCATGCCTTTTTAATAGCAACACTAGAACAAAGTGTAATATTTTAATGACATTTTAGGTGGCAATTCTTTTTCTTTTTGAGATGGAGTCTCGCTCTGTCGCCCAGGATGGAGTGCAGTGGCGCTATCTTGGCTCACTGCAAGCTCCGCCTCCCGGGTTCACGCCATTCTCTAGCCTCAGCCTCCCGGCTAATATTTTTGTATTTTTAGTAGAGATGGGGTTTCACCGTGTTAGCCAGGATGGTCTTGAGCTCCTGACCTCGTGGTCCACCCGCCTCGGCCTCCCAAAGTGCTGGGATTACAGGCGTGAGCCACCGCGCCCGGCCAAGATGCACAACTATTTTAAAGCTGCTACCTGAAGACATGAGCCACAGGGCCCACGAAGCCTCCTACCCAGGGGAGTCATGGAGTCCTTATGGCTGCCACAAAACAATGCACCACCTGCTGCACAGGGCTCTTCACCCCCAACCCCAGATCTCCGCAAGCATCGCCCCGCCCCCTTTCCTCACTGCTACAGATGTAGGAGTAATAAAATTGCATAGGTTTGAGGTTGATGCCAAACAGCTCTAATTGATTCCTTTTTATTTTTAGTCTTGAATCCCACTCAATTGTAAAGTTCACCATGAGGAGAAAAAGTAATCGGAAATAGGGGGAAATTGCTGTAAACAAAGTACTAATGGGAGGTAAATTAACCTTTTCAGAAAGACTTCCTTCGGGCTGTGCTGTGCAGGTCCGGCAGGAAACAGCATACTCGGGCTACTGAGGAAGCTCTGAGGAACCATTTCCAAGGGAGCAGGCGAGCAAGGCCTGGCAAAGCACCCGTCCAGCAACACTGAGGAAAGGGCAGCCTGGATCTGGAGCCCAGGGATGGTTGCGGGGAGGGCTGCCCACTAGGGCGTGAGCCCGCAGGCAGCAGGCAGGAGACGCACCGCTTTCTCTCCCTTGGACCCTTTGCTTTTCTGCCAGGGCCTCAAATAGGCTGAGCCCCCCCGCCCCCGAAGCCTGAAGGCAGGGGAAGAGGTTCCAGGGATCCACCCGGGAAGAGTGCGGGCTGGGGAGGAGCACAGGGAAGACGCTCTGCCCCTTCTGCAGGGAGGTTGTACTTTCACCTCTATTGCTTCTGTTAGTGACATCACTTTTCCTTCTTAAAGCTTTATCATGGTTCTAAAGAAGTTTGTTTTATGTAGTCATCTTCATTTGTCTTAACAGTGGAGTATGCTCAGTTATTTATTTATTTTATTTTTAGTGTAAACACAGTCACGCGCCACCCAGTGACGTTTTGGTTAACAAGGATCACAGAGACCACAGCGGTCCCACAAGATTATAATGGAGCTGGCATTACTCATGTGTTTGTGGTGATGCTGGTGTAAACAAACCTACTGTGCTTTTTATTGTTACACTAGAATGTACACTTCTGCTTACATGTATGCGAAAAGTTAACTCTGAAACAGACCCAGGCAGGTCCTTCAGGAGGTATCCAAAAGAAGGCATTATTATCACAGGAGACGACAGCTCCATGGGTGTTACCGCACCTAAAGACCTTCCAGTGGGACAAAATGTGCAGGCGGAAGACAGTGATACTGATGATCCGGACCCTGTGCAGGCCTAGGCTAGTGTGTGTGTTTGCGTCTTAGTTTTTTTGTTTTTGTTTTTTGTTTGTTTGTTTGTTTTGAGACAGAGTCTTGCTCTGTCGCCCAGGCTGGAGTGCAGTGGTGCAATCTCAGCTCACTGCAACCTCTCCACTTCCCAGGTTCAACCAATTCTCCTGCCTCAGCCTCCCGAATAGCTGGGACTACACCCCTGGTTAATTTTTGTATTTGTAGTAGAGACGGGGTTTCTCCATGTTGGCCAGGCTGGTCTCGAGCCCCTGACCTCAGGTGATCCATCCACCTCTGCCTCCCAAAGCGCAGAGATTACAAGCGTGAGCCACTGTGCCCAACCTTATGTCTTAGTTTTTTACACAAATAGTTAAAAGTAAAAATTAAAAATAAAAATTGTTTAAATAGAAAAAAGCTTATCAGATCAGGTTATAAAGAAAGAAAATGTTTTTGTACAGCTATACAATGTGGTGGTGCTTTAAGCTAAATGTCATTACAAAGATTCATGAAGTTAAAACAACACAAAAGTTTATAAAGTGAAAAAGTTACAATATACTAAGGTGAATTTTTTATTGAAGAAAGAAGCAATTTAAAATAAATTAGGTGTCTCCTAAGTGCAGAGTGTCTATAAAGTCTACAGGAGTGTGCAGTAATGTTCACTCAGCTCCCACTCAGTGACTCATCCAGAGCAACATCCAATCCTGAAAACTCCATGCATGGTAAATGTCCTAGACAGGTAGACCATTTCGTATATTTGATACCACATGTTTACTGTACCCTTTCTATCTTTAGATATGTTTAGCTGCACAAATACTCACCTTTGTGTTACAGTTGCCTGGAGTATTCAGCACACTGACATGCTGTAGAGGTGTTTAGCATAGACATAACAGGCTGCACCATATAGCCCAGGTGTGCAGTAAGCCATACCATCTAGGTGCATGTCAGTGCTTTGGGGTGGTCTCACAATGACTAACGTACCTAACAAAGCATTTCTTGGAACATATACCCGTCCTTAAGGGAAGTATGACTGCTCAAGAGGACGTGGGTGAGGAACAAAACGGACATTTTAAGAGCCATCCAGTCCCTGTGCAAAACACACTCACTTATTTATTTCATATAATAACCCTGTGGGACCAATATTGGAGTTCCCATTTTATAACTGAAAATGCCCGCAGGTCTCACACACACCTGTGAGGGAGCCAGAAAGAGAATTGCAAAGCCTCTGACTGCAAAGCCTGTGGGCTTCTCTGTCCACAGCCCTCTGAAATCTCAACGATGAGGTGGCAAGTGCCAAATAACTGGGTTTGTTTGCCTGTTTGACCATTTATATTGTGATCATGGTAGAGTTATAGAAGTGCTGCAGAAACAGCATGGAAGTAGTCCTGGGGGCTCCTCACCCAGCCTCCCCTAATGTTAGTGTCTTACATAATCACTGCACCATTAGTATAGTGAGAAATTAACCTTAGTACAGTAGCATTTGCTAAACTACAGGTTGTATTTGTATTTCCCCAGTTTCCCACTAGAGTCATTTGTCCTTCCAAGTTCCAACCCCCAATCCCACCTCACATTTAATGGCCTCTCCCTGGTCTTCATCTTCCATGGCCTAAACTAACACTTTCGAAGAGCACTGGTCATGTATTTTGCAGTATGTTACTCGATTTGGCTTCGCCTGATATTTTCCTGTGGTTAACTTGAGACCGTGCTGTATTGAGAAGGACACTGCAGCCATGATGGGCCATTCACAGGGCATCTTATGGGGGCACATGATATCAATATGACTTATGACTTTTTAGTAACCTTGAGCACCTGGTTAAAGTGCTGTCTGTTGGGTTTCCCCACTGTGAAGTTTCTATTTTTCCCTTTTAATTAATACTTATTTGTTTTGGCAGCTATGCAACAATCCTGCTTTTGATTAAATTTTCACTTACTAAAAATATGAAAATAATACCATATCTAATACCATATCTGGTTTGTGGGTTGTATGAGATTGCTAGGGTTGTCAGAACAAAATACCACAGACTGGATGGCCTAAACAACAGAAATTTATTTTCTCATTTTTCTGGAGGCTAAAAGTTCAAGATCAAGGTTTGCTGTGTCCTCACGGTTTTTCTCCTCTGTGCTTGCATCCCTGATATCTTTCCTGGTGTCTAAATTTCCTTTTCTTCTAAAGACATGGATCACATTGGATTAGGGCTCATTCCAATGGCGTCATTTTAACTTAATCACCTGTTTAAATGCATTGTCTCCAAACGCAGTCACATTCTGATGTTCTGGGATGTACTTCAACACATAAATTTGAAAGGGACACAATTCACCCCATAAAATGTGTGTGTGTGTGTGTATTTGCATGCATATATGTAGTCAAAATGCAATAAAATACATGTCAAATGTAAACAACAAATTCAGAATAATGGTGACCCATGGCAGGCAGTAAGGGAGAGAAACAGAATTAGGTATGGTTAAACCATAGCCTTCAACTTGATCGGTAATGTATTATTTCCTGATCTGAGCATGGGATACACTGGCTTTTATAACATTTAGTTTTGTAACGTTTGGAATGTCTGGAATGGGTCTTAATAAATGGCTAGCGATCTTTTAAACAGACATTAAAAAGGAGACTACTGGGCTCAAGGGGAAAAAGTAACAGAATTTTTTTTCCAAAATTGAATTTTTGACAGAGATGCTCCTATTTTGGAAGGTTAAACTTTAGTCGAAACACTTCTGAAATCCCATATATGAAAGATAGACCAGCAGACAAGTACTGAGCAGATAGGCTGTCAGAATTAAAGAGCACAATTCAAATTCTCCTTAGGAAGTCAGGCTAGGCTCCTAAATCTTTGTAGTCAGCGCTCTTGGTCTGATAGCACGCTTTGACTGCCAGCCCCAGCAGGACACCAGGGACCGTTAGGTTCTAAGGCTTTTAAAAATTCCTGGGTCTGAGGAGAGTTCGCCTCTGTTGAGATCCTAAATGCAGGCAGGAAGTTGGCCGTGCAGCGTGGATATGGGATGGAAGTAGGACCTGTCAGGCAGCTCCTGGACTGGCAAAACCTGGTTAAACAACACATTTGGCTTCCCCCCCGACAGCTCTTGTCCCAGTCATTTCTGTGCCTAATCATTTGTTTAGACTCTGCCATCTCTTCTACAGCTTACTCTGTAGAAATCCCAATAAATGACCATGTGGATAATGAGATATGGGCTAGAGTTTGTGCAGATACATGGAGTCTGTGGTGTGTATGCGTGTGTGTATTTCTGTGTGTGTATTTACCACCATCAAACATAGCACATCTGCACTCTATTAGATGTTACCAATGATAAAATGATAGGTAAGAGTATATGTGCATATTGTACTTTGGGGATTAGACGGGGATGGATTTCTCATTTGAGAGCCATACAAAACAGGTGTTGAAAAGTAAAGCTTCACTTGGACGATACCGTTGATTCTCCAGCCCAAATCCACATTTCTGGCTTCTTCTACCATCCCATATTGACATTTTTACATCTTCTTCCCTCTGCTCTCACTGACTGTCCTGGCTGTGGCATGAGCCCACAGGCTGCCATATTCTTTGTGCCTTAAATGTTCTTATCTTCCCTCCATTATTTGCATCCTTTTTTAAATTCAAAGTGCAAACCTAAGTCTGCTTTCTCTAACAGGCTTTTCAGACCGCCTACTTCCTCGTTTTTTATGAGCTCCCATGAAGAATTGTGTAATGAGCTCTCTGTTGCTTCTGTCCTTCTGCCTTGGATTACAGTTAATTGTTATGTGGCTGCAATTCATAAAACAACCCTCGATGAAGCACCTACTCTCCACCTGTTAGGTGCTGAGGAGAGAGTGGTAATCAAAATCCTTGCTTTTGAGGAGTTTGCAGTCTGATAAGCAAGATAGAAAAAAATAAACAGAAATAAGTAATAATGCAATGGGATATGAGGGAATCTAGTAAGTGCCTTAGGAAGACAATTAAAGCTGGGACCAATTTACTAAGAAGCATTGGGAGAACTTCACTTGAAAAATGGCAACTAAGCTGACAAAAGAAAAAGAATGAGTATGTTATGTGCTGGGAAGAGACCATCTTGGTCGTGAGGCAGGATGCCTGGTGGCTGCAGAGCACAAAAGACCATGGTGTATTGGCATGGCTGAGGCCTGAGAGGTGAGAATGTGGGGTTATATAAGCAGTGAGGTTCAAGCATCAGGCAGGCATCGCCTCATGGAGGGACATATAAGCCAAGACAGGGTGCTTACATGACTTTCTATGTGCAACGAGTGTTTGAATTTCCCCCAAATTGGGAATTGAGCAAATGTGGACACCATACACCAACTGGCCTCCTGATAGGAACACACTCCACTCACACAGAAGCATAAGATAAATAATATACTGTAAAACAGCTTAACAAACATTAAGGCAGAAGAGAAAGCTGTGAGAATTCAAAGCCGACGTGAGGAGCAGGCGTTCCTTGGGGTTCACAGTTAGGTATTACTGTGTAACAAACTACCCTGAAACTTAGCTGCCTAAAGTAAAAATCCTTTATTATTTGTCACAATTCTGTGAGTTCATTGGGCTGAGCTGGGGCGGGGGTAGGGGGTGGGTCTCTGCTCTACCCAGTATATCTGAATCCACTCAGAGGCTGCATTCATCTGATGGATGAGCAGGGACTGGAGCAGGCAGATGGCCACTCATCATGCAAGCCTACTCTCTCCATGGTCTTCTGCCACTGAGGTTGTGCAGTCTAGCTAGAGCATCATAAGGCAGGGCAGCTAATTCAAGACAGAACAGTGAAAGCACAGACACTCTTAAGGGGTAGGGCTCGGCTGGGTGCGGGGAATCATGCCTGTAATCCCAGCACTTTGGGAGGCTGAGGTGGGCGGATCACAAGGTCAGGAGATTGAGACTATCCTGGCCAATGTGGTGAAACCCCGACTCTACTAAAAAAAAAAAAAGACAAAAATTAGCTGGGCGTGGTGGTGCATGCCTGTAATCCCAGCTACTCAGGAGGCTGAGGCAGGAGAATCTCTTGAACCAGGGAGTCGGAGGTTGCAGTGAGCCGAGATGGTGTCACTGCATCCCAGCCTGGTGACGGAGTGAGACTCTGTATCAAAAAAAAAAAAAAAGGTATGCCTGGAACTGGCCCAGTGTCATTTTCAACATTCTGTTGGTCAAATCAAGTCACAAAGCCAGCTTGGATTCAAGAAAAGGGAGACTAAATTCCATCTCTTATTAATAATTCATAAAGAATTTGTGACCATCACTACAATGGGGCTACCAAGAGAGGTATGGCCCTAATAGGGCATTAATGCTCACATACAGATATAGAGTTGAAGCCAAAAACTTTGGTCATAGTGGAGTGCTAGTACTGTACTCTCTGCATAAAGCTTTCAGGAATATGCTACCATGATAAGTGAAATGGGATGTGAAAATCTAGTTCCCTAGTTCAACTCTCTTCTCAGACCCTTAGCCCTTCAAGAAAAGAATGGAAAGAAACAGTTACATGAAATATATTAAAACATGAAACATATGCCTTACAGGTACATAGACCTTGGATTTTTGCCACTAACTAAGGTAAAAACCAGCTAAGAAACCAACATGCAAACAGGTCTGGACTCAGTAAATCCCATATAAGTCTGGCAGAAGCAAAGACTAAATTGCTGCACGTGGATGTCTCTATAACTTTGATCATATGCAGGCACCAGTGGAAGATAATTCCCCTTGAAGCTGGACTCACAGACACAAAGCACGAAGAATCTCTTCAGAATAATGAAAGATAGAATTTTTACCACATAAACTATAAAAGTAATCAAAATGTTTTAATGATCTAAAATATTTTAAAAGTATATTTAAAAAATTAAGATAATAAAATAAACAAGGTAATTCATAAATAGGAGCAGAGAATACCATAAACAGGTGTATTTGAGAAATAAATAAATAGAAATTTTACTAACAGTTACTGAAATAAACTTAAAATTGAAATATTCATTGAAAGAGATAAATTATAAATTAAACACAGCTGAAGAAAGACTTACTGACTTGGAAGAAAAATCTAAGGAAATAACCAAAAGCAGCATGGGGAGGTAAAGAAATGGAAAATAGAAAGGCACATTTAGAGACATGCTGGATGGAATGAGATCTTGCATATACCTAATAGAAGGAAAGAATAGAGGGATTGTTAAAAGAATAATGTTAGTAAAGATAAAGGCTAAGAACTTTCTCAAATTGAAGGAGGGTCCCTCAGACAAAAAGAAACTGTACCTTTAATCCCAATTGTAATAAATCAATCAATCCATGCTTAGTCTACCATAGTAAAATATTTAAAAAATCATAATTAAGAGAAATATTAATTAAGGTTAATTAAGAAAAGAGAGATAAAATGGATTACCCTTAAAGATAATAGTAGAATATTCATCAGTAACAAAAGATGACAGAAAAAAAATTACATAGTTCTTTCAAGGTACTGATAAAAAATAAAAGCCAAGCTGGAATCCTGCAGTTAGCCAAACTCTCAGCTGAGAGTGGGGTGAGTACTCTTTGGTTTAAAACATACAAAGTCTAACATGGCTTTCACAGAAGTTGGAGAAGTGACTATTGAAAGACATTCTTCAACAAGAAGAAACATGAGTGCAGAAGGAAGGAGGGGGAATATATTCGTCCGTTTTCACACTGCTGATAAAGACATACCCAAGACTGGGTAATTTATAAAGAAAAACAGGTTTAATGGATGCACAATTCCACATGGCTGGGGAGGCCTCACAAACATGATGAAAGGTGAAAGGCACTTCTTACAATGGCTTCAGGCAAAAGAGAGAATGAAAACCAAGGGAAAGGGGTTACCCTTTATAAAACCATCAGATCTTGTGAGCTTTATTCACTACCATGAGAACAGTATAGGAGAAACCAGCCCATGATTCAACTATCTCCCACCGGATCCCATGTACAACATGAGGGAATTATGGGAGCTACAATTCAAGATGAGATTTGGGTGGGGAAGCAGGCAAACCATATTGGGGAACATAAAGCAATGGTGAAAATGGAAGCAGTAAAAGTACATTAGAAATATGTAAATGCGTTTTAGCGTAAAAAACTTATTTTGTGAATATTAGTAATGAGATTAAATAAAAATGTTGAACTCTATAACAACATGGAAGCTAGAAGAAGGTAATAAAGCTTTCTAGTTTTTTTTTAGTAGAATGAGGATTTTGATTAATTGGATACCTTTTGAGAAAAATAAAGATTAAGCACGTATGTATTACTAGTAATCACTAGTAGAGTAGATCTATGATACAAGTGCATAGACAAATCTCAACAGTGATTACCTGAAATATAGGCATATTATATATATATAATCTCACAAAATAGTTGTTACCTGGCTTCTGTAATTGTCTTTTTTTTCATTTACACATGACTATTTCTCTGAGTTTCATCAGTGCTCAAAGTTGTACATCCTACAGTATAATACATTCATCATTTATTGTCTCCATTCATTACAAGGCATAGACTTTTTAAATATCACAACTCTAAATAATATACAATTATTATATTACAATAACTAAGGCTTAGTGTGGTTGAAAATTGTGAACGATCATGAGGTTTTCAAAAGCAAGACTAGCATTCCAACCCAAGTCTGACTGTCTGCATCAAAACCCATCCTGTTTTCCACATGTGAGGTTGGCTTTAATAGTTAAGGCAGCACCTTTTTGATCACAGCGATGCTCCCCTTCTCATAGTACAGATGGTAAAGGATATGGATCTGGGGTGAGTAGGTGGTTTTATGGAGAAACTGATCTTCTCAGACAACTTTGAAAATATAAGCAACATGCTGATCTTATTTTTCCAAATCTAAGATCTTCTAATTAGAGCTCTCCAGCCTCCCAATACTCATGAGTTCACCCATTTGTTCATGTCTGCCTCTAATCTTCTGAACATTTCCATTATCATTTTCAGGGAGGGGTAAGAAGAAGCAGAGTGTCACCGGGTAAGAGTCGACAGTTTTGAAGACTCGTAGCTGCGAATCTTTCAGGAAATAATCCAGAACAGTCTCCTCGCTGGACAGGAAAGGAAACCTATCCTAGAGAGGCGAATCCTCTGTCCTGGACGCGTGCACAGCTAATGGTCAGGGGAGGGGATTCTATGGGGTGTATTCGACCTGCTGCTGCAGGGCTTCGGTTGCCAAGAGTTTCCCCAATACCTAAACCCCTACTATTAAAGGTACATTCCTTTGTATTTAAAGCCCAGTGAATCCAGGAGCCCCCTTTTAGATGTAAGTACCTCTGTGAGTAACCCAATAAACCATTTCCGACCGTTATCATTCTAATGTCAATTGGTCTGTAAGGGATTAACACACTGGCCACCTAGTAAATCTGTGCTAATTGCAGGGCCATGGGTTTCCAGCCAACAACGTATGTATAGGCTTTGGAATAAGACAAGGATGGAGGGCTCATTCGGGCACTTACTTGCTGTGTTCTTGGCCAAATCACTTAATCCCTCTAAGCTTCCCCATTTTTTTTCCCTATAAGATGAAAAAAAAAAAAACCAGGTACTTCATGTGGCAACTGTAAGTATTCCAATTAGATAAGATGTTTACACTCAGCATTGTCTTATAGTACATACTCAGGAGTGGGGGCTGTGTGTGTGTGTGTGTGTTTTCACTTTTTACAGTATTAAATGCCTATAAATGGGAAAAGGTCCTTTGACCAGGTAGTGAGTTTCTTGTTCACCGAGGTGTTCAAGCAGAGGATAAGTAATTCTTTGCTGGGACACATCTAGCATAGGGCTGGTCACACGGTGGGCGCTAAGGAAATATCTGTGTGATCTAAACATGGACTTTTGCCTTCCACCTGTTCATTCAGCACACCCTGCCCCTCTACCTATCCCAAGATCTGTCACCCCTAGCGAAGAATGTTAGGCTATGTGTCACATGCCTAGGGACCAATCCTCCATCAGGGACTTGTACAAAACCCAACATTGCAGCCTCTGAGTCAGCAGACCTTGACTGCTGACTAACCAGGGTGACAAACACTAGCATTCCCTAGGCCCACCTCGGTAAGATAAGTGGAAGTGCAGTGGAGGAGATCAGAGGTGGAGGACAGCCCAAGCGCAGGTGCCTCCTGCAGGGACAGCAATGATGGCCATGAGGGGATGCGCCTCAGTATCGTCAGATCTTTCTGTGTTTCAGGAGGAGCCTGGTTTCAACTGTTGTTCACTATTTCAAATATAAACCAGCAAGAGCAACAAGAACAACAGCATGAACCCAATAGAACATATTTACAGGTGACTTTGTGACCCCATCCTCAGGCCCTGGCTGCCTCCCCGGAAGCAGTGCCTGGGGAGGTGGCCAGGCACCTCCATGGAGGAGATGAACTCCCTTTCGTAAAGTGTTAAAATGTCATCTTGTCCACAGAGAGTAGTAACTTGCCAAATGGTATTTCATGGTCCTTAACTGGAATGCTCAGTCTCGTGGAATATATTGTGTATTATTGTGTCAAGAAGGGATTTGGAGATTTTTAAGCTTTGTGCAATTTTTAAAAAAATTAACATTAATGAAGCTAGTACTTTTTGTAGTATACCTGTGAAGTGAACTAGCATAAGCAAAATATTTTATCTTTCGGTTGACTAGGGGTTATAATGACTACGAGTTTCCAGTTCATAGTGGCTATAGTGGCTCTCTTTTTCAGAGTAAAAACAAATTGTAAAGAAAGTAGACTCTGTGCAAAGAAAGACATATCAGCCAAGCATCTCATAACCACAGGGTGTCTACCTAGGCTTCAGACTGTTGATGCCCAAATGTGGTGAAACCTGATTTTCCCAATGAAATGTTCTCCTTTATCTCAAGTTCTGTTTCATTGACTTGAAATACTCAACTTTCATTGACTTCAGGTACTTAGTTTTACAGTGTCCAAAATCACCTCTCTGATTTGTCTTTCAGGTCCAGATCTGTAAATAATTGTAATACTGTCTAGTAGAACAGCTGAGAGTGAGCATTTTTAAAATCCTATTTTCATCATTGTTTACCTAGAGTTTTAAAAATTAATCATATAAAAGGACAAAAATCCAATGACAAAATGAGAAAGAATGCTTTTTAATATTCTTTAAGGCCAGCGAAATCCCAAAGACTGATATGCAAGCAGTTGTAAGGTGCACGGTCTTAGCGGAAAAAAAAAATCATTTAAAAACATAAGATTTGGAATCATGCAAGGCTGTATTTAAATTCTGATTATACTACTAAATACGTATGTGGCTTTGCAACTTGTACTTAATGACTTTGAGTCTTAGTCTCCTTCTTTGGAAAATGGATTTGGGATACTGACCAGAGGACAGGCGAAGGTGTGACGTGCTGGAGCTTGTGTGTGTCTGATCTTGGTGGCCGTGGTGTCACAGAAGCCAAGTGACTCCACTTTCTCTGACCACCCCTCCCTGATGCAAACTCTGGTTGGCTGTTTGCTCCTCTGTGTCCTTGAACAGCTGATTCCTCCACTATGCACAGATCCCTTGGTTTTGTGGGTTGTGCAGCTTCAGGTAGCAGAGAGCCGTGGACAGAGTGGCTCACAGGCACTCCTGGAACATGGAGAATGGCCACAGACTCTTCCAAGCTTTGGACAAGCCTAGTACTTTTATTTCAGTCACGTATAAATGAAAACTTACCGCCTGGGATGAGAGCCCTGGGAACTCATGTCTGGGGGAGCAGGAGACAGACTCACTGCATTCCTATGACTCTTCCTAGAGTCAGCATCTGTGCCGTTTCTTGTTTTTCAGAGCTTTGGAGGTTCCTCTTCCCTTTCCATGAAGCACTTGACTGCTAATGCCTTCATTATGAGCAGTAACAGCTGTCCCTTGGTCCTCTTCATAGTCTCTGCACTATCTCTGTCCAGGCACAAAAGGGCGAGCGCTTAGCAACTCTTTCCATATGCCTAAGAATTGACCATCTTTATGTCCATGTATGTTCACTGCTCAGCTCCCACTTAACAGTGAGAACAAGCACATGCATGTCCTGAATCTCAAATAAAATTTAAAAGCAGAAGTGACCAGAGTTTTCTTAGGGCTGCTTTCTCTGACCACCCCTCCCTGATGCAAACTCTGGTTGGCTGTTTGCTCCTGTGTGTTCCTCCACTGTGCACAGGTCCCTTGGTTTTGTGGTGATGTGTGGTCCTGCGTCCTCTGCTGGACTGGCACCCCCAAGAAGTCAGCACTGCATCTTACTGGAGTCTGTATCCCTCCTTCCAGCAGTTACCTGCTTCAGAGTTGGCATCTGTAAGTATTTGTTGATTTAGGGGAGCTGACAAATCTAAGGTTTAGGTTAAATAGATATCTCTCAGAATCAGATTTAGGCTCCTGCTCCTATCCCCTTAAAAGCCCTTTTCTCTTTCAGCATCTTTCTCTTCTGATTTTTCCATAATGTATCTTCAACAGTATGTCTATTTCAGACCCCACTAGAGCCAAGCCAATGCTCTGAACAGATCAACAGTTCACGCTGGGGAGGTAGTGGATTTCCCTGCGCTGGAACTCTGGGGCGGTGTTGGCCAGGGTCATGCTGTTGAGCACAGCTCATCACTCACCACGGTCACTAGATTGCCGTCAGTTCAATCTAGATACGCAGGTGTGGCCAGTGGGGTAGCATTCCAGGGACAGGGCCCAGAGGAATTGCCAGAGCCACCTTCTCTCCAGAGGAAAACTGCCCACCTCCCCAGCAGCTTAGATTTTGCTGTGAGATATCCAGGTGAAATCTGATCAGGTCCACTACAGCCTCCTTTCTTGTTTTGTAGAAATTGGGATTTAGCAGAGGCCAGGTTGATATAATCTTCTTATTGATTGCTGGAGTTCGGTGGGTGGAAGGCAAGGAGGCTTCGGGGTTATTAGACAGCTGCTCCCGTGGGATGTGGAAAAGCAACATATGCCCTTGAAACAGTCATGAGAATTAAAAAAATGATTAGGCCAGCCTGTGTATCTGTGTATGGGGAGGTAAGTAAGCCAAACTTTTTTTTAAAAAAAAAAAAAACAGAAACAAAAACAAAACAGAGTCTCGCTCTATCTCCCAGGCTTGGAGTACGGTGGTGTGATTTTGACTTACTGCAACCTCCCCTCCCACGTTCAAGTGATTCTTGTGCCTCAGCCTCCAGAGTAGCTGGGGCTACAGGCATGTGCCACTGTGTCTGGCTAATTTTTGTATTTTTAGTAGAGATGAGGTTTCACCATATTGGCCAGGCTGATCTCAAACTCCTGACCTCGAGTGATTCACCCGGTAAGGCAACCTTCTTAGAGATGCCATGTTACTGGTTTTACCATATTTTGAAATTCAACATCAGCCCAGAAGGACTTCAGCATTTTACACTCAGATACAGCATCAATTGACATGGACTCACCATGCATACAATGATATCTAGCATTCAGAGAACAAATTGTACTTTTAATTAATTGAAAATTAAGCTTTGAGGATTGCTGTTAGCCTCATTATTCACTACATCGTGATTGTCTTCTAACAAAGTAACACACCGTAATTGAAATATTTAACTCATAATCCTAATAATTAGAGTCAAAATTTTTGGGCTTGAAAAGGTGCTTTTTCACAAGGAAGAATAAACACACACAGTTGCCCTTAATCATCTCTTTACCTAACACGTATTTATTGAGCATCAGTTGTGTGCCAGGCACTAAGTAAGCCTTCAGGTTACATAAAATAGATAATTAAATAGGCACAATTCTTGCCTTGTATAGCTTTCTAGTTAGTATAAAAGAAAGACATTCAGCAAATAAACACAAATAAATATATAGATGTACTTTGACAAGTGCCATGTGGTAAAATAAATGCACTTAGAATGATAGATACTAAAAACGAATGTAAAATCTCTAGTGACAGAGTTCAAATATACAAGGAGTAACTGGATAAAATGAGCATTCCTCCTTTTGTTATTCTGTTTCTTCTTGCTGTCAATCTTTATACACACATGAGACTCTTTGTGTCCTTAGAATATAACCTATCACGCTGTGTTGAAATCACCTCTCTGTTCTTCATTCTAGATCGTGAGCTCCTGGAGGATAAAGACAAAGAAAGAGTTGGACTCATCTTTCGATTCAGTAAGTCTTATAGGTGCCTGGCTCAGAGAACTGCTTGATTGTTTAAAAAATTTTAATATAAGTTCTAGGATGCATGTGCAGAAGGTGCTGGTTTGTTACATAAGTAAACGTGTGTCATGGTGGTTTGCCGCACCTGTCAACCCATCATCTAAGTGTTAAGCCCTACATGCATTAGCTATTTATCCTGATGCTCTTCCTCTCCCCAGCCCCTTGACAGGCTCCAATGTGTGTTGTTCCCCTCCCCGTGTCCACGTGTTCTCATTGTTCAGTTACCACTTATAAGTGAGAACGTGCAGTGTTTGGTTTGCTGTTCCTGCGTTTGTTTGCAGAGAATAATGGCTTCCAGCTCTATTCATGTCCCTGCAAAGGACATGATCTCATTCCTTTTTATGGCTGTGTGGTATGCCATGGTGTATACGTACCACATTTTCTTTATCCTGGCTATCACTGATGGGCATTTTTGCTGATTCCATGTCTTTGCTATTGTGAATAGTGTGGCAGTGAACAAACATGTGCATGTATCTTTATAATAGAATCAGTTATATTCCTTTGGGTATATATCCAGTAATGGGATTGCTGAGAGTCAAATGGTATTTCTGGTTTTAGTTCTTTGTGGAATCACCACACTGTCTTCAACAATGGTTTGAGCTAATTTACACTCCCGCCAACAGTGTAAAAGCATTTTTATTGGAGAGCTGCCCAATTTAATGAATCTAAACATCAAGCTTTAAAGGAGTATTAAGATGAGCAGGCCCAGCCATCCGTACTACAGACATGCATCTAATCACAACAGCAGTTTACCAGTTTGGGTCACACATATGCCCATTCAGCCATGCTAAGTTCTTCTGGGAAGAATGGGGAAGCTAGAAAACTAATACTTTTGTCATGATCTTAACTTAGGGAAGGATTGCTGGAGGTGGCCACAGTGCCCAGCGAAGGTATTTACAGTCAGTCTTGGGAGATCATTGAAGATACCAGTGAGCAGAGCTGATAGGGATCAAGGGAGCTGGTGGTGTGGGCATTCATCAGACAGACTTAGATTTCTGTGTTCATTGTGTGTTCAAGCTACATCCGTTCTGTTTTCAGATCTGTTGAATGAGGAAAGTGAGTGAGTCAATTTCAAAGGCAGTATGATGTCATTTTAAAACTCCCGGACTTGGCCTGAGAAAACATGAATTTGAAGCTTCGGATCCATTCTATGTGAGCCCTACGAACTTCACAAAGCTACTTAATTTTCATGAGATTTAGCTCTCTCATGTATCAAAGGAGCATAGCAGATATATACTAAACAGCCTTTTTGATGAAAATCAGATGAAATAGTAGATGTAAAATCATTTTGTTAATTGAATATGACATATCAATTTCAAGATCTTGTTCCCCTATTCTCACAGAAAATCATCACAAATAATGCCCTTTTCTTCGCATCCAAATCATTGCTTCTTTTGAAATTCCCAATATGCAGTAAAGTGCCTTAAGAGTAGCAGGTGCTGAATAACTGCTTGTTTCATGAGAGAATTAATAAAGAACTCAAGAGACATTTGCAAGGCAGCTGCTTGGGATTAGTGGGAATTTCTGAGGCCCCATGAAGCCGAAGAGCTCAATCCATAGGTGAAAACCTCGACCTTGTGTCCTTGGTTTAACCATTCCAAAGCCAACACTGAACGGACCAGTCCAAGTGGGGGCACTGCCCTGGCTGTTCACTCCAAGCAAGCCTATATTCTGCGAAATGGGGGGACCTACCTGTGCTGAGGAGGGTGGCAAGCGGGTTCTCCTGCTAGTTCCACCATTTACTCAGCTGTAAGAGAGTGGACAAATGAAAACAAACCATCCAGCATCCACAGCTTGATAAAAATTTCCAGACTGAATATTGATTCATTACACTATGTCATATGTACTTTTAAATTCTTGATCTTTGAAATGTCTTTTTAGTTTTACAATTAAAAATAACATTTTATTCAATATTACTGAAAGTTCTATGATTGAATATAACACTTCCTTGTTTCACTGCCTCCCATTTCATCTTGTCTCCCTTATCGGAGGCAACCATTTTCACCTTTTTTGGCTTTTTCTTGGTCTTGAAAAAATATTTATATGCCTACTATCTTTTGATTCATTAATTTTAAATATTATCTAATTCCTATCATGACAGATAAGAATTTAATCCTCTTATACTCCCTTTCCCTCATCTTCTTTCACCAATCCTCCTAAATAGCAATTATAAAAATGTTAGTTTAATGAATATCAGTGTTATTATTATGCTATGCAAATATTATATATAGCTGTGCATTGTAGGGTATTATGATTACATTTTTAAAAATGTTCTTCCTGAAGTTAGCAAGTATCTTGTTTTATCATTTCTTTAGAATTTTGTGCCCCTTGTTCAGTCTTTCCACATCTTCTTTGTTCTGGTTTTCAATAAGGTTCATTGCATCAGTAAAGGATCAGTTCATATGTTCCTTCCTGGGACACAAGGGAGATCACCAGTGCCTGTCTTCCAGGATTGGTTTCTCATGGATGAGGTCATCCATGCAGCCTCATCATGGGACTTCCCACCCAGTCATCCCAGGAAGTCCCCTTCTCCTGAATCAGATCCCTGCTTTCTGAGTCTTACGTCTTCTTTCTTTTGCTGTCTGATTTATATTGTTGGTGCATTTTTTCAGTTGCATCATCAGGTTAACGGGATGGCATCAAGCAAAAGGCATGCGCATAGTCTGCTCAGTGTGTCGGTGTCCTGTGTGCCACAGCTCCCCAGGCAGTTTGCTCCCAGGCCTGAGAAGAGTTAGTAGCTTGGGATCTCCCTCTACCATTATCCT
The DNA here is from genome assembly GCF_000001405.40 of Homo sapiens. Taxonomy (NCBI): domain Eukaryota; kingdom Metazoa; phylum Chordata; class Mammalia; order Primates; family Hominidae; genus Homo; species Homo sapiens. The sequence continues at coordinate 5,798,493 of NC_000002.12, forward strand.
AGAGATTCATTTATCTTCTCTCATATTGGATTCCTCTTTTCTCTATTTCAGATTATCCTTTTTGTTTTATTTTATTTTTGCTTTCCTCAACAACTTCCCAAGAAAGTGAGTATGAGCGGTAAACGTTTTGGGACCTAGCATGTCAGAAACATCCTTTGACTGTATAAAATTTAGGTTGGAAATATTTTTTTCTTCAGAAATTTGAAGGCATTTGGCCGGGCAAGGTGGCTCATGCCTGTAATCCCAGCACTTTGGGAGGCTGAGGTGGGCAGATCACTTGATGTCAGGAGTTTGAGAACAGCCTGGCCAACATGGTGAAACCATTTCTACTAACAATACAAAAATTAGCCAGGCATGGTGCCACAGGCCTGTAATCCCAGCTACTCTAGAGGTTGAGGCAGGAAGAACTGCTTGAACCTAGGAGGCAGAGGTTGCAGTGAGCCAAGATGGCACCACTGCACTCCAGCCTGGGTGATAGAGCAAGACTCTATATCAATAAATAAATAAATAAATAAATAAATAAATAAATAAATAAATAAAAAATAAATAAAAATTTAAAAAAAGAAAAGAAATTTGAAGGCATTCATTGTCTTTTGGTTAGCATCAGGGTTCCTTTAAAGAAATCTGAAGTTATTCTGATGTTTTAATTATTTGTGTATGAACTGCTTTTTTTCTGTGAACATTTTTATGATCTTCTCTTTGTCCCTAGTTTGCTGAAATTGATATTAATGCTTCTTGGTGGATTTATAGACCATAATTGTTGCAATAATGCTGCATAACAAATGACCCTGAATGTCAGTGGCTTTTCTCACTCACGGCTCTGCAGGTCAACTGCTTTGGCTCCGTGTGTATTTATGGGTCAAGTTCAGGCATTGCATTTCTCAGCTTGGAGCCCAGGCTGAAGGAACATTTGCTACCTGCAGGGTAAACTTCTCAGGGCACCAGGCAAGAGTGTTTAAGTTTCATCCAAACACCATGGGCACACTTATAGCCTCTGGCCAGATGTAGGGTATATCAAACCCAGTTGTGTTCCATCGCTCAGTGCAAGTCATATGGCCAAGTCCAAGTCAAAGGAGCAATGAGGTTTCCCTGTCCACAGTGAACTAACACAAGAGTGAGGAGGGGAAAAGAACCATAAACCAATCACACAATTTCATGTTGTGTAGATCTGGTTTCATCCCTTGAATTGGGTATTGATGGGCCATTTCAGGCTGCAAACTCATGTCTTGCAGTTCTGAGGAATTATTGTGAATAATTGTATTCATGTTTTCTTACACTCCATATTCTTTATTCCTGATTTCTGGAACTCTTGTTTTCCCAGCATTGTACCTCTTGGACTTGTTTCTGATTTTCTCTTCCTTCCTATTATTCACCTCCTAAGTCTTTATTTTTTCTACTTTTCTGTTCAACTTTATCTTCCAATATATATATCTTCCAATAATATAGTTTGTTTTTATTTTTTCTCTCAGCACCATCTCTATTTCCTCTAAGTTGTTTTTGCTAGGTATTTTCATCTCTTTCAGGTTAGGGAATTTCTTCAGGAATCCTTGGTCATCTGCATGTTTTTGAAGTCACGATATTAAAAACCTGAGTGTATACGTTGGGTTCTTGGGCAGATTGTGACAGCTGAGCTTCTTCACAGTGTAGTCTTGCTGAGGCATTGCTTGAAGACCCCCCAAAGTCAATATTTCTATGTTTTTGTTTTTTAGGCTCTTCAGGTTTCTTGAAAAGACATAGACTTCTGCTTGGAGAAGTACAGCTGAAGGAGCACAGAAGGGATGGAGCCTCCTGTGTTCAGGAGGTGCACGTCCACATTGCACTCTTGTTTTATGTGAGGGTGCATCTGCCAACCGAAGATTTTTCCTTTTGTCAGCTTCAAAGAGTAAAATCCTCCAGTCTTCCATGGCATGGGGGAGAAGGCAGAGACGGGCATTTTCCCAGAGGCATGGAGAGGACAAACACTTGGCCCTGTGAATTAGTGAGCCTTCTGGGGACTCTCAGTGTACAATTAAGTTAGTTTTTGGCTTTTCCCATTGCAGGTTTAGGATTTGGCTTTTTTGAATCTGCTAAGTCAGTTATTTCTCATCCATTTGCTTTCCAGCTACTAAAATGTAGAATTATCTCCTCTTCCATTTGCTTCATTTTTGTAGGCTTATGGCTTTAAAAATCTATTTTAAGTGTAATTTTAGTGGAGGGATGGGAGGGAACAAAAGTAGATATGTGTGTGTTCAATCTACCATTTACTTACAAGTAATTCTCATTTTTTAGTGTTTGTTTTAATCCAGATTCTTATTACAAAAGCAATAATAACATCTGCCCAAAACATCTTTAGCTGTGAAGGTTTTGGGGGAGAAAAATAATATACTCCACCATAGCAATTTCAAGAAGCCTAATCCTTGAAAAGCATAGTAAAAACAGCTATCAGTTAGTGAATTACCCTATAGGTCAAATGCTGTCTTGGCTGATTTATATATATTGTATCCAGTTCTCTGCGGGCTCAGTTATTATTTATTTTTCCATAACAGATGGAGAAACAAAGGAGAAAAAATTGAATAAAATTTACTGAGGACACCCAGTTGGTAAGAAGTGAGTTTTCTTGAAATCCAGAACCAGATTCAAAGCCTGTTTCTCATATTCCATCTGATTTTTTAATTTGTCAGGGAAAGAGAGTACTGGTAGAAGTAATAAAAGAGAGACACAATCAAATGAGCAATTTGTTGATGACGTGTGAAACAAAACCATGATCAGAACAAGGAAAAAGGTGATGGTGTTTTCCATCAGTGTTTTCTTTGTCTGTTTCTTTTGAATTAAGCTTGCTTTAAAGCCAATACTGGATTAAAGTTTTTCAGTGGCAGGTGAACTTTAAAGGAAAAGTCCATAAAACTTGCTGTTTTTAAACATCCATAAAACTAGTTGATTTTAACTGAAGCTCTTAAGCATGAAATCAGTACTTGCTGATGACTTCATTGAGAACAAATGGACTTGATATTTAATAGACTATAACCAATATGGCCACCTCTGGCCTGATTCAGTCATGAACAGGGCTCAGGCTTTCTTTGCTGGTTGTTAGCAAAGGTACCTCAGTCAATGGAAGACTTGTCCCTGGATTTTTCTTTGTTTTGCTGACTCCTTTCCATTACAACAGAGATAGATGAGTGTAGTTGTAGCATGGAGTCTGCCATTAGATATACCTTATTTTGAATTACAATTTGGCCATTCCCTAGGTATTAACCTTGGGCAAATTATTTACCTTTTTTAGTTTATTTCCTCTTCAGAAAAAGATGGTGAAGTTAGGTGGCTTTGAGGACTAAGGTATTTGGGAAGTAATTGATATAGGACCTGGCTGTGAATTGTTATTTATATAATTTATTTATTATTTATTATTCAATGTATGAATACATTGTACTAGAAGCTGAATATTCAAAGATGAATACGATTTGATCTCTGATTTCAATCATCTCAGAGGTTAGTACAGGGTGTAGAGTAGAGGTAGATCATTCTAAGAGTCTCTACGCTGTGACACTGACTCCTTACTGACACTTAAAATCCTGTATATAAACCACTGACTCTTGCATTTGTATATTCAGCCAAGATCTTTTCTCTAGTCTCCAGATCTATAAACTCAGCCTCCTACTTAAGTTTCAGTATTTCATGCGTATCTCAAATTCAACACATCCAACATGGCACTTTAAATTCTTCTAAACCTGGTTCTAGTACACGTTTTCTGTCTTTATGGCAGAGGCACTATCTCCCAATTGTATAAACCAGGAACTTTGGAATAATCCTCGTGACATGCCTACTTATGCTTCTCCCACATGTAATCCAAAGCTGAGTGCTCTAAATTTTAATCTAAATTTTACCCAATTCTGCTTGTTAATATTTCTTCTCTATTGCCATACCCCGAATAAGCCCCAGTCATTTCTTGCCTGTATTTCTACTATGACTAGGTTGCCAGCTAATATGGTTCGGCTGTGTCTCCATCCAAATCTCATCTTGAATTGTAGTTCCCATAATCCCCATGTGTCATGAGAGGGACCTGGTAGTAGGTAATTTAATCATGAAGGCAATTACCCTTATGCTATTCTTGTAATAGTGAGTGAGTTCTCACAATATTTGATGATTTTATAAGGGGATTCTCCCCCTTTTGTTCGGCACTTCTTCTTGTTGCCACCTTGTGAAGAAGGACGTGTTTGCTTCCCCTTCCACCATGATTGTAAGTTTCCTGAGGTCTCCCCAGCCATGCAGAACTGTGAGTCAATGAAACCTCTTTCCCAGTCTTGGGTGTGTCTTTATTAGCAGTATGAGAACAGATGAATACACCAGCTTCTTCTCATGGTTCTTGGAGTTCATTTTCTTTATTGCAGCAAGACAGCTCTTTTCTTTTCACTGATCTTAAGGTGAAAATAAATTTCCTTACCAGACAGTGTGTGCTTGCTGAATCTGCTTTTCCCAGCCTCCCACTCTGCTTTCTCTTTTTTCTCTGCCCCGGCCAGGCCTCTACAAACCCCTTTCAGTTACACAGGTATGTATTGGTGCCTTCTCACCACAGGGTCTTTGAACATGGCATTCCTCCCTAGCCCAACTATGTTTTCTAATTAACTCTAGTCTCCTCTGACAGCAACTCAAGCATCGTCTTCTCAGATAAAATTTGAATGTGATCTCATAGAAATGTTACTTTTCATCAATGAGAGATCATCACATATCCCTCATTATGCTTTTTTGATTAACCTCTTTTTCCTGTCAATGAAGACAGAATGTTGCATTCACTGCTCCATTCTAGAGGCTAGGACAGTGCCTAACAGAAAGGGAGGGCTCAGCAAATATTTACAGAATGAACAAATGAGCTTTGAAATTTATGGGAGGTGGAGCTGAGCTTCCTTTATTATATCTACAGTCTAGCATGGGTAAGTGCTCCGTAAATATGTGATTAAATAGATAAATGAGTGAAAGATTAATGAATAAATATTTTCCTAAAGGTGAGGTGGGGACATTTAGGGAAGCATTAAACCCCACTGAGAGAAAAGGGGAGGGACGTCAGGATGCCTTCCCAGAGGTGACAATAACTCAGCTAAAAAGGACCACCAGTTACGAGCCTGGTGAATGGAGCAGCATGAACAATGAGAAGAGGAGGCCTGGCCCGTGGGGGAATCCCAAGTATTTCAGGCTGCTTGGGGAGTAGGATATGAGAAAGGGACTGGCATCTACTAGTCCGCTCCAAAGAAGACCCAAAATAAATGCAAAAATAATCCCCCATGAGAAGATCTGACAACAGCAGGGATGAGTCAGAAAGAAAGCAGGCAACAGCAATTTCCTTTTTGGAGAAGTCATGGATTACACACTCCTGTATGACTCCACGAGCTCCCGGGTGTTTGATCAAAAGACAGCTTAACGGGGGCTGAGGAAGGAGCCAAGACCGGCCCTGAGCTGACCAGGGAAATTGTAACTGAGCTAACGTGATTAGTCTGAATGGATAAAATGTGAATGGGCAGCATGAAGGACAAGCCTCAAGCACGTAAAATCAAGACAGGGAAACCTGTCTTGCCAGGTTTCAAATGAGCAAAAATCTTGAATACCCCTTTCAGCCTGGAGAGCCAAAACAAGAGCTGGAAAACAGATTTCTCTTACACTCTCTGAGAATTGTTGAAACTCCAGTTCACAGTCACAATTGTCCTCAACAAATCCTGAGAGTCTCCATGTGGATCCCCTACATGCACTGACCCAGAAAACTGGGTCTTTACAGGGCACCCTCCTCCTCCGTGGGATGCAGAGGCACTGTCCCAGCTGAAGAAGGTATCCCTATCTCACTGCTGAAGCCGCTGAGGCTGTCTCCGTGCTTATGCCCTCTGACCTCTGTGCTCTTCTTCCTCTCCCCGCGAAGTTTTGGCTGGCCCACTACTCAAGCAGCTGCAAGCTCCACTTGTGACCCTATCCTGGGCACCACCATTCCTTGCCCCACTACATAGTCCGCCAAGCAGGCCTGCCTCGTGCCCTCAATGTCTTAATCCCATATCACAGATATTTTACTCAAACAGTTCTTTTTGTTTTTAACATACGGTTGCTTTTCCAAAGACTCAGATATTAATTTATGAAATATGGACCTGAGGAAAATAAGAGTTTTACTCAGAATCACTCTTGTCTTCCTTGTTGGGGCATTTTCCTCATACCCAGCTTAGGCAACTCAACCCACTCTTTCCCGGGCCATAGTCCTTCACATAAGCAGAGCCTTCCCTCTAGAGCCAGGAGTGGGATTGCTCTGAGTTTGCACTGCAAATATAGATGTCCATAACACCTTCGGTGATAGTATAATTTAATAAATGGGGAAGAAACCAAGTAGTTTATAGGAAATTCAAGCATAATACCTTATAGCCACATGATGTTTTATAGCATGCAAAGCCTATTTATATATATTAGACCGTTTTATCCTCGGAGCAATCTTAAAGGGAGGGCAGGATGTACAGACGTTTTATTTATTGAGTCGGTCAAATTCAGTTAGTATAATTCTTTCCAATTTTATGCTCTTCTGTCTTTATTGGTTATTATTCATGGAGACCAGTACTTCTCTAATTTCTACAAGAACCCATCTTTGCCCCCCAGCAGCTAACATTCTTCCCATTTTCTGTCATTGCTCACCTGTTATTCCAGTTACAGCCCTTTCCGTTCAATGCCTTCTCATGTAAACTCATTCTGCCACCCTGAAGCTTGTCCCCTCACCAATCTCATATCTTGCTTCTGTATCCTGGCTCCATCCACATCTCTGCTCAAGCTCCTCTCAAAGGACCCTGCTCTGTCTTCCTCATTCCGCTTGCCCTCTACCAATGAATATTCCATGGTAGGCTTTCCCTGCCAGCATCTGCAGTCATGTGGAATGTTACTACAAGCTGTCAAGAAAAGCCAAATGTCTAGAATCTGGAATGGTTGATATCTTATGTGGAGCATTCTGAACATAGAGGTGCTACAAATGTCTTATATATCCAGGTCAGTGACAGGGACAATGAGAGGATGTTGTTAGTTCAAGTTGAGTTCCAGAAGATTCCTCTCCAAGGGTCTCATCTGCTGGAGTCACTTAACCATTCTGACTTTCTCAACGACAAGGAGATTAATCATTGCTTGCATTTCTTGGCAAATTTTGGGGTATGTATGTCTGTGCATCTGCAAGAGTGAGGTTCATTCTTCTAAGGATGCCTTTGAAGCCCTTTTCTGCCAGTGGAATCATTAAAGTCATAGGATTCCTGCAAAGGGCGCTGGGTTCAGAACCAATGCCTTTCTCTACCACTTCTCATCTCCCCAGCCTTGAGCAAAGCAAATAACCTCATCTCCTGCTGACCATCAGCTGGCTTCTCCATAAAGTAGGAGTAGTAGCATCTGCTCCACTATCATGGGTGGCTGGTATAGGAGTGACAGGGGACCATGTGCATAAAAATCCTGTGAAATTCTGTTGCATAGTTAGTGTCCTCTATCCGTATGCTTGGATGCTGACTGTTGGGGTCTGGGACTAAAGAAATTGTGGGTGTCCAGTTATGAATAATATTACCAAACACAGAGAAATATTTTTATCATAGCGTGTATTATTAGTAGTACAATTCTGAGCTTGAAATGTTCTCTTATACTGTCTAAAATAATGATATACTCTTTGCATTTTGCTCAGATTTTACAATAAAAAAACTCATAAGTGCTCTCGTGATCTTAGAGTAGTACTTCATAATTTCAAATGGAAAACAAAAGCACCTCCCTCAATGCTATATTACATTGAAACAAACACAATTAATGTTTCTAAACCTATATTTAAATTTTATTTGGAGGAAACCTGAAAAAAAAATGCAGTCAAATTCTATCATTTCAAACAAGAAGAACCAGGGCCAAAGCATAAGTACGTACTTCAAGTTACGGAGAAAACGCGTAGCAGTCAGAACTGAAAGCCTGTGCTCATTCGTGCCAGGCTAATGCCCTCTCCTTGATTGTCCTGTTTTCCTCAATTTTTTCTCATATACACACGCGTAAGAAGATTTGATTCTAACTCATAAACATGAGTAATTTAAGTCTCCTCATCTTAAAAGTTTATAATACGGGCCGGGCACAGTGGCTTATGCCTGTGATCCCAGCACTTTGGGAGGCCAAGGTGGGTGAATCACCTAAGGTCAGGAGTTCGAGACCAGCCAGATCAATATGGTGAAACCCCGTCTCTACTAAAAATACAAAAATTAGCCGGGCTTGGTGGCAGTTGCCTGTAATCCCAGCTACTCGGGAGGCTGAGATAGGAGAATTGCTTGAACCTGGGAGGCAGAGGTTGCAGTAGGCTGAGGTCACCCCATGGCAACCAGCCTGGGTGACAGAGTGAGACTCCATCTCAAAAAAGAAAAAAAAATAGAAAATTTATAATACAAGAATAATCTAATGCTTAAGTAGCAGCAGAATACAGTCTGCATTCATAATACCTTTTCTGGACTATCTGAGATTTTACGTGGAACTTTTACCATCTGTTTACATTGTTGCTCAGGCTACAATGAGGCACCCCTTGTACTGCTACAGAAGCCTTTCACAGGGTCTCCTTGCACTCACCCCTGCCTCTCACCAATCCACTCTTCACACTTGGGCTCCGGGATTCTCCTAAACACACAAGCCATGTCATGAGCCTTCTCCATTCAAAAGCCCCTTGGTTTTCCATCTCTCTTGGAATAAAGTCCAAGCTGTTTTTTTGTTGTTGTCGTTGTGCTTCCCCCCACCTCCCCCACCCCCATCTTTTTCTGTCACCCAGGCTGGAGTGCAGTGGCGTGATCTCGGCTCACTGCAACCTCCACCTCCCAGGTTCAAGCAATCCTCCTGCCTCAGCTTCCCGAGTAGCTGGGACTACAGGTGTGCATAGCCACGCCTGACTAATTTTTGTGTTTTTAGTAGAGGAGGAGCTTTGCCATGTTGGCCAAACTGATCTCAAACTCTTGACCTCACGTGAGCTGCCCGCCTTGGCCTCCCAAAGTGCTGGGATTACAGGTGTGAGCCACTGCACCTGGCCAAGTCCAAGCTGTTTTGAGCGGCCTACAAGGCTCCCTGTGATCCAGCCTCAGCAACCTGCCAGCCTCTGGGAATGTTGAGCTCCCTTTGCTGTTTCCTCTCTGACACTTGACTGTTTTCATTCCCTTGACTGGTGCCCACCAGCTGCTTCCTTCTGCGTCCCATGCATGACATGTGATTTCTTCCTGCCCATTCTTAGAAAGTGCTTCCCCAGATCGTGTATCTCTTCTCTAACCTTATGGAATCCTCCACATTTTTTTTTATCACACCATGTGGTTGTAAATGTGGGCTATACTGTTTGCCATTGTTTGCTTTGCGTTTAATTAAACTGTTAAATTCTAAGTCCCAGGTGGTGGGGACCAAGATAGTTTTATATTCCCAGGGCTTAGGAAGGTAATTGACACATAGCTGGGATGCAGACATCATTTCCCCACCAACTTTTAGCCTTACCTTGGTCAGTCTCTGCTGACTTTGGTAATTTCCAGTGGAGTCAGATTCTTAAGCTGGACTCTGGAGGAATTTGATGTCCACTGCTGCCCTGCTGTGTGAACTCAGTATCTGCCCCTCCATCCAACTCTGCCTGCCCCTGAGTTTAATGCACCAGGTCCTGACCACCTGTGCAAAGCTTCCATGCTGCTTGGCCATGGCCCAGCCTATCTCCATCTTCCCTGGCTTACTGCACAAGGTAACCTCGCCTGTAAGCAGGTCAGTCAAGGTACCGTGCACCACCTCCTCCTCTTGAGTGAAGGGCATTTTCCATCTTGACCTTTATTTCTTATCTGTGCCCTGAGAATTAGGTGAGAAATGGATAGCAGCCTAATCCTTCCTCTGCCAAGGAGGGTCCTCTCTTAAAAGTTTCCCAGTTTGCAGCTGAACTGATGAAGCTATAACTGGTGAAACTTCCTTTATCAGTGAGTAGATGGTCAACATTGAAACATATATCCTCGATATCTAATCTGCAGTCCATCAGGCATGCTTGTCCTGAGTTAGGAGAATGCAGTAAACGGTGAGAGATGTGACAGAATATTACAGCAACCAGAAAGAATGATGGCTACCTTTCAAGCACTTACTGTATTCTATGTGCTTTACATGTGATCTTGCCTTTGCTTTTCACAATAACCTCATAACATGGGGGATCATTCTCATTCACATCTTCCCACCAATAAAAGTAAGTATGAGAAGACACAGGGGACCCCAACCCACGGCCACTGACATGACAGGGTCTCATTCCTGTTCCATCTACACAGCAGGGAGCTCACCCTCAACCATAATGATGATGTGCAAATTAAAACCACACTGAAACCACCAGAGTGCAAAAATAAATTCAAGCGATACCAAATGTCAAGGAGGTTGTGTAACCATGGGAATTCTCTTACCTGCTATAGGTATAGCATGGCATGATCACACTGCAAGGCTGTCCTGACACTTCCTAGTAAAGTTGAGCTTCATAATTCCTCCCCTCACAGCCTGTCCTGGGAACTTTTACACACGTGCCAAAGAAACATGAACAAGGATGTTCATGGAAGCATTAATGGAAATATTTGATGGACTGTTGCATGAATGCATTGTGACACCATGGCCAAACAGGAAAACTACATGTCCTACATGTCAGGAAAACTGAAGGAACCCCAGCTGAGCATATCAGTGTGGATGAAGCTCAAACACACCATGTTGGCTAAAAGAGGTAAATTGCAGAGTAATACAAGTAGTACAGTCAATTGAGGAAAATGCAAAATTAAACAATAGATCAATTGGGGAGATAGTAGGATGGCAGATAGTAAAATTTTGAAGGAAAGCAAGAAATTTGAATTTACATTTGATGATGTGTCAACCTTTCTCTGAGGGGAAGTTAGAGTTTGCAACTGGGGAGTAGCACCAGGATGCTTCCAAATTATTGGTCATATTTCATTTCTCAAGCTCCGTGCTGGGTATTTCTCAAACTCTGGAGACTTAGTGTTCTTCTTCTTTTTCCTTTTTTTTTGAGATGGAGTTTCGCTCATGTTGCCCAGGCTGGAGTGCAATGATTCGATCTCGACTCATGGCAACCTCTGCCTCCCGGGTTCAAGCAATTCTCCTTCCTCAGCCTCCCAAGTTAGCTGGGATTACAGACGTGTGCCACCACACCTGGCTAATTTGGTATTTTTAGTAGACATGGGGTTTCACCATGTTGGTCAGGCTCATCTCCAACTGCTGACCTCAAGCGATCCATCTACCTCGGCCTCCCAAAGTGCTGAGATTACAGTGAGCCACCATGCCCATCAGTGTTCTTCTTAAATAATACATGTTATATGAACTATTTATCATGTGATAGTTTCTTATAAAAGTAAAAATTACAAAACCCCCAAAATGTAACTTCAGAAATGTATGCTATAGATGCTAGCATTTTTTATACCACAGAGAAATAAATTAACCAGCCCTGTTTTTCCATAATTTATAATATTCTGGCCAACTCCATCAAATAACAAGGCAGAATCTTCAGTTCCGTTGAAAATGATGAGAAATTCAATTCCACCACATTATAACACAGAAGAAAAACCTTCCTGTTTTTGTCCATTAGTGCTTCTATAACAAAATACCTGAAACTGGTAATTTATAAATAACAGAAATTTATTTCTCACAGTTGTGGAGGCTGGGAATTCCAAGTTCAGGGTGCTTGCAGGTCCCATGTCTAGAAAGTGCCTGTTCTCTGCCGACAAGATGGCACCTGGTTTCTGCCTCCTCAGCCGGGAGGAGTGCTGTGTCCTTGTGTGGCGTGGCAGAAGAGCAGAAGAGCAAGATAGGTGAACTGTCTCTGAAGCCTCTTTTATGGCATTGCTTTATTTATGAATGTGGAGTTCTCACGGTTTAGTCCTTCCCAGAAGGCCTTACCTCTTATTATTACAGTGCGGATGAAGTTTCATCATGAATTTTGGAGGGAACATGCTTTCAAACCACAGCACTGCCCCCTGACAAAAATCACAGAACCATAGACTTTCTGATTCAGAACAAATCTTAGTGTTCTTCTAGTCCAAGCTGATATGAAATATCAAACCAATAAATTCTATTTCTCTTCCTTTTGCATTTTTAATGTACCTCTAATAATTTGATCTTAGTTGACTTCTATATTAAATATGTTCACAGACTGATTAACATAATTTACCTTCATTCATTTAATCAACAATCATTTTCTCAATACTTATTATGTGTGAGGCATGGCCATTAGCCAATAGGACACCAAGATAAATAAGATTTGGGGCCAATCTTCAATTAGGTGACTGTGTAATGGAGAAAGCACACTGCAAAATAGAAATATGACAACATAATTTGTTAAAAGATGTGAGAGAAATGTCAGGTTCTCTGTGAGCACAAAGAAAGAGCACATGTACAATTGGGAGGATCAAGAAAGTCTTCCTGGAGGAGGAGGGCTTCCGATCTGGGTCTTGAAAGAGAAAAGAAGGAGTAGCAACTCACACGGAGAAGATAAATATAAAAACATTTCCTAAAAAGGGACTGGATCAGGAAAAAAAAATGAGACAAGAACATAGCATAATGTTTCCAGGAAATATCAAGTATTATCATTTTGCTGGAGAACATATTATTTTGTCAAGTTGTAGGAACAAAAAGGAGAAATCCAGAAGAATGTCTGGCCTTTATTTTGTCTCTGGGTATATAAGAATGACACCTGAGAGCTCTTAGCCTGAAATCAGGACACGGATTCACATCCCAATCTTTCACTTACACACTGTGTGTCCCTGGGCAAGTCCCTTGACATTCAGTGAATTCTATTTTCTCCATCTGTAAAATGAGGCAAAAAATACACAACTCCAGTGACCCTCTGGGTACCTAGCACAGTATCTGGCCCACAGCAAGATGAATTGTGAAGTTTAAATGGGGTAACAGACACAGAAGTATTTTGGTCAGTACATCGTGCAGGGATGAGTATTTGAATCGTGTGTTAGGATGACAGGGACTGTCCTTGCTGAGATGTGTATATGCCAACTTCTAGTGACAATGACCGCAGCAGGGGAAATACGGCTCCCTGAATGTGACCTAAATACACCATGCTGCTTAAACCCTGGTAGCAACAAAGGCAATTCCCTCAGCATAGAATATTCACAGTGAGATCAGGTAGGTTTTACTCACCTCACAGCCTTTGGTCTCCTCTTAACATCGCAGCCGTTCAAAAACTATGTGAAAAAAAAATTAACTCGGCCAGCGTGGTAAGCTGTCCTGGGCTGATTTGCCTGGTGGACTTGAATTGTTCAAATCAATTAACTCCAGCTGAGAAGTTCTCGTTACAATGTCACCTTCAAGTTAAATAATATCGAGAGTCTTTGTCCTGAACGGTTGGTGTTTCTTGTTCCTTTTTAACCTTGATTCTGAGTTCTTGTAAGATTCTAACACTTACTATTTTGGTAAGATAATGTGCCCTAATAACTCAATCAGGACTTGAATTAGTATACCTCTGCTTGCCAGACACTACACCAGGAGTTTTATAGACACTACTTTTAAGAGAATCTTCATAAAGATCTTAGGAAGTAGTTATTACTGCCCACATTACAAGATAAAGTCAGTGTGGCCCAGAGAGTTTGAGTAGTTTGCCCAGACACACTAGATCTCTAAAGGCAGGAATGAGGTTCAAAACCAGGTTAAGTAACTCATGTCCAGAGTTTTCTCCACTGTACACAAAGTCTCCAAAGTTCCAGGAGCACCAATAGATTTAACGAATTAATTGATGCAATCCCCTCGGATGTCATAATAGATAACTTTTTACTTTTAAAGCTGTTCCCAGCTGGGGTATCTTAACTTCCTGCTGATAGATAAGTGTCCCAAATGCATTGTCCCCAGTGGCAAAAGGTCCCTCCCGTGGGGTGTGACACACTCTCCTCTCAGCACTGCCAGGCTCCTGGGGTGGAGCACAGGCTGTGCACCCAGTCCACTTCACTCCTGAAGGGGACCCTGGAGAAGCTAAAAGGGACCTTGGAAGGCACCCTGGAGAAGCTGGAAGGGACCCTGGATAAGGAGGAGAGGGAGCGGGAGGAGGCATCCTTCCCAGGTTACCCCAGCTTGATCTTTTTGTTTTGGTGTTGCTGCTAGTTCTGAATCTTCAGCAACAGGCAATGTTGAGGAGTGCATCTCTCTCCAGGGCTCTGACTGCCTTGTTGTCATTGTTAACGTTTGGAGTTAGCCTCCATGTGTTCTAGAACATTGGATTATAAACTCATTTTGACATATCCAGACTAGGACACATTTCACATTTACATTTTAACCTACTGTCCACAAATGCAAACAAATATTTCTCTCTCTCGCACACACACACACACACACACACTCACACACACACACACGCACACAATCTTGCACCACACTCTAGTATTTTCTCTTTCACTCTCTTTTCTTCTATTGTACTTTATTTTATTTCATTCTAAGGAAGTCTGGTCACAACTCAGAAGATTGATTTCATCACCCCCTGGATCAGGACCTGAAGTATGGAAAATACTGCTCCAGAATAACTCAGAAACTCCTGAGTCTCTATGCATAGTTCAAATGAATCTCTGCCGTCCTTGAGGACACAGAGCCTGTGGAGGTTACTAGGGGCCTGCTTCTTGGTTCCCTTACACCCTGGCCAACTCAGTGTGATTTGCACACTAGGACTTGCTCGTCTGTACATGTCATTACCCCCATTCGACTAAGAATCTTTGAAAACCTAGCCTGGACATCATTGTGTTTATTGTATTCCAGATATATAATACATAAATAATATATATTGTAAATTCTATATATATAGCTCACATATACCTCATATGTATGTTATCTTCATGTATATCATATATAATCTCATATATAGTATATGTATCATATAGTATATATATCATATGTAGTATAGCATTATATATAGTATATATTATCATATATATGACAATATATACTTGTATATATAGTACATATGCAATATATAGTATATATTATCATATATGACTATATAGTATATTATGTATATATTTTTCATCTATATGAAAGTATACATACATATTTATATGCCATATATAATATACCCTATCACATATATTACATGTAATCACATAGCATATATAATCATCATATGTATATATTTATATAATATGCATAATGTATAGTCTACATGAGTACAACAGGAATATAGTACCCTTTCTCACTACTTTGTTTGTTTATACTTCTCCTTACCACAAACTCACACACTCCTTGACTTTCTTTCTTGCTTTATTTTTGTTTATAGAAATAATCAGCATCTAATATTACATATATTTGATTTACATTTTGCTTATTGGTTATCTTTTTCCATAGAATGCAAGCTATGAGAAACTTGAAGAAGTCAGAAGTTTTGCGTCTTCTACTCAGTACTCTACAGTGCCTGGCATATACTAGTAACTTAGTTACTGGCTGGATGAATGAATGAAGCAAAAAGTCAGTGTTTTTCCAGAATGGCGACTATTAACTCTTAGGCATTCACTACAAACTGGGAACTTGAGATTCAATCCGAGAATCTCCAGATGATTCTGTGGGGCTTGAGATTTCAGAGCAGTCCTGCTGAAAGAATCACACCCGAGCACACAGTAAAGGAGCCCATGTGGGTCTCAGCCAACTCTGCCTTCTGGGGGACAATGAAATTCATTAGGCACTAGTAGTGGCCATCTCTGGCACATTCTTGACCCATATTCTTTAGAGAAATTAAGGCTAGAATGACATCATTGCTAATAATATGAATACCCTTCAACCAATATTCTCGTAATATTTGCCCAATTGTTTTTAGATAAGTGCTATTTGAAAGAAGGACACAACAGTATTCGTGAAAGTATTAGAATAAAATAGTGTGAGCATTCTTATCTGCTTTTAAATGTAACTGGATCAGAACAGAGGTCATAATTTTGTTATGATAAATTCTTCCTTCCTCTTTCCATTGCTCTCTCTTTCTATTTATTCTCTCTTTTTTATACATCATTGCTCCATCACATATGTTGAGCATCTTAAGGAGAGCACAGTATAATGAGATAGAAAAGCAAGCACCTAGTACAGTTTGCTAAGTGTTATAATGGAGGTAAATAAAAGGTTAAAGACTGAGCTTGCTGCTTAGAAAATGAAAGGCTCTGTGTAAATAGCAAATCATTTTAATTTAATGTCCAGCCTTGCTGGGCTTTGGAACCCTAGAGACAGCCTGGAAAACAGAGGGAGGGATGATTTCATAAGGTTTATCGGATAAGGTAATGCACATATCCAATGCAGCATTTAAGGTTGTAATCATTTTGAGAATAAAAACAAACCTCTGCATTCTTCTTCTTTAAGCAAAAGTGCCCAAGTATGGGATATGGCAGGTGATATTGTAACTTTATTCTATTGATCAAATGCTTTGATCAATAGGTGGAAGATTGAAAAAAAGATCAATAGACACAAAGAGAATTTAAAACTCTGTTTATATAATCAATTGATTAAAGAAATTGATTTGAAAGATACAAGCAAAAGAAAAGGACTTAGACGTAAAGCAGGAAAAATATTTCATATCTTTAAGGAAGAAAGGTAAATGTGAATTGGGACATTTGGTTTACAATAAATATAAATAAAATAATAAATATAAATAAATAAATATGGAAAAGGCAAAATTACAAGTAGAGCTCAGGTTTTTAAAAAGACATGCTCTCAATAGACATGTAGGATATATTGTAAAAGCATGAATATTTTAATTGCCATTTCTTATTCGCTGGTGGCTGACGGTCAACATCTGGCAGTGAAAAAGTCTCTGAGTTTCGCTTTAGAAGATTATTTCAATCATGGTTCTTCAAAGCAATAGGAAACAACTCCTACTGATCCAAGCAGAAAGGGAATCTATTGATAGGGCATTGGATTGATAGCTTGCATCAATTACTCAGCCAACACAGCAACCTCATTTTTGCCCAGTTCCTCCAGTGTTTGGCCTCACCACAAACTCGTTAGTCATATTATTGCTGTTTCTTATGGAAACATTCCTCTCCCGGGGACCAACATCTTGACACCAACAGAACCTAGAGCAACAGGGTGTGGCATCCAATTTTTTTTTTGAGTGTATCATTGAGCATAATAATAAAGGTCCCCTTTCCATTTCCTAGAACCATGTGTGGGAGAAAGAGAATATTGTTTGTATAGGAGAGACCCTCTCCAACCTCACAAGGTTTTCAACTTCAGTCATTCATTCAAATCCATGGAGTATGTGGTACTACAGTGAATAATACCATGAGCATTAACCCAGTGCTTTATATCTTTCACCAGAGATTAAATTAGTGGATTGAAGAAATGCTGTGTGATCTACGCGGATGGTATTAAATCCTCCAGAAACCAGGAAAAGCAGCCATTACTATTTGCCATCTGAGCCAATAGAACTTTTAAAACATATATATGTATATTGAAATCAGAAGGGAGAATTTACAGAAGAAGAGTAGGATGGTAAAAAAATTAGTAGAAAATGCTATAAGAATCTAAACATAGCCTACCTTTTTGTTTCAAGTGAATTTCAGCACACAAACATTGTAATAAAGAAAGGATTACTGTCACATGTCCTTCAGTCAAAGTGGGATGGTTCAGGTTCTTGCCACAAAATCAAGATTGAGGACGTCTTTGTTGCTAATGAGCAACTCAATGATGATAGTTTATTTCCATTTGAAAGCCTGTAGCATCAGACTTCATTTATATAATCAATGTCCTGATTATATAGCATTATAGTCTAAAGCTGTGCTACTAGCTGTATATAGCTACTTATACTGAGATGACTTAAAACTCAATACAATTCAAAATTCAGTTGTTCAGTCACACTGGCCACATTTGATGTCCTCAACAGCCCTACGTGGATACTTTACGGACAGTGCAGATAAACAGCATTCATCTCAAGGCAGAAGCACTGTTACATTTGCCTCTTTTTAAGGCTAAATAATGTTCCACTGCACGTATATACCACGTTTTTCAAATCTGTTTGTCTTTCAATGGTCATTTAGGCTGTTTTCTCATCTTGGCTATTGTGAATAAATATATGATACCTAAATTATCCCTGGGGACATTATGTGAGGGATATGGTTTGTCTCTGTGTACTCACCCAAATCTTAAGTCAAATTGTAATCCTCATTGTTGGAGGAGGGGCCTGGTGCGAGGCGATTGATCATGGAGGTGGATTTCCCTCTTGCTGTTCTTCTGATAGTGAGTGAGTTCTCAAGAAGATCTAGTTGTTTGAAAATATGTAGCACTTTCCCCTTCACTCTCTCTCTCCTGCCAGCCATGGGAAGTGTGCCTGCTTCCCCTTCACCTTCCATTAGGATTGTGAGTTTCCTGAGGCCTCTCCAGAAGCAGAAGCCTGTGCTGCCTGCAGAACCATGAGCCAGTTAAACCTCTTTTCTTTAAAAATTACCCAGTCTCAAGTATGCTTTGTTGTTTTATGTTGTTGTTTTTTGAAACAGGGTCTCACTTTGTCACCCAGGCTAGAGTGCAGTGGCACAATCTTGGCTCACTGCAGCCTCGACCTCCTGGGCTCAGGTGATTCTCCTACCTCAGCCTCCCAAGTAACTGGGATTACAGGCACGTGCCACCATGCCCGGCTAATTTTTTTTTCTTTGTATTTTTAATACAGAAGGGGTTTTTCTATGTTACCCAGGCTGGACTTGAACTCTTGAGCTTGAGCAATCCACCTGCCTCGGCCTCCCAGAGTGCTGGGATTATAGGTGTGAGCCACTATACCCAGCCTAAGGTTATGTCTTTATAGCCTCTGGCAACCACATTTCACTCTTTAATTCTATGAGTTTGACTATTTTAGAGGCCTCATATAGGTGAGATCATGTGGTATTTGTCTTTATGTGCCAGTTCATCTTTACTATCCAGTATAATAAAGGTAATATTTCTCCCTGGGGCCTAGGATGGGTGTGCTTGTAGCCCATTATAAAGTATATGGTTTCCTGAAGCCTGAGGCTCTGAAGCTGTGGCACAGATGCACTGCTGGGACAGTGCACACCTGGAATCCCCTGCAGCAAGGGGAACTAACACAGTCATGAAGCCTACACTGCTTTCTGCACTTTGAGGAATAGTTTTTAAAATCTCAGACATGGGAGTCTTATATCTTCTACGAACAGCTGTGAAACTGTGCTGAGCCAACTTGGTAGCTTGCAAGTGTGGTAAAATCTTAGACTCTAATTTTTGACGACCACTTGTGGCAAAAAGGAACAATGCTGAATTACTGGCTAAGTTCAATGGAAGTTATTAGCAGACTGCAAAAACAGAATCTCCAGTGTTATTTTCTTTCTTGAAAGGTGGTATCATTGGGAAATGGAGAAACAAAACATCTGAAAGACGACAATTTTTTTCATTGTATTATTCTTCTAGGTGATCACATTATTCTTCTGATTTCTTATCACTTGGGTTTTTTTTTTTTTTGGCATAGTTGGAAATAATTGATGAGTGAGGAAGTAATCCTAGGATGGTAAAACACCAAAATGTTTCATACTGTAAAAAAACCCCTAAGATTTAATATTGTATTTTAGATTCATAAAAGGATCCAATGGACCCATATGGTAATTGCAAAGTAGAATGTGTGTTTTTTTTTTTTCTGTCTGAACAATGAGTGAAGTTTCTCTTTGTTCTTTTAAGGATCTTAGGCAAAAGTAAGGCATGAAATAGCAATTCTTACAAATGGCTATAACTGACTGAGAAAACTTCAGTGGACTTTGACGATATACTGAATGTCCAGGTATTTATGGATAGTGATGTTAAAAAGTCAAGTACATGCTTATCCAGATGAAGCATCTATCTAAGTTAAGACAAATCACTGCCCTTTCAGTAAGAAGGAGTTCCGTGTTTGCTCATGGCTCATCTTTGCTCAAGGCAAATTAGGCACCCCAAAGAGCAGGATTCAAGTCAGCTTTAGGGAAGGGGAGTTTATTTTGCTTCACTCATAACTACCTTCCATCAATGTCTCAATAGTCACCTTTTCCTTCAGCTTATTGGGCCATCACTGGGCAGCGGGAGAACTAGTTGCTTGATATTTACAAGGGAGATCATATTGTTCCCAAGTACACTGAAAGCCTCATCTACAATAGGAGATTTTGGTGACCATCTAAATAATATACACTCTGTTCCCCCATGGAAGTGTATGGCAGATCTATAGAGAACAGCCACTAGGATAATTTTCAAAGATGCTGGTGCTACCATAACCAATGGCTTTCTCAAAGCCTTGGCAGAGGAAGTAGTGGACAGTCAGATGGCAGGTGGGTAGGGTGCATGTGATACATCTTTGCCAAACATCCTGCCACCCTATGTCTTTCACTAGCCCTTCTTCATTTTTCTAAGAAATTTCTGGCTTCTCAGCTTTATTTTAATGGGGTGCAATTATGTTGAAGTTTTGCAAAGCAACTAGTCAAACAATTCAAACCACCTCTATTTGTCCTAGATAGTGCATTGAAACTAGAATTCTGATTATTGAAGCCATGTGATAAACACAGTCTGGTATAAGATTATTTTCTTCTCCTTGGTCTAAGCTAGGGAAGAGCAAACTTTCTTTAAAGAGCTAGACACTAAACTTTTTAGCTTTTCCAGGCCGTGTGATCTCTGCTACAGCCACTCAACTCTGCCTTTGTAGTGTGAGAGTAGCCATAGACAATATATAAACAAATGGGCATGGCTGTGTTCCAGTAAAACTTTGCTTACATAAATAGGCAGCTGGTCAGTTTTGGTCCGTGGACAATATTTACTGGCCTCTAGACTAAGCTGCTCAGATAATATTCTGGCAAGTTTTCTTAGATTATTGCCAAAAGAAATTAGCTAGGAATTGCAATTATGTTAGCCCTGAAGTTTCTGTGCTACACTTTGTACTTGAAGCCATCCTGTCCTGCAGCATGTTCCAGTCTGACTGTTGCTAGAGATTTGTAGACCTTAAGTACTGTGATGTTGGGACATGAGACAAAGTGGCTTCCCTTTGTAAATGACCTTCCTTGGGTGAGCTTTCCTCAGAGTCTTTAATGTATGCAGGGATAGTCCCATTACATGAGTAGAAGAATATGCTTTGGCTGGCCAAGAAAGTATTAGGAAAGGGGAAAGCTGGAAGCCATGCTGAATTTTTTATATTCTTTTGTATGGCCGTATCCCAATCCTTGGCATCCATATTTTCCTACCAGATGCCCCAACGTTCAAGTAAGAGACCTGACATTAATATAAATTTAATGTATGGTAAACTAACCCCGTGCAGGATTAGAGCTATTTAGTTCTTAGCACACGTATTCCTGCAGCTACATATGACCAGTGATTCCTTCAGCATGGTTACTAAAAGTCCCTGGTACTCAGCCTATGTCTTGATCTAAGGATTTACAAGTCTGAACGTTTCATTTTCTTTTCATAAGCGAGACTAACCAGCACCATTAAAAGAAGCCAGGCAGCCTTAGAGGACTTGAACTCCTCATGTTACCTAATACATCTGTGGCAGTGACTGCTATTTCTCCTAAATCCTTGGCTGTAATGTCACTTTCATTCTAGGTGACTACAATCAATAATTCCATTAGGTCCTTTTTAATGTGCTGCCAAAGTTCTCTCTTAATAACATTTGAACATTTATTACCTAACCAAAACAGCCCAAAATATAAATTCCTGATTCCTATTATTTCTCTACATCTGTTATCAGTAAACATGCCTGGTATTAATTTCTGTATCTGGCAAAGTACTTGGTGGCATCCAAGAGAAATTGACAATGCATGGTTTAACCAGACAGGAAATATATTCAATGTGTCCTGAGTAGTGCACAGAAAGGCCAAGGAAGTCAGGAGAACAAGGTTCAGGAAACGGACAGGAACGGCGGCCTCTGGGAAGGAACTGAGACCATGGCCAAAACCACTGCTCCCACTCAGTGAGGACGCTATGGCCCTGAAGACAACCACAGACACAGGCCTGCTCTGTTGCCGCCAACTTCTTCCAAACTGATTTTTTTTTTAAATAACAAGTCTATTGAGATATAATTTATATAGCCTAAACTTCACCCCTTTCAATTGTACAGTTTGGTCTGTAGCATATCCACAGAGCTGTGCAACCATTATGATAATTAATTTTAGAATGTCTGTAACTCCCCAAGAAGAAACGCAGTACCCCATAGCAGTCACTTCTCCTTCCCCCTGAATTCCCTCAGCCCGAGGCTAATACTAACCTACTTCCTGTCTCTATAGATTTGCCTCTTTTGGACATTTTATATAAATGGAATCATGCAATATGTGGGGCTTTTTGTGACTGGCTTCATTCACTTAGCACAATGATTTCAAGATTCCTCCGTGTTGTACTATGTATTGGTATTTTATCCTTTTTTATTGTGAAATAATATTCTATTGTACAAATATATCATATTTAATTTTACCATTTATCAGTTGATGGACATTTACGTTATTTTCACTCCTGGACTATTATGAGTAATGTTGCTATAAGCATTTGTGTATATGTTTCTGTGTAGCTATATTTTTAAAAATTTCTAGAATGGATTTTGAAATGACTATACTTCATTGCTGCATTATCACAATCAAAATTGTGTTTCTGTGTACTCGAATAGTTTATGCCAATGACTTTCCCACGGTAGTTGCACAGAAGGCTGAGAAAGCAAGATTTTGGTATATCAACATCAGCATATTCAATAGTGGAAAGGCCTGGCCTCCTACCAAAATTCAGAGTGGGGAGTTGTGCAAATACATAAAACAGATTCAGATGTTGAGCAGAAAGAAATGGCCAGGCCTATTATAACCATCTAGGTTTGAATTTTATCTCTGCCACTTAGCCATGTAACCTTTTAGAAATGCAATTTCCTTACCTCTAAAACAGGGAGGATAACCATTTCCTTTCTCACAGAGTTCTTAGAAATCTCAAGTGGTTTTTAAAGCTCCAATTTTCATTTGTAAACTGGGGCCACGACCCATCTCGTGTGTGCTCAGTGGATGCACTGCTGGCATTTTGAGCCGGTCATTCTTTGTGCATGTCGGGGTTTAGCATAGCTGGTCCTACCTCCTCCCCCAGGTGACCCACTGCTGTCATTATAATGGAAAAAAAAAAAGCCCTTGGGGATGATAGTACCCCTGCCTTCATTGCAAGCCTTGAAACATCCCCTTGCTGTTTCCTAGATTTAATGTTTTTGTTCGTTTGTTTGCTTTTCTTTTGTGATTGATTGATTGACTTATCAAGTGATCTAGAACAGTTCTTCAACAGTAGTGCTGTTGAGATTTTGTACTGAATAGTTGTTAGTTATGGGGGGCCATCCTGTGTATTGAAGATGTTGAGAAGCATCCCTGACCTTACCCCAGTAGACCGCCAGTAGGACTTCTTCCCAGTCCTGACAATCAAAAATGTTTCCAGATATTGCTAAATGTCCCCAGGAGGGGCAAAAATTATACCCCAGTTGAAAGCCTGTAATCTAGTAGATAAAATATGAATTTTTAATTAATCATTATATATCTTCAAATCGTATTATGTTATTAATATTTCACTTATAATATTAGAGCCATAAAATAGTGTATTTCCATTTTCCCTTTTTGTGCTACTATTGTCATAGATTTTACTTCTACCTATGTTGTGAATGCTTTAATACAATTGCTTTGGATTGTTTTCAATTTTAACAGTTAATTATCTTCTAAATGAATTAAAAACCAAAGGAGTTTTTAATGGTAACTGCCTAGTTACCATTTCCAGTACTCTTCCTTCCTCAGTTTAAACCCAAGTTTTCACCTGGTATTTTATTTTCAGCCTCACAAAAGGTTTTTGTTTTTTGTTTTTTTGTAGTGCAGATATCCTGGTGATAAAATATCTCAGATTTGTTTTGCCTGGAAAGGTTTTCAAAGGCTATGTTCACTATATATAAAGTTCTAGGTTTAGAGGATTATTTTTTTTCTTCCAGTGTTTTAAAGATATCAGCCCATCATCTTCTGGCTTGTATTAAGTCTGCTGATTCTTACTTTTGCACTCCAGTATTTAATAGGTCCTTTTTCCCACTCTTACTACTTTTAGGACTTATTATTTTTTATCAGCTTGGTTACGATGTGCATTCATGTGGTTTTTCTTCATTTGTAATACTTGGGTTCCTTGAGCATCTTGGCTCTAAGAGTTTATAGTTTTCATCAAATGTGAAAAATTTACAGCTCTTACATTTTCAAAAAAAAAAAAATTCTGTCCTCTTCCCCACCCTTCCCATTCTGGGATTCAAAATACACATATGTTATTGCTTTAGGTTACTATACAGAACATTAATGTTTTGTTAGTTTGCTTTTTAGCTTTTTTTCCTCCTCCTATGTATTTAAATTCACTGATCTTTTATTTTGCACTCCCAATGTGCTGTTAATTCTATTAGGTAAGGTGTTTATTTAAAATATATTTTAGCTCCAGAAATTGTACTGTTTTTAAATTTGCTCCTCATGTTCATACTTCTCTCTAAATTCTCATGTATATTTTTAACCCTTTTCCCATTTAGAAAAAAAAAGTGCAGCTCACTGCCAGCACTCATTTAATTTTACATAAACACACTCTTTGAGGCTAAAGCAAATCTGACTGATTTTCAATGTGAAAATAAAATATAAAAACTGTTCTTGGAGTTATTTCTAAACAGTACTAACATCAGAATTGTCTGAATCATCAGAATTGTCTATTTCAGAAAAATCAGATTCATCAAATGAATTTTTGGCCCACAACTGTTCAAGAATGATGTTAGCATCATGCGTAGGAACGCTGCATTTTCTAGGATTTGACATTTTCAGCGATCAAGCATTACTATATTTTGTAAATGGAAATACTACTACTAAAAACAGAATTCTATAAATAGAATGATATCTTTTGTTTTCAAAGTTGATATACTAGAGTGACACGAAAATAATAATCAAAGTGAGATATTTTGTGGCAAAGTTTTCTTCGGGTAAACACTGCAGCTGCATGCGCTACTGGCAAGTATTCTTGGGGCAAATGGGAAAAGGGTTAATAGCCGCTTTAAAGTCCTGTCTGATAATTGCATCATCTCTGCCATTTTTTAAATGTTCCTATTTACTGATTTTTTTTTCCTGGGAAATGATCATACTCACCAGCTTCTCTTCATGCTCAGTATTTTTGTATGGATTCTGGACATTGTAAATGTTATGTCGTGAGTGTCTGGATTTTGTTCTCTTCCTTTAAAGAGCATTGAATTCTTCTTTGATTGGCAGTTAAGTCTATGAAGATCATCTTGATAATTTCAAGTTTTGTATTTGTGTTTTGTACGATTGCATCTAGACCAGCCTGGACTCTAGGCCAAATTTAGTCCTAATATTAAGCAATGATTCTGGCCGGATGTGGTGGCTCAGAGGTCACCTGGGCAGCCAAACCTTAAAAAGTCTCAGATGATTCTGATGCGCACCCCCAAATGATAACCTTTATAACAGGCAAAGATTTTAAGAGGAAAAATAAGAAGTTACATAATTAGAATTTTATACTTTGGGTTGGGTGCAGTGGCTCACACCTGTAATCCCAACATTTTGGGAGATCAAGGCAGGTGGATCACTTGAGGCCAAGAGTTCAAGACCAGCCTGGCCAACATGGTGATACCCCATCTCTACGAAAAATACAAAAATATTAGCTGGGCTTGGTGGTGCACTGCTGCAGTACCAGCTCCTCTGGAGGCTGAGGCATGAGAACCACTTGAGCCTGGGAGGTGGAGGTTGCAGTGAGCCGAGATTGGGCCACTGCACTGCAGCCTGGGTGACAGTGAGATTCTGTCTGAAAAAAAAAAAAAAAGTGATTTTGATGGGCTCACTAGTGGATGCCTTTCCATTCCATAAGTTGCACTTCTGGGGTTGTATGGAGTTTGGCTGTATGTCAGCCTTGTGTAAACTCTGGAAATTGTTTACCTTATAAATCCCTAGTAGTTCTTTTCATGGCCTTGTGGTTCACTGTATTGCACACATAGCTCAATAGTCAGCTACAGACCCAAGGGGATCTGTATGAAGATTTTCTGAGCTCTGTCTTCGCATAGGCTCCCCATCTCTCTACTCTTCTCCAAAATTTCTAGCTGTTTCAGCCACTCCAAATGCTGAGCTCTGACTTGTCAGTTCAGTTAGAATTATTATTGCACTCAAATGACAAACACAGCCTTGTGTAAAATTATATTCTTTTGTTCTGAATCTAATCCAAGGGTTGGCAAACTTGTCCTGTGAAGAACAAGATGGTAAATACCTGGCTCTTCCTTGGTTCTTCTTTCCTGAGCCATTGACCAGGAAGTGGCTCCAAAGAAAATGCTGGTGTGAGGCTGCCTTACTTGATTCCCTTCTGTCAGGCACCAGAGTACTGAGCTGGTTGTTGTCGAATATTTAAAAACAGTTTTGTATATTTTGTCTGATTGTTTAGTTGTTCATACTGAGGTAACTAGACTGGATTCAGTTATTCCATCGTGGATTCACAGGACTTTTATAAATAAAAAATGGGATTATAGATGTGAATGTAATCTGCAAACTAAGATGGAAAGAATACATGAAGAGGATAATGACCTACTTCCTCAGTATCCTGCCCAAGCTCCCATATTTGCATTTAAGTACATATTAAAAAAAACAGAGGCTTCCATTTCCATCATTCTATCTGATAAATGACAAAGGACTACCTTAACCACATGTGTTCCTCCCTCTCCCTGACTTACTGCTATGACAAAGACATTCATCTGAGCAACGCCTGAATGTTAAGATAATTTGTTTTCAGAATGCCTAAGGTAAAGGCCAATTATGTCATATGGAAAGAACTTACTTGGTTAAGCCCAAGGTGTCCATTACTTGGATAGTCATCACCAACATCACCTATTTGTTGCTTGGATAACAAATAGCAAAAATCTGTAAGGTGATGAGTGGGCATAGGAAGCTGGGAGAAGGGAAGGCCTCAGCATTTAGGGTTTCCAGTGGCAGCAGTCCTTTATGATGGGTGACAGAGCAGACTTTCATGACAAGTGACCCTCCAAGCTCATCTACATAATCATGGCAGATTGAACGTCTGGGGCTGAAACTGTCACTTTGTTTCCACACTTAATCTTCTCCTCATCCAATCCTTAAAATGATGCTTTGGCCTATTTCTGTATTTATTCTGTAACCCTTTGCTCTACTTCAACCACTCTCCCTCCAGCCTCTACCAAAGAATCAGTAAGACTCACTGGCTAAATGTTGTCCATCTTCAGTGGTCCATATTAAGAGCTCCCTAGACCCTCTAGGATAGTGGTCCCCAACCTTTTTGGCACCAGCAACTGATTTCCTAGAAGACAGTTTTTTCATGAATGCAGGGGTTGAGGGTTGGTTCCCAGATGAAACTGTTCCACCTCAGATCATCAGGCATTAGATTCTCATAAGGAGCACACAACCTAGATCCCTTGCAAGTGCAGTTCACTGTAGTGTTTCCACTCCTATGAGAACCTAATGCCAATGCTGATCTGCCATGAGGTGGAGCTCAGATGGTAATGCTCTCCCGAACATCACTCACCTCCTGCTGTGCAGCCCAGTTCCTAACAGGCCACAGGCCAGTAGTGGTCCTCAGCCTGGGGTTGGGACACCTGCTCTAAGGAACCCTTTCTGATTATCCTATGTTAATTCACCTCCACTCTTTAGTGAATTTAACTTGACTGGGCACCTCCCCTATACTAGACATGGTGCTCTTCACTGGGGATAGGAAAATGAATGAAGGACTATCACCACCCTCTGAAGCTCTCCAGCACTTTTTCTTGAAATCTATAATTTTTCTACGTGGCACTTTCTGGTGAAAGTTTTAGATGTTTAAAGGCCCTGACTGGGCAAGACCAGCCTTCATGCTAAAGGCTCCTATCTTCCTTCCTTTTAGATTCCACAATATTTCTGGCCCTTCAGGAAAAGAAGCTCCTTGAACATCTTTGTACTGAGTAGATCTACCCTATCAAGGGAGTCCTTCTTCTATGAACCCATGGGTGCTTACTCTTTGTCTCTTCAGCCCTGGATTAGCACCTCCTGCTCGCATTTTCTACCGTAACACAGGAGCCCTTTCACTTTCTCTGCTCATCCCCTGGTTCTTCTTCCAGTTTCCTCAGCGTGCGGCCTCCTTCCTCCCCAGGGGTCTTTGTGTACAATCCAGCTTGCAAGAGTCCAAGTTGGTGATTCTTTATT
Organism: Homo sapiens; assembly: GCF_000001405.40. Lineage (NCBI taxonomy): Eukaryota > Metazoa > Chordata > Mammalia > Primates > Hominidae > Homo > Homo sapiens. The sequence goes on from NC_000002.12 coordinate 5,826,605, forward strand.
TCACCACTTTATCCCAGAGCTTGAAAAGTTGGCTGGCAGATCACAAGTGCTCAAAAATTATTTGTGGAAGGTATGAACAAATTGCAAACAAGATGCGGGGGTGTATGTTCAGATACGCCATTAAGACCATAAGTTAGTCTCCTTGGCAATCCAGGACAGGCAGGTTGAAGAAATAAGTGGTGTCCTTGGTTAGAGAGGATCCCTGACTCTGGGTTCCATGGAGAAAATCTGGTAAACTTTCCTGTCAAAATTTTTTTTTCTTAAAAAAATTTGAATGGTCTGTATCACTGTTATTAAAAACATTTAAATCCTATTTTAAAAATATGCTGCATTTCATTATAAGGAGAATATAGCCTATTTAAAATAAGCCTATTTAAATCCTATTTAAAAATATGCTGCATTTCATTATAAGGAGAATATAGCCTAACTCCCCAAAAATATTCCCTACAAATGTTAAGCTGTATTCATATATTATTCATTCAATATAGAACCATCTTGATCTGCTTCTTCTCACACAGAGGCTGTATGTAAGGGGTAATCCCATGGTCCCAGGGACGGGTGTGGCCCTGAGGTTTCCAGGACACAGTCATCAGTAATTCTTGGATGGTAGTCTTTGGTCAGAATGCCTGTAAGTAATCCTGCTGAGATGCCACTGGTTCCTTTGCCTTACGTCTGGCCATCTTGCCCATTTTTCATTGCATCATAAATACTGAATTTCTTTTTTCTTTTTTTTTTTTTTTTTAGCCCTTTCACCTATTTACTTAACAGTTTCTGCTAAAGAGATCAAAACTCTTTATAGTAGCCAGACCAGGAGCCAGAAGGTCTGAGTTCTCTCTCCTGGCCATTATCCCAGCTAGTGCTGTGTTCTTAGTAAAAATTCAGCCAGCTGGGACCTTTTTTTCCTTACTCCTGGGAAGAGGGAGCCCCCTTCAGAATTAAGATTCTATAAATAGCCTTTTATGAGGGCTTTTACCAAGCCTGGTAGGTTATCGCCATCATTTAATTACCTAGCATTCGCTTCTTTAAACAAAATACCAACGAGTGTTCTTTTGAGTAATTCCTTTTTCTAGCTTTTGAGACCCTCCTGTTCAACTTTATATTGAAGAGTCAGCTTCTTGTACTTCTGTGGAGGTTGTGAGAAACTCTCTCTGAGGGTAGATTATGGAGCAGTAAAACCAGATTGCAATTACAGCATCTAATAATGCAAAGCTCATTTCAGGAAAAACATCAAACAGGAAACTTGAAGCAGAGGGATGTGTAAATTAATATTTCTATCTGGCTATCTGCCTAGGCTTTCTGAGCTAATCTGCTTTATTACATATTTAGGATCAGAATTAAAACAGAGATATTTTTCTTTATTCTTTCCTACTCTCTTTCTTAGTCTAAGCTTCTCATTTTATTTATCTGTTTTTTTAGGCTAGTGGTTAATTTCATTTTCTCCAAATTGTGACATATACTTAAAATTGATCAAATATCTTTGTCTTGTTCACCCAACTTCTGATTTCAGCTTTCCAAAGACTTTCATGTTATAAGATTTTTATTTTAGTATTTACATTTGATAGTTCTAAAATAACATGTTTATATAGATTTTCTCCCATATTTAAATATTACCCAGTGACTTGTCACTATGGAACTTGAAAAAGCATTAGCAATTTCCTCCTCCACATTTCCACTCATGGAGTTCCCATCTCCTAATCCCCAGTGTAATTAAAATGTCTATTTTTACCTAAGTCAATATTCAGTGATTGCATTAATATGTCTACATTGTTTATAGCTGAGTTACAATACAGGGACCACATTTTTATGATGCTTCCCAAATTAATAACTTTTCTTTCTTTTGCTTAATTGTCTATGCAAGTTGCTAATTCAGCTCCAAACTTATTTCTAGAATATAAATCTCTCAACTCCTTCAACCACATTAGGTATTCCATTATCTTTATCTTTTTGGTATCTCCTTCTTCTGACCCTCCTGGATCTGACAGCCCCCGAGGATGGCTGCTTGCTGATCTCCAAAAGAGCCTCACACTTCACCTGTGACCTTTGCTTCTCTCCTCTCCTGGATCACCTGTTTTCATCCTGTGCTGTCCACTTTGTTGGTTCACTTTCTTATTCTGCTAAAGTCCGTCCTCTAATAGCTCCTTAAGAAAGGATGCATGAGAGTGCATTTTTCAAGAGTCTGCATTTGATATGACAGTTTGGTTAGAGGTTAGTGTAGGATTCTATGTTGGAAATTCTTTCCCTCAAATTTTTAAGGTTTCCGTCAATAGTCTTCTGAATTTCTGTGCTGTTTTTAAGAACTTCCTGGTTTCTTCTAATTTATGGTGCTTTGGCTACTTTAGAGAGGATGTTAAGTAGGTGGGCCTGGAGCCTACGTTGATATTTCAATCAGGAAACCTGTGAGTCATTGGGTACTATTCAGGGCCTCAGAGCTATGCTTTCACCTTGGCAATGACCATTCAGGACTGAGTCTCAGGTGTAGATTGTAGATATCAGAGCCCAGAATATAATGAGGCTAGGTAGCCTACAGAATTTGATTTTAGTTGCTGTGTTTTTTGCCCAAATCATTGAGACTTTTGTGTGTGTGATTTTTCCGTTTATCTTCCTTTTTCTTCAAACAACTCACCCAATTAGGTCTCCATATCATCTCCTTGGACAGATAAGGAAAGTGTCCAGAGTTGGGTATTCCAGGACTCTGACATTGGAGAGAGGGTTTGGACCATTAGGGACAGCTGACATCTCCTCTCCTTCACAGCCAGGGCACTTCTGCGTGCCTTTCTTAGACGCAATGTGTTATAATATCTTAAGAATTATCTATAGGTGGGGTGCAGTTTGAAAGAAAGGAGATGAACTCAGAGAGATGGGACTGTGTTGCAGGGAAAAGTCTCTGACTTCTTTTAGGCCTAAACTTGAGATCTGCATGAGCCTGTCCCATGACCTCAGAAATCCACAGGCTGGTACCTGCAAGCTGTACTTAATTAATAAGAGATACTGTCCTCAAAGGAGTTAAGTGACTGTGAGATGAGAGAGACAAGAACTGGCATCTCAACTTCTTGCCTGTTGATGCTTCATGACATTAAGAAGCAGTAAATCCTGAACTGTTAAAGTATGACAACTCCACACATAATGCAAAAGCAATTTTATGGAATTTCAAGCCACAGGGATTTAACAACTCAAATAACAGAGGCAGAATTTTTAAAGGTCTTTAAGTGATAAGAATTTCAAATAGATTTTTGGTTATGCTTTTTAAAGATTAATAACAAAAGTTCATGCTGCAAAGAAGAGTCTCTGCTGGAATGGCCAGGCAAAAATAGCTCCACATCATGCTTTTTTCTTCCACCTGAACTTCAAAAGGATGTATGTGCAGATTAAGATGACTTAAGGTAAGATGGGACTTGGTGATTGCCTAGAGATAATAAGGTAGTTTATAGCATTTTTCATCAAGAGTTCAGTGTGTTTCTTCCTTGTGTGATCTGATGATTGTAGAAAATAGGCTTATGGAATTGTTTGTTTAGAAAAGAGCCATGGTAAAATTAGACATTGTTATGGACTGAATGTTTATGCCCCTCCACAATTCATAGGTTGAAGCTCTAACCTTTAATATGATGATATTTGGAGGTGGGGCCTTTGGAAAGTAGATTTGGATGAGGTCATGACGGGGAGGCTTCATGTTGGGATTTGTATCCTTACAGGAGGAAGAAGAGAGGAGAGCTCGCTTGTCTCTCCAATGTATGAAGACACAGAGAAAATATATGGATGAGCAAGCCAGGAAGAGAGAGCCCGAGAGGAACTGAGTGAGCCGGCACCTTGATCTTGAACTTTCGAGCCTCAAGAACTGTGAGAAATGAATGTCTGCTGTTGAAACCACATAGTCCATGGTATATTGCAATGGCAGGATGAGCAGACTGAGTTACACATAAAAGATTTGAGTTGTGAGTGGAGACAACTCCAATTTCTACTCTACATCATAATTTTCGAAAGAAATCATTGAGCCCCAACTCTTGTATAGAACAATACAGACAAATGATGACAGAATCAAGGCTAGCCACCTTAGTGGACAAGTATATGGGACATGCGTCGAAAAATGATCCAGCTGCTAAAAAAATACCTGTTACGATTTCAAGTTCATTATTTTTCTCTTTACAGAACAAATCCTCTCCTGCCTTTTGCCTCCATTTCCCAGTAAATTTCTGTTAGGGTCAGGCCTTGTTTGAGAATGTTATAGATTCCCTTAATCAAATATGGCATTGCAGCCAGTTGCATACAGGCAACTGTTTACATACATCCTATCCTTTGAAATCTTTGAAAGGTTCTAGGAACTCTAACTCATCTTTTTAGTGTTTAATGTTTTACACCTTAGGAAACTGGCTCAGAGCCAAAGAGCAAATTAAAAATAGTTATGATGCATATAACAAGAAGCATTTATTGAAAGTACTTCAAACAATGTGTACACTTTTGTTCAATCATTATGATGAAATGATGGGCTGGGCCATAATTAACTTTAAGTCATTGCCACATTTTCAGAGGAAACCAGGATTTGCATGGAGGTTTGAAGTGCATTGTCAATATTAATCTACAGAGTTGGACTCTTCTAGAACAATAGAAAAAAGGCAGCACTAGCTTTGCCGTGAGGTGTACCTGAAATTTAATCCAGGGCCTACCACTCTGACCTGTGAATCTTATACAAAGTAAATAATAAAAGTAGTAAAATTCTCTGAGTCCTAAGCACCATGTCTAAAAGTGGCAGTAGTGATAGTGACCCCATCGGGTTCCTGTGAGATCGCATCTGTGTGGCTGGAGTCATGCCAGGCTAAGCTGATCTCCTTGTTGGATCAAGTCAGGCCCAAAATGATTTGCACGCGTCTGGGGGCACAGCAAGAGCCACATCTGTGATTGACTGTGATAGGTATGAGCAGGTCTGGAGACTTAAGGAGCTAACACAAGCAAGCTAAAGGAGGGAGTACGTGGCTTGTGTTATCTGGGCGAGGTTATGCTGTGGAATCCGTAAACACTGCATCTTAATGCAGACAATGTTCATGTTTGCTCACGGAACAGTCTGATGTACGGCTGGTGGAGATTCTGGGTGGCTCTCCTCAAAGCAGTGACTCAGGGACCCAGGGTCCTTCTCTCTTGTGACATAATTTCCTTCAATATGTGCCTTCCGTGTTCACCAGAATGGATGGCAAAGAAAGCATGGACCATTCTGCCAGGCCTAGAAATGGTGTAGGTTATTTTTGTCCACATTTCACTGGCTAGAACCCAGTCATACAGCTCCAACCTCAATGTAAAGGAGGCTTAGAAATGTCATCACCGTTTGTGCCTAGGGAAGCCTGAGAATGGAAGCAGCAATCTAGTCCCTACCCCAATCTTTCCCTCTGGCCACAATTTCACTCTTGCTGCCACTCACAGAACACACAAATTCCCTCCGCAAGGCAACAACCCAACTTTCCATCCAGTCAGCAGCATGCTCAGTCCTTTCCATCAGGCCCAGATGGGCTCCTTTTGTTTTGGCAAAAGATAGACTGAAAACACAAATTGTCTGCTCCCTGTCCCAACATACTCCATACACAATGGTGAAAGAAAGACAGGATAACCAAAGTACAAAGGACCATCGGAAGGGGAGGGGTGGGAGAAACACGGCTGCCATGGCTTTGGAGGACTGAGAGCCCACTAGAAGATGTGAAGACCACCCAGCTTGAGGAAGAAAATTACCTTTGATTAAGGCATCTTTTTATTTCCTGGGTGGAATTCCATCCTCTGCTATTCTCAAGGGTCTGGGTTCTGCCTTCTGGACAACTCTTTCTCCTCCTGGCTCCTCTGGGCCACACCTGAAATGATGTTGGGAGAATGCCTTCTTGGGGTTTCTAGAATTTCCAAATTCCACCTGTGACTGGTGAAAGACTGGGGGCCCAAGAAATTTTTTTAAGGTCTTGAATAATCAACATCTTTTTAAAATAGATATATGGTTTCCTTGGTGATTAATGGTCTCAAAATTTAGTTGGCTTCTTCCTCATTTATCTATTAATCAGTTCATTTGTCAGTAACTATGCCTATTATTCTTCCAAGATATAGATTCCAATTCTGCTTATTTTATTTTATTTTATTTTGCTGCTACCCTCATGCCTTTCTCTTTAACTTAATAAATCTACTCTGAGAATAATTTCCATGATAGATTAAGATAGATTTGTAATCTGGTCTTTCCCCTGAGTCACAGTATTCAATTTAGAAATTTTTCTGTGATTTTATTGCTTTTAAAATTCCATCTCTCATGTTTTAGGACATGGAAGCTGTGAGCTTTTCCAACCTGCCACCCTGGAATTTCTGGATTCTCTGGAGTCCCTTTCATGTATGTCTTGCAAATTGGTTAATTTCTTCTCTCTTTTTACTAATATTTTGGTTATGGATTTTTTTTCAACATGCAGCAAAGTTGAAAGAATCCTGTGGTGGAAACCCATATACTGAGCACCTAGATTCTACCATTAATAGTTACTGTGTTTGATATACATGTACACATCCATCTCACTCCTATACATGTACCATCCATCACTTGACTCGTTCTTTCTTGAGCTCGCCTTCATCTTGTAATACCTTGTGCACACAGCCAGTAATAGCCAGCATGCACAAATGCTCTGATAGTTCCAACCGCGTAGCTTGGAGCTATAAGCTGAATCTGTACATGGCTTGCCTTCCAAGTTACCACAGATGGTTACTTACCAACCAATTTGCCATTGCTTGGTTCAAGTCTCCATCTTTCCAGTCTCTGATATCAAATTTCTATTCCTCTGCTGCAAGAATCGTTACCCAAAGTTGTCTTCAGGTTTGCGCTCCCTCCAGAGGTGTTAGAAGACAATTTGTTTCGTGCATTTTTCTTAGCCTCCCAGGATGGAGTAACCTTGGCATGACTTGTGGATGCATCACTCCCATCTCTGTCTCCATTATCACATGGTCATCATCATGTGTGTCTGTGTCTCTGTGTCTCTTTTCCTTTTCTTATGAGGACACAAATCTTATTGAATTAGGGTCCATGCTAATGGCCTCCTTTTAACTGGATTACATCTTTCAAGACCCTATCACCAAATGAAGTCAAATTCACAGGTGAGGTGGTTAAAACATCAATATATCTTTTGGGTGAGGGGGGCACAATTCAACCCACGAGAGGGAGCATCTGCCTAGCCTCATCGCAAGGTTTCAATAAAGAATCTCTCCAGCCGGGTGCAGTGGCTCAGGCCTGAAATCCCAGCACTTTGGGAGGCCAAGGCAGGTGGATCACCTGAGGTTAAGAGTTTGAGACCAGCCTGGCCAATATGGTGAAACCCCGTCTCTACTAAAAATACAACAAAATTAGCCTGGTGTGATGGTGGATGCCTGTAATCCCAGCTACTCAGGAGGCTGAGGCAGGAGAATCGCTTGAACCCAGGAGGCGGAGATTGAAGTGAGCTGAGATCACACCATTGCACTCCATCCTGGGCGACAAGAGCGAAACTCTGTCTAAAAAAAAAAAAGAAAAGAAAAGAATCCCTCCTGCACCTAAAATGATCTGGCCCTTGAAGCCAGCTTGGGAGCAGGTCATGGGCGTTCGATGGGAATGGTGTTTCCATGTCCCACCATGGTGCGTCAAGCTTATGTCTCAGGAGGGAAGATAAAATAGCTAAAATGTATAGAAGACTGAGTAGACTGTCCTCTCTACTAAATTGTCACTCAGACCTGTGATCTCAGAACAGAATGAGAATTTCTATTTAAAAAAATTGTTTATTTTATCTGTAATTCAAAAGAATGATTACTATAAGGATGCTCAAGTATTCATAGCAGAATGGAGGAAAAGCTATAGGGATGAAAAAGGCAGATCCTTCTCATATTTCTAAAAGCAGGATCTCCGTTTCAGGAAGTGTAAATCTAGGCAAGGAAGTGCATCATTACCCTTTTATACTTTATCTGGAATACACAGTGACACTTTCATAGCTTCCTTTTCAGCTTCCTATAATCCTGCATCCAGAGTGGAGCTGTCCATCTCTGCTGACAGGACCCCTCTTTGTTGTACTATGAATATCTATATTTGGTAATTACCTCATTTCACAAACATCTATGGCGGGACTGTACTGGAGCTGGCGAGGGCCTTAATGTCTGTTTCAGACTCCCCCAGTGGACGGAAGGAAGGGCACAGGGTGCATATCTCCTAGCACGCAGCATGGTGTCTGCACATCATTATACCATGACTGTTTGCCAATCAAATGAACAGAGGAATCCATGAACAAATAGATGGATGATTTTCAGGAAGTGGAATATTTATAATAGGATTCACCGGAAATAATTAGGTCAGGTGCCCTGTTGTGCCTTCAGCAAAACCAATAAAACCTATCTACATATTTTCCTAATTAAAGCATTTCTACCTTAATTGTATTTCTTTTCTTTTGAACTGCCATAATGGAGGCTTAATCAATGAAATGTTTATAGTGGCAATATTTTCCAAAATAATAATAGGGATACATATTTGGCACAAATATAAATTCCGAATTATACATTTTTAATGTAGAAATTCTACAGATATATTCAAATATCATCAGGCAATCTTTGTGAAAAGCATTCTGGCAGTGTGTACCAAGATCTATTGAAAATTTTAAATACTTTCATCTAGCAATTTTACTGCTGGGAATCTATCCTAAAAATCCAAAGTACTGAGCCTGCTTTATGAATAAGTATATTGCAGTATTATGTGTCACAGTGAAACTTTAGAAATAGTCTAAATGTCCTACAATAGGGTAATAGCTAAGTAAGTTATAGGACATAATTATGCAGTCATTAAAATAATGTTTATAATGAGTTTGTAATAATAATATGGAAGAAGTTATATTATAATCAGGAATAAAAGAACAGGAGGCAAAATTATAGTCTGATGACATCCACATTAAGTAACAATAAATCTATGCATAAAACTGTGAAAGGTAGTACACAAAAATGTCAATAGTTATTGTTTCTAATGTGTGGAACTTGCAGTGATTTAAACATTTCTTCTTCCTGCTTTCCTTTATTTTCCAAATTTATCACACTGAGTATTTTGTAATGGGAAATGTAATAAGCATTTAGAAATAAAGGCACAAATGAGGTGAAAAATTAAATTGCATTAAATGTTACATTTATTAAAAAGAGGATCATAAAATTAGCAATGCATTGGAAAACTCTAAGTCTAAGTTCACTAGGCATAGAGGGGATAAATGGGAAGAATAAAAATGTTGAAGGCCATGATTTCAGAATTTTTGCAGGCACTGATTCATTTATGGAGACCTGAGGATGATGCAGGATTTGAGTGCTGGGCATTTAATCAGAGTCTTGCTGCTGGAATTCACAGGTGACTGATGGGGCCACACTTGACGTGGGTAGGTGCGCAGTTCCTCCAAAAAGCACTGTCCCTTGGTTCTTCATTCCCTGTCCCTCACTGCGTCAAACCTGCCAGCTTCTATGAGCTCTGACAAGATAGATGTTGGCAGGGGAAGATGAAACAGACTGACAGCCATTGCATTCAAACCGGTCACTTACAAAGGAAGCGAGTGTAACAACATTAAGGTTGCAACAGTGATTCTAAATGTCAATCTCCCTCCTCATGTGGCTGAGAGAACACAGTCTCTTGTTTTTATTCATGGCTGATTCTTTATGTGGCTAAAGGAGGCAGTATACCCTCATTGAGACCAAGTGCCTAACGCTGCTTGTGTTTAAAAAGAAGTGCATGTAATCCCAGCATTTTGGGAGGATGAGATGGGTGGATCGCTTGAGGTCAGAAGTTTGGGACCAGCCTGGCCAACATGGTGAAACCCTGTCTCTACTAAAAATACAAAAATTAGCCGGGCATGGTGGTGGGCACCTGTAATCCCACCTACTCAGGAGGCTGAGGCAGGAGAATCACTTGAATCTAGGAGGTGGAGGTTGCAGTGAGCCGAGAAAGTGCCACCATATTCCAGCCCGGGTGACAGAGTGAGACCCTCAATCTGGGGAAAAAAGCAACAAAAAAACCCATGCATTTTCTACCAGGTGTTTTGATAAAAAGGTAAAACTTTTTGTCTCTCTCTTTCTTTGGTTAAAAATATATTATTTTATACTTTAAATCATATGTATTGAATGTCAAGTATCAAAAAAATGTAACCAAAAACGACTGTAAGAAAAGAGGGGCAAAAACTCCAACAGCTGGATCATTTGTCATGCTTGCCTCCAAAAGAAGCTGATAAAATTTATCTTAATTTTTTAATACAAGGTAATTTGCTTTTTCTAAAACTACAGAGTGAGAGGACATTGAGTAGTACATTATTTTGAGACTTAAAACAGCAACAGCACACACAGTTCCACACAGTACTTGGGGCCTAGTATACTTAAACACACACCAGCAAGTTTTGAGGGGAAAAAGCGAAGTATTGGTAGAGAAAGAAACCAGCATTTGTGTTAGTTTAAGAAAGAAAGTGGCTGGGCGTGGTGGCTCACGCCTGTAATCCCAGCACTTTGGGAGGCCAAGGAGGGTGGATCACGAAGTCAAGAGATGGAGACTATTCTGGTCAACACGGAGAAACCCTGTCTCTACTAAAAATACAAAAATTAGCCAGGTGTGGTGGTGTGCACCTGTAGTCCCAGCTACTTAGGAGGCTGAGGCAGGAGAATCGCTTGAACTCGGGAGGCGGACATTGCAGTGACCTGAGATCCTGCCACTGCACTCCAGCCTGGCAACAGAGTGAGACTCTGTCTCAAAAAAAAAAAAAAAAAAAGCATGTGAAAATGTTAGCCTGAAAGAGTGACAGCACAGTTTAGGGAAAGAGAACATTTTGAAAATATTTGGGTGTCATCTGAAGCAGAGGTCCCAGTTTTGTACATTTTTTTTTTTTTTACTGTGGTTTCTAAAATAATTAACTTTTCACAGGGTATGGGGCTAACTCTTACCAGAACTGGAAACTGACAGATTATAATGTTTAGTATATTGCAATGTTTGAACAACAATCAAGCTAACCCCTTCCATCCTTCTGCTAGGCTTGGGTTTTCTTTTTTTTTTTTTTTTTTTTTTTTGAGACGGAGTCTTGCTCTGTTGCCCAGGCTGGAGTGCAGTGGCACAATCTCAGCTCACTGCAAGCTCTGCCTCCCGGGTTCATGCCATTCTCCTGCCTCAGCCTCCCAAGTAGCTGGGACTACAGGCGCCCGCCACTACGCCCGGCTAATTTTTTGTATTTTTAGTAGAGACGGGGTTTCACCGTTTTAGCCGGGATGGTCTCAATCTCCTGACCTCGTGATCCGCCCGCCTCGGCCTCCCAAAGTGCTGGGATTACAGGCGTGAGCCACCGCGCCCGGCCTAGGCTTGGGTTTTCTACATCAAGCAAATTGTCCAGAAATAATGAGCAACTCACTTAGGTCATTGAAATTTCCTCAATAGTTACAGCAAACTCAAGAGACAGAAGTGAACAGAGAATACATAGATTCAACCCATGCTTTCCTTGTATCAGTAATTCCTCCTAAGAACTTTGAAAATTCTTTGACTATCAAACCTTTATCCTTCTTTATAATTAGGATGGTGTCTGCTTTTAAAGATCATATCTATGTTTGCATTTTGACAGGTTGTAACTGTTGCGGAAAAAAATTTCTGCACTGAGAGTTGTTCAATAAGAAAGATGCAGACAATATTTGGGTGAAAATTTTGCAGAACGGACCCAGTTGAGGAAGACTTTATTATGAGTCACCTGAGCTTCCTATAAACATGGGATCAAGGTCCAAACATGGAATCTTTTCTGAGTCTCCTGGTTTCTTTGAGATGCTTCTGCAAAAGGCATTTGGGAGGTGAAGGCCTGGAACCAGGAGTCAGAACCTCATACATTTGAAAACTAAAGACTTTTCTCCCAAAGCTGGCTTCCTGCTGATTGATATCAAGGTCATTCATTATGCAAGATCATTAGTCACATCACATTACCTCTGCAATCAGGCTTTCGATCATCAGTTTTAAACTTGAAAAAAAAAAAAAGTACGTTTCTCAACAGGCCCAAATGAGATGGTAAATCTGCCTGGTGCATTATGCTTCTGTCATGTTTCTCATTCTTGTGCACTCTTTTCCATTCCTAGGGACACTACTCTGTTTTACGCCCTTGACGTTTCTTTTCCTGACAATTGTCACTGTGTTTTAATAGCTCATTCTGCCTCCAGGACCTCTGCCTTCTGGAGGAATCTCAAGTCCTGGTTGCCAGAGTCATCCACCTGGATCCTGTAAGTACTCCATGGAACCTGATGCTTAAACTCCTAACTCTTTTCTTTTCATCTGGCGTTAGATTATTTGTCTTTTTCTCAATATTTCTTCTTTAAATTTCAGTCTTAAAGGGGCATGGAACCAAAGTCTTGATGTCTGCATTCTTAAACCAGCTCAGCCACCAACACATAGTGTGACTTAAGATAAGACCCTTCCCTGCTCTCTGCTTTGATGCACAGAGAAAGGACAGAAACAATGACGTAAAGGTTCCTTGCAAAAACAAAAACAAAAAAATCTGTCATTCCATGATTTATTTTTATTTATTTACTTTTTTTTGAGACGAGTCTTGCTCTGTCACCCAGGCTGGAGTGCAGTGGTGCGATCTCAGCTCACTGCAACCACCGCCTCCTGGGTTCAAGTAATTCTCCTGCCTCAGCCTCCCAAGTAGCTGGGACTACAGGCGCCCGCCACCACGCCCAGCTAATTTTTTGTATTTTTAGTAGAGACGACATTTCACCTTGTTAGCCAGGATGGTCTCAATCTCCTGACCTTGTGATCCGCCCGCCTCGGCCTCCCAAAGTGCTGGGATTACAGGCTTGAGCCACCGCACCTGGCCCATTCCATGAGTTTTAAGTGATGAAAGGAAATGTCCCTGCCTATCTGAAAAGCCTAAGCATTTCTCCTATCAGAGCTTTTGGAAATGTACGGCTCTGCATGAGACTATTATTATTTTTTTTCCCCTCCTAAATCACACATGTCTTGAGTGCAGGTGGAATGCATTCAGGGGGGAGGTCCATGGAGGCATTTCACAGACCATCCCTGCTCACAGCTTTGCATTTGCGAACTGTGCGGGCAACACTGGGAGAAAGAGTTTCTGACCATGCTTGCTCTCCTCTTATGGGCTGTAGAGGCGATCTCCATAATGGGAAACAGAAGAGACGGTGCTTGTCCAGCCTGTGGGTTGCCTTGGAAACGGCTGGTGGGGAGCCGGCTTTCCCTTCATTAATGGGGTCATACATTTACGGCTGATTTTCTCCTAGATCCCTCCTGCTACTTATGCCACTTAAAGAGACCCTAAAAAACCTTACCCTATTTGTAAAGAATGAAAGTGACATTTTGTCAGGGCTTCAGTGTTTAAAATCCTAACAGATAATGTGTGGTTTCGATAGTAATGCCGATTCACAGAAACCTCTCAGGGGCACATGTTTCTGGTCTCCATGGATTCACAGGTTTTGTAATTATCTATTTTCTCCCTCTTTCATTCTTGTATCTTTTCCTTTTCTTCTTCATGTTCCACTGTCAAAGATGTCCTGCCACTTTGTCTGATCTCAGTACGATGATCAGGTTACTAGAATCCCTTCTGTGAGTTTAGGAAGTCACAAATGTCCAGATTTGCAAATTTAAAGAGCAATTTTTGCCCAACATAATAAATAAAAAGAGAAAATGAAATATATAAGAAGATGTTTTATAAATGGTGAAGCGTGATAGAGGTATGGAAAATTGTTATAATAAAAACCACTCAGAGTTTCTGCAATCCGACACCCTTTATTTTTCCACAATAGAATTGTGGAATAGAAACCACTTTTTAAACTGAACATTTAAAAAGTGGTTTCTTGCTGGGCGCGGTGGCTCACACCTGTAATCCTAGCACTTTGGGAGGCCAAGGTAGGTGGATCACCTGAGGTCAGGAGTTCGAGACCAGCCTGGCCAACATGACGAAACCCCATCTCTACTGAAAAATACAAAAATTATCTGGGTATGGTGGCTCATGCCTGTAGTCCCAGCTACTCGGGATGCTGAGGCAGGAGAATCACTTGAACTCGGGAGGTGGAGGTTGCAGTGAGCCAAGATCGGCCATTGCATCCCAGCCTGGGTGACAGAGTGGAAAAAAAAAATAAAAAAAGTGGTTTCCACTTTAAAGAGCGTATTCCTGAGCATTGTTTCATTTGATTCTATTTGAGCATTTACATTGGGTGTGGGGAGTGCCGATCACTTTTTTCTTTTTTTTTTTTTATATGGGAGTGACTGGCCCACGGAGCCTATCTGTGCCTGCTGGAGACAGCTGAGCGTTGCCCAGAAAAGCTTCCCTTAGAGCTGGTGCAGGGACAAGATGCAACTCTTAGGTTCCTCCCTTGGGGGACGGTGAGCATTTTACATGTGTCAAGAAGGAAGCCTACAGATGTCCCATGGCCTGAGAGGAGACTGTGGCAAAGACAGCGTACTAAGCCTGAAGCCATGCTAAGCTGGACTCATCCTTGGGAGGTGGTTTCTGAGCACAGTCTATATTTCCCAGCAGCCCTTGCAGCTGTGTGTTACCAGAATGATTGTTTAGGCTTCACAATGGATTCTAGGTGGAGCTGATGTATATCTCTTTTTGAACCAGGTTGTAAGAAGCAGGAATCCACCACATACTCCCTTTCCTCTTCTGTTGACTTTGTGCAGGAAACAGCAAGTCTCTAGACATGATGGGGTCACAGGATGGAAGGATGCTGCAATCCCCTCCACCCCAGCTCTCACACACAGCTGAGCAGGGCTGTTTCTGAAATAGGGTAATAGGGGCCTGGGGGCAGGGCTCTGGCTGCTTCTGAAACAAATGCTCTTTTTCTATGGGGTCTGCTGCCTCGTTGCCACTATCTCTGGTCATGGCTGCAAGCCGGACTCTCTCCAGCAAGTGAGACAGAGGTGGATTGAGGGAGGAGCCTGCTGCCACACCCTTCCTCTTTCAGATATGTTTGTTGATTTACTTGTTTGTTTTTCATCAGCATTCCCCCAATTCATCTTTATGTTTTTTTGTTTTGTTTTTGTTTTTTGGTTTTTTGGTTTTTGTTTTTCTTTCCTCCTAAACCAGCCAGTTCCTACTGTTCAGGGCAGTCTTTCTGAAATGGCAAATCCCTCGTGTGCTGCTGTTTCTACAGACCTTTCTTTGACAGGGAGGGGACACAGATGGCCCAATTTACCAGTGAGGCTCTGAGGAAAGCCCAGGCTTGAGATGGGCTTTGAATGGTGGGTGCTGGTAAGAGGGGCAGCTTTCTAAACCAAAGACGTGCCTTGTGGAACAGAGAGAGAAAGTCACAGAAGAGCAACGAAGGGCAGAGGAAGACGGGTGCAAGCAGGGAAGGAGGGGAGGAAGGAAGGAGGAGGGAGGGGAGGATGGAGAGAGGAGGGAAGGGAGAAATAAAGGAGGAGGGAGGGAAGGACGGAGGGATGAGGGAGGGGAGAAGGGAGAGAGGAGAGAAGGAGAAAAGAAAAGAAGAGGGAGAGGAGGGGAGGAAAGAAGGAGGTTGCAGAGGAGGGAGCTGAGGCAGGGGAATAGTGCTTAGCTAGGAGGAAAGGAGCCTGGGAGGAAGAGATTGGGGGAAGAAGAAGTGGTAAGGGAGAAATTTCTGTTTCCCACCTCCATCTGCACACATGCAGAGAGGTAATAATAAGAGAGTGTCGCAGAGACAGCGTTTCACTGCGCTGAGCACACCTTGAGTCTGCCATGGCTTCATTAAGGGAGTGAAGAGGCTTGGTGACTGGGGGACTCCAGGTCACCGGCGATGGAGGGCCTGGTAGGGCTGGATTTTTCCATTCTTCTACACCTGTCATTTGTGTGACCTTCCAGGAGAAACAGTTAGCCAGGGCTGAATTAGGGCCAAGAAATTATGATATTATGTTAAGCAGCTGAGAGACTCATCAGGTCCGGCTCCTCCGGAGGGAGGGGGGTTGCCGCCCCGGCCCTAGGCTGAACTGAGGCCAGGCCCCGTCAGTGGACAGTGAGGCACCATGGGGCAAACCTCTCTTGCGAGCATGAGGAGGAGGCTAAGGATGGCCGGGCAGATGTGTCCTCCGGGTTTTTGAGCTAGAACGGTCCCTAGAGATCATCGGACCTGACACCAACTGCTGCTTTCTCCAGGAGACACATCTGCGGAGGCTCCGGGAGCTGGAGCCATTTCAGGGCCTGTGCAAAGACCATAGTCATGGCAGGGTCTGGGCTACACCGGGCTCCTCGGTCAATGCCATTTCCACCACCCATAACTGCTTCGGAGCACGCAGCATGCTACACGGGATTGAATTGCACGGAGGTAGTAGCAGGTCGGGGTGGTCTATTGTAAAGGGAAATGGTGGAAAATGGTGGGAACAGGGACCGACTCCCTGCAGGTGAGCAGGGCTGCTTGAGGCATCAGAGGAAGAACAGAAGAAGGATCCCATGTGACACGAGGAGAATGAGGATGAAGAGCTCTCTTGTAAAAGTGCTGGGTTGCGCTGACATCATGAGACAGAGAAGAACTAGGCCGACAGCCCTCATTAATTCCTTAATATCCCTCAGTCCTGGAGGATCTCCTGAGGAAAAATATTAGAAAAGTATGTGTAAACAATCCTAATTCGTTGTTTTACAGTTTACAAGTTGAAGCACAATAAAACGTAGTTTCCATTTTATTTTAGAATTATAATTCACTTTGTAGTCAGACCTGTGTTCATATCCAGCAGGGAGTTTGAAGGATCACAGGCTTCGCCACCAGATGGATCCAGGTTTGAATCCAAGCCCCGCCACTTCTTAGATTTGGAGACAGCATTTTTCTTCAATGTGCTTTAGTTTTGTCATTAATAAATGGGGAACTATTACTGCATATCACATACATGCTTAACTATTTGAACAAAAAAAAAACACGTAGGAAATTGTACCTCCTTAATTCTGGGACATATGATCAATTCCCTCACATAACATCAGTTTTAGTTCAGGGAGTAATGGGTGCTTGCCTAACTGATGTCCAGCACTTTGCTGGATGATGGGAATATAAAATCACACCAAAGAGGTCCTTCCCCTCAAGAAAATGATGGTTGAGTGAAGCATTACAATCTATGTCTCTTTGACTTTCAGTGCTCTGTTTGAGAACAGGAATCCTACCTTTTAATCTATTTATTTCCAGAGCTTAGCAGTGTGAGTTTCAAAGTAAGTGCCTGGACATGGACTTCATGATGTGCCTTGACATGGTCACAAAAGGGCCACCAGGAAATGTTTTCCAATACAATTAATGTAGATAGAAGTGCAGAGGAGGGCTGGGTGCGGTGGCTCACGCCTGTAATCCCAACACTTTGGGAGGCTGAAGCAGGTGGATTACGAGGTCAGGAGATCGAGACCATCCTGGCTAACCCGGTGAAACCCCATCTCTACTAAACAAAATACAAAAAAAATTAGCCGGGCCTGGTGGCGGGTGCCTGTAGTCCCAGCTACTCAGGAGGCTGAGGCAGGAGAATGGCGTGAACCCGGGAGGTGGAGCTTGCAGTGAGCCGAGATCGCGCCATTGCACTCCAGCCTGGGCGACAGAGCGAAAAAAAAAAAAAAAAGTGCAAAGGAGAAGCCACCTGAAGCTCCTTTTTAGACATTGAGGAGTTCTCCAGGAAGAAAGTCGGCATTGCTATGATGGGACCAGGATGAAGGGGAGAGAATGCATTCTGACACCCTCGTCCAACCAGCTCTGCTGAGCATGAGTTTTCTCCAATATATTTCCCATGGAATTTAGAGGTCAGTGAAAGTGAAATATGGTTTATAAAAGTAATATAGATCCATGGAATAAACCAGATAATTCCAAAGCAAGATGAATCAATAATATTGCAGGGTCCCAGACCTAATTAATAAGGGAATGACTTTTCTCCAAAGGGCTTGGACTTTTGACTAAGGGCTTGGAAAGAAGTTTTAAAGTGTGGTGATACTGGTACCATTTTCTCTAGAAAAAATCATCAGTGAGGAGGAAAAACAACAATTCTTTGTTTCAGATGAAACAGAAACAATTTCTGATGTTTTATCAGAAATTGTTATCACCAATTGCTAAAAGATGTGATTTAGGTACTGTTTTAAAGGGATTATTTCTACAAAAATAATTTTAAAAACAAATATATTAATTCAACTAACAATTACTGATCACCTACTATATATTCATGTCTGTGGTAGGTGAAACATAAAAGACAAGATTTTTTTAAAAAACCTATTTTAGTCTCACGGTGCTCACAGTTTAGAGAAAGAAATAGGCTTACAATAACAATAACCCATTTCCCCAGTTTAAAAAAAAGACACTGACTTCACGTGGCCCAGATGCCTTTCTGGGGGATCAGGAAGCTTATAGCAGAACTTACATTGAACTCCAGATTTCTATCAAAATCCCATGATTTTTCCACTTGACTGTAGTTTCCAAACATCAGTTGTTCATATACCACTTCACCATTTTGCCAGGTGTTGCACCTCCAGTGTGGTGTTTACTTAGTATCTATTATGCTGGATTTGTTCCCACATAAATATATTTCAGTAATTTACTGTCACAGCTATGATGGGGCATGTTCTTATGCTCCCTGAACTATCTCAGCTAACACTGGGGGTGTGTGCCATTCATTTGAGAGACACGCTGTCTACCATGCTGTTATCATGTTTGTAGAGAGAGCCAGAAATCTCTGGCTGGAGATGCTAAGACATCCCCAAGAGGAGTTCTGTCCTGACTGCTTATGAGTTGAGAGCATGTTGATTAGTTTAGCCATGAGGAGGAAAAAATGATCTGATAGAGAAGCAGGTATTGTGTTCTGTCTTGAAGAATACGTAATTTATTGGATAGGAAGAATGAGGCAGTGGAGTGTGCTGAGGCACAGTGGGGAGCAGGGGAAAACAGTGGTAGTTGTTACTTTCAGGTGCCCGAGAACAAGAGGTCCAACAAGGAAGGCTGGAGTTGGAGAGTAGAATGGATTAGAGGCAAGTCTAAAAGGGGCTTTGAATGTCATGCTAAGAAATTTCAGTTTCCAGCAAATATTCGGGTCTGGGCTTTTTCGAAAAAAAAAAATTCATAGAATCATCCCTTTTAGAATAAGAAGTTAGATCATTAGTAAAGAAAGTGAGGGTCAGAGAAAGGAATTGATTTGCCCTTGGTAACCCAGGATATTGGTAATAGATGATCTGAAAAGTAGGGCTCTGCTTCTTAACTTGCTACTCTTTATGCTACCTTTAGCTGTTTCCGATATTTATTACTTAGCAGAGCATTGCTGATTGAAAGATTGGGTTGAATTGGAGATGGGTTCATTAGAAAGCGTCAGGTGCAGGTCCTGTGGACACACGGGAGGAACAACCACCTTTCTACTGTGAGCTGAGATGCTTCCCAGAGACGATGACACAGATGCTGGGTTTTGCTGCAGAAGGTGCTGAACAGGAAGACATAAATGAGGAGAGACGTGAGGCATAGCCTCAGGAGGCGCTGGTGTACTAAGAGCTGGTGATTGCTGGAGGCCAGGGAGCATACTTGAAGGTTGGATCTAGACCCTGGCTGTCCATAGCCATAGCTCACTAGGGCAAATAAATCTGCTTTTCAGATGTTGCTGTTAAAGCCAACGATGACAAAAATGCAAGCCAGTATGTAAAGTGAGAAGAATTTAGAAGGCTTCCTTAACCTCAATGTGGTCAGGTCAGCAGTGACTTCCATAGGGCAGTGGCCATTTTTTACCACACTCCCCTTTTCCTCTGCATGGATACTAGTGCAAGCCTGTGTTTTCCCACACACACTTGCCAGCAGAGCTTCCTAAGCTTTGGAGATGTTGCTTCCCTGCCTGAAATATTTCAGCGGCTTTCTGCTTCTCCCAGTAAAAAATGTACAGACTGTGTAACATGGTTTAAAAGACCCCTTGCCCCGGGATTTACCCCTTCTCTGTCTCATTTCCCAGCTCATCCTGCCAGGGGACTTTTTCCCTCCCTCCAACATGGATTCCCCATTCTTTATGTCTACATTCCTCACTTTTCACTTGAGCATCCACCTGCCTTGACTCCCCAGGTAGGAGGTTCCATTAGACATGGATTGAGGAATAGAACTTGACCCATGGCTGGTCATCAGAGCCAATATCCATGCTCATTCCACTCCAACCTTTACTGGAGAAGAGAATCAGCTCTCAACAGCATTACTGAGCTCGTGTGGATACTTCCCATCTCTAGCAATGAGAAGGAAGCTCGTGTCTTCATAAGAACTACATTTCACCATTGGAAGACTGGAACAATCAAAATGTCCTGGTATGGATTCAGCTTCCTGAAATTTCTACCCATTGTTTCTAGTATCTTATGTCCAGGTATTCTTTGTTCATCCAAGAGACAATTTCTGTCTATGCTGTCTGCATAGACATTACATTAGGTTTCGGGGGAGCAGAGCGAGCTCCAATGTCCTCTCCTAAGGAGCTGAAGAACTCAAGGGTAAGATAGATGTATAAACCCAAACCCAAAGTCTCTGCGTGTGGTGACTAAGCACAAGACACGGCTGACTCATGCGCCTTCACAGAAATGAGGCCTGGTGTTCAGCAACCTGTGGGGGTTTTCCGGAAAGAATATAAAACAGGAGCTGTTTTAGAGGGAACTATGCGTATGAAAGCTTGAAACAATTAACTCCCTGAATGTTCAGAGACCACTGAGAAGTTCTAAGTAACTGAAGCAGAGGAGCTTAAAGGCTGAAGGCTGGTAGAGGGGCACTCATGAGGACTGACGGACGGCAAAAGGCGGTGCTGGATGTGCCACTTGGGCACAGACGACCGAGCGTAGTTGCCGTGCCATAGAGCAGTACTTTTAAAATTGTAGGTGCCTGGACCCCATGCCAGAGCTTCCTAATGTTGGAGGGCTCAGAGTTCACCTGGGCAGCCAAAACCTTAAAAAGTCTCAGATGATTCTGGTGTGTACCCCCAAATGATAACCTTTATAGTAGGCAAAGATTTTAAGAGGAAAAGCAAAAAGTGACATAATTAGAATTTTATACTTTGGGCTGGGCACAGTGGCTCACACCTGTAATCCCAGCACTTTGGGAGGCCGAGGTGGGCAGAACCCTTGAGGTCAGGAGTTCAAGACCAGCCTGGCCAACATGGTGGAACACCATCTCTACTAAAAATACAAAAATTAGTCCAGCGTGATGGCAGGAGGCTGTAATCCCAGCTATTCCAGAGGCTGAGGCTCGAGGATCACTTAAACTGGGAGCTGGAGGTTGCAGTGAGCTGAGATCACACCACTGCACTCCAGCCTGGGCAGCAGAGCAAGACTCAGTCTCAAAAGAAAAAAAGGTTGAAGGTTGGATCTAGACCCTGGCTTTTTATGCTTCTCAGCTCCTCGACATCTAGTACCAGCTTCCCCACCCCTCGCCCCTGGCAACACACACACATGAGGTCCTTTAATGATAGCTGAATTTTTTGTCTGAGATTTTATTGTACTCTTTAGTTAAGAGATACTGCGTCAAGTATTTTAGAGGTTAATAAAGTGAAAAAACATCAAAGCTTGTGAATGAGTCCAGGTGAGGAAGCCCACCTTGCTCTCTTATCCTGGTGCAGGGAACCTGCTTCATGCCACAGATTCTTGAACCCCCTTTTGTTGTTTAACAAATTTTAGCTTTATTTTATAGGAAATAATACAGGTTGCAGAAAAATTCTGAGAATAGGTAAGTGAACAGTGCTACAAGGACTGATTACTGTAGTTAGATGCTCCATAAATCTGTCATTTGAAGACAATAAGAACATCTTGTAAATAAATTGAGAATCTGATGGAACAGGCATTTGCAAAGGAGGGGGATGTGGATAGGTGTGGGTTACAAGATGGCATGCTTTCATAATGATCTGCCTTGCAGCGTAATATTCACAAAACACTAGTGAACACTTGGAGATCCCTGTGAGGGGCTGCCTAGTTTAAACTGCTACATGATAATTTAATAACAGGTTAACAACACTATAGGAATGTTTTGGGTTCTCAGAATGCCGATACATTCTTCTGCCCCTTCTTAAGGTGCTTGGTGTATACCTCGTCCCTAGAAAGGGACTTGTGTATTGGTAAAGGCTGCCCATAGAAAGTTCTCAGAAAAGCAGTTTTCTCTGAATTCAATGGGATATTTACATCTCTTCTTAGAAATGTCTAAGGATTTAGATTATATTTCTTGAAATCTTTTTGCGAATATCTTTTTTCAGTCTGACTTTTGCAATACTCAGAATATACTAATTTTTTCCCTCTTTATTCAGTGGGCCAGAAATAAGTGGATCAGATGTGAAACAGAAAAGAAAAAGTGCATGTCTTTCTGGAAAAAAAAGTGCATGTCGTTCTGCGTGTGTGCATGCACACACACATGGTGGGGGTGGTACTTAGCATGGAGCGGGCAATACTTTGGTCTTGCCATATGGCTTATTTGCAAATATAGATTGTAGAAACTTAACCACACTAAATTAGGCATCTGTGCTTGACAATATTGCCTGAAGTTAGGCTTTCAAAATGCAGATAATCATATTAATGCTTTTACAATGAGGCTTTTCCTTTGGGTCTGGGGCTTAGTGAGTGGCATTCTGAGCTCTGTTCTTTGGTTCTTGTCTATGACCGTGCCTCCCACTTGTTCAGAGTTCTGGAGAACCTGGGGTCATGTTTTGTCATCTCTTCCACAAAGGTCAAATGTGAGCCCTTATTTTCTGGACACCACTCAAGTGCCTATGGGATTGTATTTTATATGTAATTGTAACTGAAAAATTCTATCCTGGGAAAGGGAAAGGATGAAGCCTATTCCAAAAACATGCAACGTCCCAGGGATATGATGTTGTTCAAATGACATGTTGCTTGGAATCCATCTTCACTCTAATTCAGGAATAAGAATTATGGCATTTTCACAGTTTTACTCAAGAATGCAGATTCTTAATAAAGTGTGCTTTGGGGCAGAGGCTTTTATTTTCCTTTTATGTGTAACTAGTGCTGATGCAATGTCTCTAGGATGAAATTTAAACTAGTATTATAATCACAAATCACAGCATAGGACGTCTGTTTGTTTGTTTGGTCGAAGTCAACACAGTGTCCTGTTCAGATCATCTGAAAGCATTAGTGCTGCTTTTCTGAGCTGAGAGTAGAACCATTTGCTGCCCTTTAATCAAGTCCCCTGCCATGTGTGTATACTTGCCTTTGGAAGATTGGGCTTATCTGTGTTTTCAGTAGTGTTTCCTTGGAGATAAGTAGGGCACACACCTTAATAACAGGGTACTGCATATTCCAGGCATCTGAAGACACATGCCACACATACCAGGAAATAAATCACATGTCACACTTCATTCTCAAAAAACCCACAGCTCCATCATCACCAAGGGCATAGCAGATACCTGACGGGACTTATTAGACATCCATAGGCAGAAAGCCTCCAGCAGGTGGGTCCAGAGTAGCAGCTGGCCCTCTGCATATGCTAATCGAAGATGGAAATTTAAGTGTCCAGCAACTGGCTTTGCTTTAAAAAGCCTTGGATTTTACGTGGGTGGTTGGTTAACTAGTGGAGCACATTTGAGACTTCATAACAATGTAAGAGTGGCCAACACTCCTGAGAGTATATGGGGTTTAGTATGTACTGTGGTGACTTAGAGATATAATGTGTTTACTCCAAATATTCTCTAGTGCTTCCTGAGCTCATAACAAACCTGTAAAGGTCATTTTTCTACACTTGTTCTTAGCCAAAAGGCGAAGAAGGGATCAAGATATTTTTCTAAATCCCCATTTTACAGAAGAAAGTGAGGCTCAGATAGGAAAAGTAACTGGCTCATGGCAAAAAGCCAGAAAGTAGCAGAGAGAGTATTTATTTATTTATTTATTTATTTATTTATTTTTAATTTTTATTTATTTATTTATTTATTTTTTTTAGATGGAGTCTCGCTCAGTCGCCCAGGCTGGAGTGCAGTGGCGCGATCTCAGCTCACTGCAAGCTCCGTCTCTCAGGTTCACGCCATTCTCCTGCCTCAGCCTCCCCAGTAGCTGGGACTACAGGAGCCCACCACTATGCCCGGCTAATTTTTTTGTATTTTTAGTAGAGACGGGGTTTCACTGTGTTAGCCAGGATGGTCTCAATCTCTTGACCTCGTGATCTGCCCTCCTCAGCCTCCCAAAGTGTTGGGATTACAGGCGTGAACCACCACGCCCGGTCGAGAGAGTGTTTAAATCCAGAGATTTGTGACATTTAGTCCAGAACTGTTTGTGCTATGTCATGCTACACAAGACTTTTCTCCAAGCAGAAGGCTCAACTCAGCACCAGTTCCCAAAACTCATGGGCAGGAACTCAGCCCCCATTTCATCAGGACAATCAGCCTCATGGGGGCACCCAGAAAGCACCTCTCCCCTCTGCCTAACACAGTGAATGGCTCTGGGCCATGAACCTCACTGGTTTGGCCTGGCCATGGAAGTCCTGAGAAGCTAAGATCAAGGACCAGATGGCTCTCACTTTATGCCTGAAACTTGCACAACTGCAAAATGAGGACACTGGCCTGGCCAGCTTTTAATGAACAGCCTGCTCTTCAAAGGACGTAACAGTGGTAAAGGCTTTTTAGCTCTCAGCCACCATGTGCCTGGGGCTGTAGAAAATCTATACTGAATGAAATTAATTGAAAGAAAACAAAGTAACCTTTTATTAATTGCCTCTGGCACAGATAGTGGAGTGATAGGGTGAAGATACATTTGTCTTTGTCCATAAACTTCTCCTGTTTGTAATATCCTCCATCCATCTCACTCACCTCTCTTCACCCTTCAAGCTCAGCAACATTAACTAGTTTCTCCATGAGCTCAATCTACACTGGTATCTCCTGCCTCTAAAAATCTGCTCTCATGTTAACATTTAATTTAGAATTTATTTCATCTTTAGTAGTTTATGTCCTATGTTCTTATCCAGCTTTAGAAGTTCCACAAAGTTAGAGATTTATGTATTTGTATGTATGTGTGTATGTATGTATGTATGTGTGTATTTCACTTCATTTGGTTTTAGCTTCTTACCACAGTATAAGCAATAGGATTAAGCTCATAACCAAGATGCAGTATATATATAGGCTAATGAGGTAATTCCTCCATAGCTTTAATACTGAGTCATCCTCTGTCCCCACCACCACCATTTGTCTCAGGATTTTCTGATGATGATATCAGAGTAACAGATTTCTATGGAAAAAAATATTTGTTTCAAACTTAATTAATACTTGAATTTGGACAGCAATTCCATTCTTGACAATAAAAACTAAAATGTATACTTATAGTATCCAACTAATCACAACTAAAAAGTGGTAGTTACTTGCACAGGAAACTTCAGCTCAGTAGACCTGCTTTGAGATGACACATGGCTGACCTGTCCCAAGGTAGCTTTTCCCAAATTTATCCACCTATCCTCCCATCCCTCCATCCTTCCATCCATCCATCCATTTCATCCACCACCCAAAATCCATCCTACATTTAGTCATTCAGCAAATGTCTATGCAACAGTTATTTTATGCCTGACTGTGTCCTAGATGCTGGGGATGGAGCGACGAAAATGCTGGATAAAAAGTATGTTCTAATAAACGAAAAATGTAGTGGGGCTAAGAGAAAAAGTGAAAAGACAAACCATATAAATAAACCAGAAAAATGTCCAGTAGCAATAGCTGCTCTGCAGTTAATACAAATAGGATACGCATTCCTATTGACTGGGTAACGCCTTTAGACTGGTAGGT
Source organism: Homo sapiens (assembly GCF_000001405.40). Taxonomy (NCBI): domain Eukaryota; kingdom Metazoa; phylum Chordata; class Mammalia; order Primates; family Hominidae; genus Homo; species Homo sapiens. The sequence continues at coordinate 5,852,253 of NC_000002.12, forward strand.
CAGGAAGGCCTCTCTGAGGAGGTAACATTTAAGCTGAGATAAGAAGGTTAAGAATCAAGTGTGCACTGGTTAGGGACTGATCCTCCCAGGTAAAAGCAAAAAGCCAATGCAAATGTCTTGTACAAGGAAGGAGCTTGGTGTTTTCAGGTAACAAAAAGAAAGCCAGTGAGCCTGGAATGGGAGGTGCAGGGAGGGAGGCTGCTGCTGAAGAGCTCGGAGAGCTTGTCCAGGCCCCAGCAGGAAGGCTTTCATGCACCATGCTAGGGAATTTGGATTTTATTCTTTGCAGGGTGGGAAGAAATGGAAGGTTTGATGCTTTAAGCAAAGCTGTGTGTATGATGACTATTTGTATGTGTCATTCCTAGGCTTAGGAATGCCCACACAGATAACCAGTAAAATATTATTTGTGAGTGTGTCCATGAGGCTGTTTTCAGAAGATGCTAACATTTGAATTGGTAGCCTGAGTGAAGAAGACCACACCACAAAATACAGGTGAGTGTCCTCCAACCATCAATGGCCTCCCCATGCAATACAGGTGGGTGTCCTCCAACCCATCAACAGCCTCCCTGCACAACACAGGTGGGAACCTCCAACCCATCAACGGCCTCCCTGTACAATACAGGCGGGTGTCCTCTAACCCGTCAACAACCTCCCCACGCAACACAGGTGGGTATCCTCCAACCCATCAACGGCCTCCCCACGCAATACAGGTGGGTGTCCTCCAACCATCAACAGCCTGAACAGAACAAAATGGCAGAAGAAAGGAGAATTCCCTCTCAGCTTCAGCTGGGACATACATCTTCTCCAGTCCTCAAACCAGGTGCTCCTGGTTCTTGGACCTTTGGGCCTGATCTTGGGCTTACACCATTGGCTTTCCTGGTCCTCAGGCCTCTGGACTTGGCCTCACACCACCAGCTTTCTTGTGTCTTCAGCTCGCAGACAGCAGATCACAGGACTTCTTGGCCTCTGTAATCACATGAGCCCATTTCCATAACACATCTCCTCCTATATCTCTATATATCCTGTTGGTTCTGTTTTTCTGGAGAACCTTGACTAATACAGTGTGTCTTATATATTCTATGTTTTTTAAAAATCACTCTGACAGTTGCCTGCAAACAAGTAGATGGGTGAAAAAGAGGAAGCAAGGAAAGAGGTTAGAAAGATGTGATACTAGCTCAGGCTAGAAATGGTAGTGGCACAGTGACTGGAATAACGGCAGTTAATACAGAAAAAAACTGGATATGTTGTTGATTAAATAAACAGGAGTTGTCGGTGGATTACATGTGAGGGAGTAGTGTAGAGGGAAATAATAATCTCTACTAAAATGCAGACCGTGATGAAAACTCCCAAGTACACTGAGAACCAAGACTGATATCTACCAAATTATGGTGGAATTTTCAAATACTAACAGGCTGATGGAAGTGAATGAAGAAATGTATCTCTTCGTCTGTGTCTACTGAAGAAATGTGCCACTTTTAACTGTAGGAAAGGTCTTCAACCTGCTCATCTCCTAACCCCGTCAGCAAAATCAGCTCTGTGCTGCCTGAATACCCACCAGGGAGGAACCACTTTGGAAGCAGGATCTCTCTCTTCCCACATCATGTCTTAGCTCCCTTACATCGCCATATGGTGACTGAGGCTCTGAGGACACACACGGAGATAATGCAGCAGGTGACTGCCTGCAGGGAGATGTACACCCCGGGTGGCAGCTTCAGCAAGAAGAGCTAGGGGCAGTGCATCTTGTGATTAGAACTTCTTCACGGTCTCCGTTGGATCCCAGCATGGTCAGCAGAGGCCCCTGTGTCCTTCATCCTGGCAGGTTGTGAAGCTGGTCCTCACCCTCTCCTACTCTGTCCGACCTTTGCACACTGCCTCACATTTCTCCTCAATGAGTGCTCCAGCCACTGATGACCAAACCTGCAGAATTATCCAAAGATGAGACTTTATTGCCATTCAGGCTGTGGGTCAAATCAGTGAGAGAGAAGATGTAGCCTTGTAGAATAGAAGTTTGCTAGGAAAAGCTTTATTCTTTATTATTATTATTATTTTATGTATTCATTTTATTTTTTTAGAAAATAGGGTCTTGCTCAGTCACCCAGGCTGGAGGGCAATGGTGCAATCATGGTTCACTGCAGCCTCAACCTCCCTGGGCTCAGGTGATCCCCCCACCTAAGCCTCCAAAGTAGCTGGGGCTGCAGGCACGCACCTCCACGCCTGCGCCTGGTTATAAGTGATCCACCCATCTTAGCTTCCCAAAGTTCTGAAATTACAAGCATGAGCCACCGTACCCGGCTACTAGGGAAAATCTTACTAAAAAAAAAAAAAAAAGAAAAAAAAAAAAAAAACCTCAGAACTGGGCCGGGTGTTGTTTATTAACTCATTCTGCAGCTAGTATAGATCTGAGAGAAGGATTGGAACATCATTCATAGAGACTTTAGCTGCAGTGTAAATAATAGCTAATCTTTCAAAGTCCATAAAGAGAAAGAACCACTTTTGGGTTTTGATGAAAAAATAAAAATCCAGGAAAAGGGGACATTGCCTTAAATATCTAAAGAAAGAAAAATTGGGAAAAATTTGAGAAATCTGCTTAGAATTCCCAGTAGGACACAAGAAAATATATTTCCTATAAAGAGCAAAAAGACACATGGATAAAATAGACTGAGACAAAGAGACAGCATAGGCCATTTCACTCTCACCCATTTAGCCTGGCAGCAGCATTTAGTACAAGGGCTCATCCCTTTGGCTGCCACACATCACAGGCTCTTCGCATTCCTGTCTCATTGCCCATTCCTGCTCTCTTCTGTAGTAATATCTCCTCATTCCTCTGATCTTGAAAAGTTGGAACACACAAAGACTCAATCTCTGGACCTCTTCTCTCTTCTATTATTCTCTTGGTGATTTCATTCATTCAATAAATTGTAAATATCGCCTAACTACTAACCACTCTCTAATTTCTCTAGTACTGACCCCATCATTGACCTTCATATCTGTCTGCCTGTATATCCCTCTCCATACCAACAATATCCTCTTGAATATTAATAGACACTGAAACTCTCACTATGCCCCAAATCAAGATCCTGAAAACTCCTTTCTTACCACCCGCTGCTGGCTTCCCCATCTAAGCCAATGAGCAACTCCATTCCTTCAGTGACTCAAGTCAAAAATCTTGGAGTCATTTTCAACTCCTTTCGCCTCTTTTACTTTATATCTGATCCTCCACCAAATCCCACTGAAAATACCTTCAAGATTATGTCAAAAATTTCTTTTCACCCCAACTATCTCTCTGTGGTCTAAGGTGCCATCATCTTTTACAAGGATTGTTGTAATTGCCTTCTAACCCCTCTGAGATCTGCTCTTCCCCCTTTATACTCTGTTCTTAACACAGAAGCTGATGTAATGTTTTAAAAATAAAAATAAAATCATATTCTTGCTTTAAATAAATTTTTCCAAAGGCTTCCTGACTTACAGAGTGGAAAGTGATGTAATTACAATTGCCTACCAAGCTCACACAAACAACTGTGTCCCCCACCACCTCTGATGTTTTCTCCCTGACTCTCCTTCTCTTCAGCCATGTTGCTTCCTGCTGTTCCTCAGACACGGTGGGCAGGGTCCAACCTCAAGGTGCTTTTTTGTGAACCCTTTTCCTGGAATTCTTGGCATGCTCTTCATTTCTTTCTCAGTGACTACTGTCTCCCAGACAATTGTCTCTTTCTGATGATAACAGTTATATCTGATAATCTCACACACCGCAAACACACATACCTAGTTTGTTTGTTTGTTTTATAATGTGTGTCTTTTTGCTCCATGTAGACAGGAATTTTTGTCTGTTCTATTGATTGCTCAAAACCCAGTGCCTGCAAAAATACCTGGCATATATGAATTAATAAATCCGTGAATATAAAGGCCATACACAAATATAAAAAAGAAACTGAATGAGCAAGGCAAAAGGAAAGTAAAAACAGTAAAACCAAACTATGAACAAGATGTACTAAGCAAATACTGACACTATAAAATTAAAATTTAGAATTTCATTTAGAAATAAAACTTAGAATTTATGATTTAATTCTAATTTTTTTTTTTTAAAGATGGAGTCTCACTCTGATGCCCAGGCTGGAGTGCACTGGCAGGATCTCCGCTCATTGCAACATTCACCTCCTGGGCTCAAGAGATTCCCATGCCTTGGCCTCTCCAGTAGCTGGGATTACAGGCATGCACCACCACGCCCGGCTAATTTTTGTATTTTTAGTAGAGATGGGGTTTCGCCATGTTGGCCAGGCTGGTCTCAAACTCCTGACCTCAGGTGAGCCACCTGCCTCAGCCTCCCAAAGTGCTGGAATTAAAAGCGTGAGCCACCAGACCCGGCCGGATTTAATTATAAATTTTAAAGCTCTTCCAGAATGACTAGAAAATTCAATAGGAAATAAATTTTTTCAAATGCTATAAAAGGAAAGAAAACATACTAAGCTGTTAAATTTTAAAATTATTATGTAATTCAAATTAAACTGTAAATATCAGTGCAGAGAAAATCATCAGACACTATTGGAGAAACGTTTCCATGTAAGAATAAAATAAACACAGCTTACTGTGCAGATTAATTAGGTTTATTATTTATTATACTTTAAGTTCTGGGATACGTGTGCAGAACGTGCAGGCTTGTTACATAGGTATACACGTGCCATGGTGGTTTGCTGCACCCATCAACCCATCATATACATTAGGTATTTCTCCTAATGCTATCCCTCCCTTTGCCCCCCAAATTCCCTGACAGGCCCTGGTGCGTGATGTTCCCCTCCCTGTGCCCATGTGTTCTAATTGATCAACTCCCACTTATGAATGAGAACATGAAGTGTTTGGTTTTCTGTTCCTGTGTTAGTTTGCTGAGAATGATGTCTTCATCCATGTCCCTGCAAAGCACATAAACTCATTCTTTTTTATGGCTGCATAGTATTCCATGGTGTATATGTGCCACATTTTCCTTATCCAGTCTAACATTGATGGGCATTTGTGTTGGTTCCAAGTCTTTGCTATTGTGAATAGTGCTGCAGTAAACATACGTGTGCATGTGTCTTTATAGTAGAATGATTTATAATCCTTTGGGTATATACCCAGTAATGGGATTGCTGGGTCAAATGGTATTCCTGGTTCTAGCTCCTTAAGGAATCACCACACTGTCTTCCACAATGGTTGAACTAATTTACACTCCTACCAACAGTGTAAAACCATTCCTATTTCTCCACATCCTCTCCGGCATCTGTGGTTTCCTGATAGTCATGTGGTTTTTAATGATTGCCATTCTAACTGGTGTGAGATGGTGTCTCATGGTGATTTGATTTGCATTTCTCTAATGACCAGTGATGATGAGCTTTTTTTCACGTTTGTTTGTTGGCCACATAAATGTCTTCTTCTGAGAAGTGTCTGTTCATATCCTTTGCCCACTTTTTGATGGGGTTGTTTGTTTTTTTCTTGTAAATTTGTTTAAGTTCTTTGTAGATTCTGGATATTAGCCCTTTGTTAGATGGATAGATTGCAAAAATTTTCCCCCATTCCATAGATTGCCTGTTCACTCTGATGATAGTTTCTTTTGCTGAGCAGAAGCTCTTTAGTTTAATTAGATTTCATTTGTCAATTTTGGCCTTTTTGCATTGCCTTTGGTGTTTTAGTCATGAAGTCTTTGCCCATGACTATGTCCTGAATGGTATTGCCTAGGTTTTCTTCTAAGGTTTTTATGATATTAGGTCTTACATTTAAATCTTTAATCTATCTTGCATTAATTTTTGTATAAGGTGTAAGGAAGGGGTCCAGTTTCCATTTTCTGCATATGGCTAGCCAGTTTTCCCAGTACCACTTATTAAATAGGGAATCCTGTCCCCATTGCTTGTTTTTGTCAGGTTTGTCAAAGATCAGATGGCTGTAGATGTGTGGTGTTATTTCTGAGGCCTCTGTTCTGTTCCATTGGGCTATATATTGTTTTGGTACAAGTACCATGCTGTTTTGGTTACTGTAGCCTTGTAATATAGTTTGTAGAAAGGTAACATGAAGCCTCCAGCTTTGTTCTTTTTGCTTAGGATTGTCTTGGCTATACAGGCTTATTTTTGTTTCCATATGAAATTTAAAGTAATTTTTTCTTATTCAGTGAAGAAAGTCAATGGTAGCTTGGTGGGAATAGCATTGAATCTATAAATTACTTTGGGCACTATGGCCATTTTCACGACATTGATTCTTCTTATCCATGAGCATGGAATGTTTTTCCATTTGTTTGTGTCCTCTCTTATTTCCTTGAGCAGTGGTTTATAGTTCTCCTTGAAGAGGTCTTTCACATCCCTTGTAAGTTGTATTCCTAGGCATTTTATTCTGTTTGTAGCAATTGTGAATGGGAGTTTGCTCATGATTTGGCTCTCTGTTTGTCTATTATTGGTGTATAGGAACGCTTGTGATTTTTGCACATTGATCTTGTATCCTGAGACTTTGCTGAAGTTGCTTATCAGCTTAAGGAGTTTTGGGGCTGAGAAGATGGAGTTTTCTAAATATACAATCATCTCACCTGCAAGCAGAGATAATTTGACTTCCTCTCTTCCTATTTGAATATCCTTTATTTCTTTCTCTTGTCTGATTGCCCTGGCCAGAACTTCCAATACTATGTTGAACAGGAGTGGTGAGAGGGCATCTTTTTTATGTGCCGGTTTTCAAAGGGAATGCTTCCAGCTTTTGTCCATTCATTATGATATTGGCTGTGGGTTTGTCATAAATAGCTCTTATTATTTTGAGATATGTTCCATCAATACCTAGTTTTTTAGTGTTTTTAGCACGAAGGGGTATTGAATTCTTTTGAAGGCCTTTTCTGCATCTATTGAGATAATCATGTGGTTTTTGTATTTAGTCCTGTTTATGTGATGGATTACATTTATTGATTTTCATATGTTGAACCAGTCTTGCATCCCAAGGATGAAGCCGACTTGATCATGGTGGATAAATTTTTAATGTGCTACTGAATTCCGTTTGCCAGTATTTTATTGAAGAACTTTGCATCAGTGTTCATCAGGGACATCGGCCTGAAATTTTTTTGTTGTTGTTGTGTCTCTGCCAGGTTTTGGTATCAGGATGATGCTGGCCTCATAAAATTAGTTGAGGAGGAGTCCTTCTTTTTCTATTGTTTGGAATAGTTTCAGAAGGAATGGTACCAGCTCCTCTTTGTACCTCTGGTAGAATTCGGCTGTGAATCTGTCTGGTCCTGGGCTTTTTTTTTTGGTTGGTAGGCTATTAATTACTGCTTCAATTTCAGAACTTGTTATTGGTCTGTTCAGGGATTCGACTTCTTCCTAGTTTAGTCTTGGGAGGGTGTATGTGTCCAGGAATTTATCCATTTCTTTTAGATTTTCTTGTTTATTTGTATAGAGGTGTTTATAGTATTCTCTGATGGTAGTTTGTATTTCTCAGGGATCAGTGGTGATCTCCCCTTTATCATTTTCTATTGTGTCTATTTGATTCTTCTCTCTTTTCTTCTTTATTAGTGTGGCTAGGGGTCTATCTATTTTGTTAATCTTTTCAAAAAATCAGCTCCTGGATTCATTGATTTTTTGAAGGGTTTGTCATGTCTCTATCTCCTTCAGTCCTGCTCTGATCTTAGTTATTTCTTGCCTTCTGCTAGCTTTTGAATTTGTTTGCTCTTGCTTCTTTAGTTCTTTTAATTGTGATGCTAGGGTGTCGATTTTAGGTCTTTCCTTCTTTCTCCTGTGGGCATTTAGTGCTATAAATTTCCTTCCAAACACTGCTTTAGCTGTGTCCCAGAGATTCTAGTACATTGTGTCTTTGTTCTCATTGGTTTCAAAGAACTTACTTATTTCTGCCTTAATTTTGTTATTTGCCCAGTAGTCATTCAGGAGCAGGTTGTTCAGTTTCCATACAGTTATGCTGTTCTGAGTGAGTTTCTTAATCCTGAGTTCTAATTTGATTGCACTGCAGTCTGAGGGACTTTTTATTATTATTTCCATTCTTTTGCATTTGCTGAGGAGTGTTTTACTTCCAATTATGTGGTCAATTATAGATTAAGTGCTATGTGGTGCTGAGAAGAATGTATATTCTGTTAATTTGGGGTGAAAAGTTCTGTAGATGTCTATTAGTTCCACTTGGTCCAGAGCTGAGTTTAAGTTCTGAATATCCTTGTTGATTTTCTGTTTTGTAGATCTGTCTAATATTGACAATGGGGTGTTAAAGACTCCCACTATTATTGTGTTGGAGTCTAAGTCTCTTTTTAGGTCTCTAAGAACTTGTTTTATTAATCTGGGTGTCCTGTATTGGGTGCATATATATTTAAGATAGTTAGCTCTTCTTATTGCATTGATCCTTTTACCATTATGCAATGCCCTTCTTTGTCTTTTTTTGATCTTTATTGGTTTAAAGTCTGTTTTATCAGATGAGGATTGCAACCTCTGCTTTTTCTTTTCTTTTTATTTGCTTGGTAAATCTTCCTCCATCTCTTTATTTTGAGCCTATGTGTGTTTTTGCATGTGAGATGGTTCTCCTGAATATAGTGTGAATATAGCACTGCCCCTCATGGCTTCCCTTGGCTAGGGGAGTTCCCTGACCCTTTGCACTTCCCAGGTGAGGCAACACCCCACCCTGCTCCTGCTTGCCCTCCGCAGGCTGCATCCACTCTTTAACCAGTCCCAATGAGATGAACTGGGTACCTCAGTTGGAAATGCAGAAGTCACTCGCCATCTGCGTTGATCTCGCTGGGAGCTGCATGCTGGAGATGTTCCTATTCGGCCATTTTGTCCGGGATTCAGTCGTTTATTTTATTTTTGACAAGATCTATAAAATTAGCCACATCTTGGTGCAGTCTGGTGTGTTTTAATTGTAGTGGTCATTCCTCACAAAGGGTCAACTAATGTAAGTCCTTACCACTCTAACAATAAATGTCCAAGATAATAGAGCACATCAGATAAAGGACCAAAGTAATTACAGCAAAAATTCTGAGCAAGATAATGAGAATTAGGACATACCCTCAGCAGACATTGATTTCTAGAGAGAGTGCTATAGAATGGTTAAGAATGTGGCTTCTGAGATTTCAAACACCCGTTACCTGCTGACAATGTTGGATTATATTTTTGCTACTTTAATGTTTGTGTCCTTTGATTCCATCACCCTGGCTGTTTCTGGATCTTTTTTTCTTGGTTGTTTTTTCTCCTGGTTATGTCATATTTCTTGCTTCTTCACATTCCTGATAATTTTTAGTGGGTGTTTGACACAGTGAATTTTACATTGTTGATTGCTGCATTTTGTTGTTTTCTTTAAGTAGTGTTGGGTTTTTTCCTTGTACACAGATAAATGACTTCTCCAACCCCCCAAATTTTTCTTCTACACATGCACAGATCATCATCCAGCCAGAGACTTGGGGAACCTTGCTGTAGATCTCCAGACTCCTCTTTCCGGATAGTTATCTCCTCTCCAGTGTCTCTGCTCCACACACATTTTGGCTGCATTGGTCTGGCCAATATCTGAGGCTAAGGGAGGATTGTGAGCTTTGTATTGGTTTCTCACTTTGCATCATGGCCTGAAGGCTGACTCTCAGCAATGAGCTGCTGCTACTGTAGGATCTGCCTTGTCTGCGCTCCTCTTCTCAGAGACCAGAGTCCTGCACAGTCTGTTTTCCCATGTCTGTCAATCACTGTTTTAGATATTGATAAGGACAGGAAACAGACAAATTCCTGGGCAGACAGGAACAGGTCCCCTTGAAACTCAACCTTGAAGCCAAAGACAGTTTAAAGCCTGAAAACCGAGCTGATGGTTCCAGATAGAGCCCACAACCAAAGTGAGAACTTCTATCCCCATCTTACCGTCTCTCTCAATTGATTCCTTCTGGATCATGCCTTTCAACCAATTGAATAGTGCTTTTTCCCAAGCCCACCCATGGACCAATCAGCATGCCCTCTCCCATTCTGAGCCCATAAAAACCCCTGGACCAGCCTCACAGATGGCTACCCATTTTGGGGCCACCACTTGCAGCTGAGGGCAACTTGCCTTCAGGGTCCCTTCTTGCACTTGAGAGCTTTCCTCCTGTCACTCAATAAAATTCTTCTCTGCCTTACTCACACTCTGACATCTGCGTACCTTAATTCCTCTTCGTTGCCGAACGAGAACCGGAAACTTGCTGAGCTGTAGGTGGCAGGAATGAATAAGCTGTAACATACCCTCAGTTTGCCAAGCTGTGAGTGGCAGGAATAAAAGGGCTTGTAACATAGTCCCACTTGTGGAGCTTTGGGAGTGAACAGATGCCGCATTCCTTGGGAGCTGAGACCTTGGGACTCCCTGAGCAAAGGCTGCAACATATGTTGGGGCTCTGCGGTTGCATCTTCGAGTTTTCGGATGCCACTGCGTTCCCCTTGTCTAAACACTGGCTCCCAACATGGAAGCTGCTTGCAGCATGCCTGCTCCATCCACAGGCTGAGCACGGAGTCCCTGTTCAGGTGAGGGATCCTGGCTGGAGGGCAAGCCGAGGGCAGCCTGCAGGACCAAGTTGGTAAAGTGACCCCAGTGGGCCTGAGCTAAGTCCTGGAAAAAGGCCATGGCAGCCACAGAGATTTCCAGCTGCTGACGTGGCAATGAAGGAGTCCTGTAACGATATTTTTGTTTAGTGTTCTAGTTGTCTAGGGAAAAAGGGTAAAGCCTGTCCTGTTCCTCCATCATGTTAGAAGTAAAGTTCAAAAGAAGGCATTCTTACACCAACCCAATGAGGTGTAAGAAGAGTGATTTAGAGAATGTATTACAGAGAAGTCCTTCTCCCACACATATCAATTTAGGAAAACAGGAAAGTTGGGAATCTGCATTTAGAACAACATCCCAGGTGCTTCTGACATAGGAGGTCCCTAGACCCCCTTGTGAGAAACAAAATAGAAGATGATTAATTTCCCCCAGGCTATTTTGTCCTGACTTGTGAATACTTTCACATTAAGAAAAAATGACAAGCTCCAAACAAAACAAACAGGAAAACTCTCTCCTCCAATCCTGAAATTAAGCGTATCTCAATCTTTAATTCTTATCTCTTTCCACCAGATACCGCCCTTCCTTGCCTTGCCTTCACAGAGCAGGTGACCTCCTGCACATGGAAGACAACACTACACCCGCTGGGTGACTTACCAGGGGAAGGGAGGGGCCAAGAGCAATAATGAGTAGCACACAACACACAAGAGAGTCTGAGCAGGTGAGGGAGGAGCCTATTCAAGTTTTATTTATCATGCGATTAATGCTTTCACTCGGTTCTTTAACCCCATTATCATGGGTCCATTGTGTCTTCTCATCTCCTTTTGCTCTTGACTATACAACTTTGTCTTCTTAGGGTGGAAGGTGGGGGGGGGTGGCAATAAAGCAACGTATTGTGACAATAACTTGATCATAAGGAATATTTGTTACCCTTAATCATCTTGCTATGCAGAGCCTTGAAATGGATACCAACTTTTTCAGGTCTGGAAGCAAAGAAGCTTTTTTATATGGGCTGCTGAGCCCATTGCTGAGACTGCAATGAACACAGACTATCTTCCAAGATGCTGATATCACTCCACTTTTAGCTTTTATGGCCACTGGGCCAAGATCACTTACCGTCAGGAGATAGGAGCTATCGTGATGTTCTTGAACTTCATTCAGCTGGGTATTGAATGGTAAGATGCACACGTTTTCTAAAGAGCGTACACTCCAGTCACTGACTCTGGTCAGTTATCAATCAGAGCACTCAGAGCACAGTTTATAGAGGAGACGACATTTAAATTGAGTCTTGAAGAATGATAAGAATTCCCCGGACAGTGTGGAATGCCTCAGATTCAATGATCTTCTTCACCACCTTCAAAGAGCTTGAGCTTGATAGAGTTGTTGAAGCTTTCTGAGTTTTGGTTTCCTCATGTGTACAGTGAGGACCATGATATCAAACTCACAGGGTTGTAGTAAAATTTAAAGGGAGCCATTTATGTAAAGTGTGTGACTTATAGTGTTAAAGATTGAATTATGTCCACCTTCAAAGAGATATGTTAATGTCTTAGCCCCTAGTACATCAGATTATGACCCTATTTGGAAACAGCGTCTTTATGGACGTGATCAAGTTAAAATGAGGTCATTAGAATGGGCCCTAATGCAATATAACTGGTATCCTTAAAAAAAAAAAAAAAAAAAAATGGAAACTTGGACACAGAGACAGATATGCACAGAGAGAAAGCCATATGAAGAAACACAGGGAAGAAAAGGCCACATGACTACAGTGATGCAAGTCAAAAAAAAACCCCAGATTACAGGGAGCCACCAGGAGCAGAAAGGGGCAAGGAAGTGTTCCTCCCTAGAGCTGACAGAGAGAGCATGGGCTTGATGACATCTTGATTTTGTGCTTCTAGCTTTGAGAACTGTGAGAAAGTAATTTTCTGTTGTTTTACATCATCCAATTTGTGGCCATTTTTTATGGTAACCCTAGGAAGCAAATACAGATAATGAATATGGAGCAGGTAGTCAAAAAGTGTGAGTAGGTGAGGTGGGAAAGCATGCTAACTTCTCATCCATGACGGAGCTTGCACGGGAGCAAGAAAGTTATCAGGGAAAGAAAGAGATGGTCTTCCTGGGAATGAAAGATGATCAGAAAACTCTGTGATTGGTGCAGAAGACACAGGAGCCTGCACGGGGGGAAGAGAGACGGAGCCAGGGTTACAGTCATGAAGATTCCTGTTCCCCATGCTCAGGAATTTACACAGGTCACATTGTTTTGGTTGACTCAAGAAAATTAGCAGCAGTAGGCATTTATCAGACAAGCATTTGACTTTGGACATTTTCTGCTGCTACCTCCCTTATCTCTAATATTTTCTAAAGTGACCCAACTTGGCAATCTCAACACTAAACAAATCCATTTACTAAAGGGGTTAAGTTATGCTGATTGGCAACCATGTCCAGGCAAATGTTTCCAGGCCCCTGGGAAGGCCAGCTAGCCTCTGTGTGCTCCTCCCAGGGGTGAAGTATTCCTATAAGGGCTCATCCTATGCTCAGGTCACCAATAGTCCTACAGCATAACATGCCTTTTATCTTCTCCGCTGCAAAGCTCAGGGTTGGCAAAAGGGACTCCCATTGGAAGATATGGTGTCCGACTCAACTCTTGTTCTTCTGTGAGAATTCTGCAGAATAAAAAGTCAGTGCTCTCCAAGCCAGCATGGATACCTGGTATCCACTATATCCCAATATGAGAAAGTCTGCTCTCTGAACATTGAGTGTTTCTGGTTCTATGTGCTAATTTCCCCCAGAGGCAGGGGGTATTAGCTCCCTCCACACCAAAGCTTCTGTCCCATATTCGGAGCCACAAGACTGGCCAAATCAAAGCCGGTAAATGCCATCCCTTTCCGCACTTTCTCCGACCAGCTTCTTGGCCTCCTTACATTGCTTATTCATGTGTGTGTCTCTCCCCTACTTTAATGTAAATTCCCTGGGAAGAAAGTGTTGTGTTTTATTAATCTTTGTCAAGTGCTTTGCATTAACAAGGAGGAGATTAAGGAAAAAACAGCTATGGCACTTTCTAGATTGAGAACATTTGCATGTCCAGTCATGTGTACATATTTATGCAATACTCCTCATGTAATTGCCTTTTTGACTCAACAATTACCTTCAATAATTTTTCCCTTTATTCTGCCTCAAGAGACACCAACTCAACTATAACAAAGGCCTACTGAGGGGTTTCTGCCTCTATTATCTCCCTGGGAGCCTGGACTCTCGAGAAAAAAGTCAACCTTTTTTTTAGTTTGTTGACTCATTGCACCGATGTTTCTTGAGTACCTGCTATGTCCCAGGCATTGGGTTATGTTCTTAGGATATAAGAAGAGGCACCCAAGGAGCTCACAATCTGATGAGAAGACAAATAACTCTGAAAGCAAGTGCTGAGTTGCTTCATGGGAGATGGCAGGGGAGGGTGCCCTGGGAGCAGAGTCGAGAGGACCTGCCTCTACCCTGCTGGGTACAGCAAGGATTCTGTGAGCTCTCTTCCTTCTTAAGCTGCTCTTCCCCCAGAAGGTTATGCAGGTACAGGTCCTGACTGCTAGGGTCAATATACATCTCCTGATAACCTTTAGATCCAGGACACTGGAGGAAATCCTACACTCTGGTGGAGAAATCTATGCGGGAGAACCTGTCATTCTGTTGGTTTGGCCTCTTCCTTTTCTGCTAGCTTTGCTCCAGTGTCTATGACTGCAGATTGCCAGCTAGCTAGCTGTGGATCAGTGCAGAATAGCCTGGACTCAGAAGGACCTCGAGTCAGAGTCCTGGCGTTGCCTTCTAACACTACCTCTTACCACCTCTCTGACCTTGGGCAAATCACATGTCTCAGTTTCATCATAAGTAAAACAGAAGTGATAATAGGACTTCCTAGGGTTGTTATGAGCCATAAGTGCATGAGCGTCAACAACGTTCTGCAAGCAGTTACTGCTTTATAGAACACTCTATAGGTGGTCCACATCAGTATTAAAGAAAGTAGCATGGCAGTACAGAACAAGATTTACTTGTCATTAAGTGGGGCTCTCGATGTTGGCTCATCTCCCTCCTGCCATATACTCTGAGGACAAACTGTTGTCTTTGCTGGACGGTGGAGAAGGATGAAGAAGGCTTAGTTACTGTCTTCATTTCCCTGCATTCCGATTCAAAGCATCACCAATGTCCAATTTCAGAAAGCCAAAAATCCTCATGCCGAGAGGGGATTGCCTTCATTAAATGTTTACTGGACACTCCCAGGGGTGATCTTTTCATTATATGTGATGGGCTGGGCTGCCGGGCCATCTTTGTGGTGAGACTCTTTGCCCCTGTTCTAGACAACAGTGTGGGCTGCCTAGGTGTCCGTCTCTGGACTCCAGCAGGGTGGGGCTGCTGACCAGGCTCCACAAGTGCTCTGGGCAGCAGCTGCAGACTCGACACTTCTGCCAAGGCGGCCTGTGTGGGCAGAACCAGGGCATGGAAATAGCTGAAATCCAATGGGCGTGTATGCTTCCGGCTGCTGCCCTGCTCATGCTCTCATCTAGCAGCCCCATCTGCTGCGTGGGAGGCAGCGAGGAGGGTGCAGTGTCTGGTGGCTGTGAGAACCCTGGCTGCCCCTGGGAGTCTGTGCCAGAGAAGGGCAGGACGGCAAAGCTGAAGCAACTGCTGAGGCCATGTTAGCCCCATTCCGCATCATACAGACCAAGCTGCAGAGGTCCAGACAGTGGGACTAGCATCCCCAATGTCAGACAGCTGGTTGAGGTAATAGAGCTAGAATCAGATTTCGTTGTGCACTGTGAAAACCATCTTGTTTCTAGGTCTTTCTAGACCAATTGCAACCTTTTTACTGATACTGGCATAATACCAGTTTTCCCAAATAGTCTGCTTATCATCTCACTCCTCAACGTTAGGCTTCATGAAGACTTCCTTTCCCTTCATTCTGCATCTTTGACACCTCTAGACCAGTTGTGATGACTCTAGAACAGCTGACCACAGAAACAGGCTAGGGTAATCCTACAAGGTGAAGTTCACAAGGCCAGTGCCTGCTTCCATGGTGCCTACTGCCAGGCCTGCTATTGCCTTTGAGATCTGACTCAGAACACAATGCCAAGAGCTTTCTATTAGATACAAACACCCGACTTTGGACACTCTGTTACTCAGGTTTTTTTAATCCCTCACATAGAAAAGCACCAGAGTTGTCACCATACAGAGCAACCCCAGATTCAAGGACAAATTGTTTGCATCTGTTAAAAGTCTTACAACTTAAGTTACCATTGGCTCCAAATAAGGTCAGTTTGGATTCTAGAAAACAGAAATCATCATTACCTCCTCTTTTTTATGAAAACTACCTTCTTGCCTCTATCTTTTATAAGAACTGTGTTTTACACTTACTGAATTCTCAGCACAGTAGAGTTTATTGAATCCTGGGATTTCTGTCCTCAGAGAGTCCTTGGGATCATCTAGTTAGAATTCCTTTCAACTTACAAATGCAGAAACTCACCCAAAATTCTTGTGTTTTGCCCTAGTTCTTGAGGCTGGTTATCTGATTTCACCCTCAGAACTGTAATCTAGGTCTTTCTGCAACCCTATGGAGGGGTCTAGTGAGCTGCAGAGGTGTTGTGCTCTGCAGAAAACAGGGGAGGCATGGAGCCCTGTAGGACTGTCTTTGAAACCCCACTCCACCTCCTTCTGAAAGGCAAGGCTGAGCTGTAATCTAAGTCTTTCCAGATATTCACTGAAGTCAGAACTGGTGCCAACCAACTCTAACCAATAAAAAGTCAAGTTTGCCCACTTGTGAGAGACGCCATGTGGCCTGGCCCTGTGCTTTCTTCCTGTGTGTGGGCTGCTCTGAGCAGGATGCATGTGGCAGCAGAGACGAGGAAGTGCCAAGGCTCATGAAGACCCCAGGACTACAGAAAGGACCGCTGACTTTACAGTATCATGGCCTGTGTGGACATAAGTGGACATAGGGCAGGGGCCAGCCAGTCAAGGAGTCCCAGGGACCTCGTGTTGACTTATCTTCTGCCCAAGTGGTGAGAAAGGAGGTGGAGACATCTGTGACTGCAGTATCAGCCGGACACAGTGGCACAGGGAGCTTTCTACCCTGTCTGGTCTACAGGCTCATGGAATAGTAGGCTACCCGGAAGCGTCTTATGATCAAAGCTTTTTGTGTGGCCTACGGTAAAATAAAGTAACTGAGGAACAGCTATAAATAGGGTAGGACACTCTTCCCAAGAGACTTCTTGCCGGGTGGTGGTCAGAGGCATCTGTGCCCACACCCAGGAATGCCCAACAGGTCCCAGGGCCATGAGACTATGCAGAGGACTAAAAGAGGGTGGGGACACAGCTGTGGTCTCAGGCCCTGACACTTCCTTCGAGGAAGGGTGCAACTGCATTCTTGTATCGGTGTCCTCCCAGGCCTTCCGGGGATTGCCCTGGAAGCGGCCTGCTGGAAATGGAAAGCTATGTGTCTTTTAATTGCTCCTGATCCCTGGAAAATCCCCAGGCGTGGTTGCCTCTGGGGATGTCTTACCCCGGAATAAGCAAGCATTTGAAGGTCTCTTGGCTTTCAGAGAAAAGGGAAACACGACACTGGTAGCTGTTGAAGCCAGAATCTCTCTTTCTTCTTCACACATTCTCTCTTCTCCTGTCCCTTACTCTGTCCATATTTCCTTTCATCTTTTTAGAGAGGTAGAGAAGTTTTTAAAATAGGACACTAGGAATCACAGAGCTGTAAATTTCTTTGCTTTCTTGCGTTTTAAAGATTTAAGAAGTGAGGCCCGGAGAAGGAGAGTGGCTTGTCCAGATTAGGAAAAATGAAGCCCAGAGCTTCTAAACTCAATTTGTGATAGAGCCTCCTTCTTCCTCACTGACGCCCACCTGTCCTGAGGCACCTGCACCTTATCTGCAGAACAATTGGATGTCCTGTTTGCTTGCCCATCTATCCACTCAGTTATACAGAGGGTTTCAGATTTTCTGTGGCACTGTGAAACAAACCAAAACCACACAGCTGCCTGGATTTGGGATCTGAGCTGAAAGATCGTCTTTGCTTCTCTACTGGTGACCCCAAGCCTGTTATCCTCTGTCTCTCGGGGCTATTTCCTCAGCTTTGCCATAGGGAGGGTTCACTTGGACACTAATGCTCTGGAGTTCACTTGGACACTAATGCTTTATCATCTCTCAAATCACTTTCATTCCATCTGAGTGTTGCAGAAATACATGCTTTGCAGGGAGCGCAATATTTAAGACAACCCAGTCCACCAGGCCTGCGAAGTTGGGAGCTCTCACCAACTTCACCAGACTTCAGAGTTGTTGTGAGATCAGCTAGAATGTGAGCCGCATGACATATTGCCACTGCGGCCCCCACACTCTGACATTCCTGTGCACGGCCCCTCAACAGCTGCTCCAGTGAGAATCCAAGTATAGTTCACCCTGTGGCCACATCCTATGCTGCTTTTCGGATCAGCTTTTGGGTACGGCCATTTCTGTGAAGGCCAACCAGCTTGCCTTCATCTTACAGGCAAGAATTCCCTCACACATTCAATTTCAATGACTCGGTTCAGAGTTTATGTTCTTTTTTTTTTTTTTTCAGTCTTGCATTTACAAACTCACAAAAATGCAACCTGCAATAGCGTTATCATGGTTGTGCTGAAATAGTCGAGGATCTGGCTGGGGAGAGCTTCATACTTCCTGCAAGGAAAGGCAAGTGATCTGGAAAGCTAGAGTTTCTCGTTTCTGTTCTAGACCTTCAGTGTCAGGCCAAGTCTCGGGAAAGATCTGCAGCTCTAGGACTCAAGGCTAGAATGTGAGCCGGTGCTCTCCAAAGGTCCCATAGCGTGACTGAAGTTAGTGTAAAGCCAGTCATGTTTTTTCCAGGATAGCTCTGACCCTTCACTCCAACTCTGCCTTAACCAGTCACATCTCAACTTCACTCTGTTTCTGTCAAAGAAAAGCATAATCTTTACTTTTAGACACATCTGAG
The DNA here is from genome assembly GCF_000001405.40 of Homo sapiens. Lineage (NCBI taxonomy): Eukaryota > Metazoa > Chordata > Mammalia > Primates > Hominidae > Homo > Homo sapiens. The sequence goes on from NC_000002.12 coordinate 5,870,710, forward strand.
CTCAAGTCTTTCTCAGCCATTTGATATAATTTTGTTACCATGGCAAGAAAATTAAGTAGCCTTGCTTACTCTCAAGTTCCAAAACCTTAAAATCCAGCCACTGCCTGACCATGTGCGTATTGTGAGAATCAAATAGAGTAACACAAGTAAAGTACCTGGCATGCACGTGAAGTTCCTTTTCTACTCTCAGTTTCTGTCTCTAACATTCCCCATTCCCCCTTCCCCAGACGGCTGTAGTAGAAAAAACCTGAGAACACAAAAACTGGCTTCAGCCACCTAACGACCTCTGTGATTCTGAATAAGCTGCCTAATTTCCTCATTGGAAAAGTGGAAATAATAACAATACGGCAATTACATCTTTGATAGGATTACGTGATGAAGATGACAGTGATAATGATAGCTGATGTCTATGTTAAATATTTTATTTACGTTTAGTATTTGTGAGTACTATATGCCAAGTAGTTAATGCATCTCACTCACACAAACATATCAGGTGGATCACTATAATAATGTCTATTTTTCTCATGAGCGACTTGAGGCACAGAGAAGTTAAGTAACCTTCCAAGGTAACAGAGAGATGCTTCCAAGAGTCTACATTAGGAGTTCCTTTGTCTTTACTTACCTGCAGTGCCTGGCTTATCATCCTGCCCCGGTAAATGCCCTACCTGGGTGGAATGAACAAAGGTGAAGAAGGCGTCCTCCGCATTCCTACTGCAGATGGGGCTTTTGTATTTTTGCCCCAGGCTGTGGCTGTTGAATTGGAGACCCATCATGCTATTTGGTTTTTTGCTTTCAGGTGTTCAGGACACCAGTGATGGAGGCTTCCTAGGACCACTTGCTTTTAATTCAGCTTGTTAGGATTTCTCAGGATCAAAGGCAAAATACATGCAGCTCTAAGTCTGTGACAGTGAGCAAATAGCGATCAATGCCTGGGAGAAAGAATTTCAGGTTTAAGGCCAATTCCAACCTCTCTCCCCCGGCTGTGTCCTCCTTAAGCACAGTGCCCCCTCCTGCAGGTGCTTCTGCCAAGACACAGTTGCTCTGGAATGGTGAGAACTCATGTGCTCTTGAGCTTGCAAGAGGCTAAGACAATTATTTTCAGAAATGAACCAAGTTAATGAATGTAGATTCAACTTGCTATGATAGGAATCTGTTGACCCAGTAAATGTTATAAATTTTTTATAGGTGAATTACTTCCTTCTAAGCATATTTTTATAAATTCCTCCAAGTAATGAGTTGAATGGTATAGTGTTGCCTGGTTTGTATCTTCATTACCTGCAGTACTTGAAATCTATGATATTAAATCAGCACTCTATGCATAAAGTTATATAGAGATATCTAATTAATGGAATTACTGTGTGAAAAAAATGTAAAGTGTCAATTACTACAGTGCCCACATAAATGAGAACTCCCAGGTGACCTGAGGCTGCAAAACATACATTTTGCACACACAATAATTGATGTCTTTTTTCTTTTCTTCACAAATGCACCTGTTTCTAGTCCAGCCCTCTGGCTTTCCCTGGAATTTCCTCTCCACTTGGAATCGTGGAAGTGGCTAAAAATTCCACCTCAGATACATCTCTGCAGAACCTTAATTTCTACTTTTGGCTGCTATAAGTCTTGCTTCTTTGTTATCATGGCCTATGATCATGTAATGGACAGAATGTTGGAAGTAATTCTGCTAATTTAATGTTCATCCAAAGCTGACACATCGTCATTGCACCTTCCTTAGTTGATAAAACAGTCAAAAGATTGATCAAGTCTGTTTTACTGCAGTGAGCACATTTTCCTCTCCTTCCTAGTGTCTTTGATCTTTAAATCTCAGTTCTTCATTTTCTGTAGAAGGGATTCCCAAATTCTATTCTCTCAGCTGGCACTGTTCTGTAAATGTAAATAAATTTAGATACATATGTGTGTTCCTTAGTTGGAAGAACTACTATTTATTTTTAGAGTGATCTTTCCTATGTTTTAATGCTTAAATATCCTGAATGTGGGGTGATGATCAATTTTTGTTTTGTCTTGAATTTATGGATCTATTAATATCCCAAATCTGAAAGGCACTTGCGTAAGAATGCTGTTTTTCATTGATTCCCAAATACACTCTCCCTACCCCATCTTCTTATTTCTGAAACTGAAACATAACTTAGAGTCAGCAACACCTTAGTTTCAAAGAAATAGAGGTATATCCATTATTACAATCTTATCACACGTGGATAAGACGAATGTTTATAGACAGACTACTTTTCCTTTGGTTTTCTCATTGGAGTCATACAATTGAGTGTGTGTGTGGATGAACATACTCTCTGAGTTGCATCAAGATATTTTGGGGGTGGTTGATATAGATTGGATTTTTTTCCCTCAAAATCCATACATGGTATCCTTATAAGAAGAGAAAGACACCAGTCATGCACAGAGGAAAGGTCATGTGAGGACAGAACAGGAGGGCAGCCATCGGCAAGCCAAAGAGAGAGACCTCACCAGAATCCAACCCTGCTGTCACACTCTTCTTATACTTCTAGCCCCTAGAACTGTGAGAAGTGATTTTTTTTCCTTAAGGCACCTACTCTGTGATATTTTATTAAAGCAGCCCTAGATGACTAATACAATGGTAAAGGAAGAGATCAATGTTGCCATGATGATATTGGGAATTATTCTGTAAATGAACAAGTGAACTACAGCTTGGCCACACACACTGGAATGGACAAATTACAGATTATTATTTCTAATCTTTAATTGCAAAAGTTCTCCATATGCATTGTATTAGTCCACGCTCATCCTGCCAATAAAGACATACCCAAGACTGGGTAATTTATAAAGGAAAGAGGTTTAATTGACTCACAGTTCCACATGGCTTGGGAGGCCTCAAAATCATGGCAGAAGGTGAAGGAGAAGCAAAGTCATGTCTTATGTGGCAGCAGGCAAAGACAGCGCATGCAGAAATTATCTTTATAAAACCATCAGATCTCATGAGATTTAATCACAATCATGAGAACAGCATGAGAAAGACCCAACCTCATGATTCAATTACCTCTCACTGAGTCCTCCCACAACACGTGGGGATTATGGGAGCTACAATTCAAGGTGAGATGTTGGTGGGGATACAGCCAAACCTTATTATCTATTAAAATTCAGCATTAAAATCTGAGTCTATTTATTCATTTAAAAAATAAACTCTCAGCAAAGAAGAATAAAACGTCATCAAACTACAAAAAAGTATTTATAAATCCTATAGCTAATATTACACTTAATGATAAAAGACTGGATGCTTTCTTCCTGAGGTTGGGAGTAAAACATGGGTATCAACTTTCACCACTTCTATTCAATATTGCAAGAGGTCGTAGCTAGAGTGATAATGCAAGAAAAATAAATAAAGGGATAATAATTGGGAAGGAAGAGGTAAAACTGTTGCTTTTCACAAAGGGCATGATTATCTATGTAGAACACTCTAAGGAATATTAAAAAAAAACTAGTAGGATGAATAAATGAATTTGGCAAGGCTGTAAGATAATGATTAATATATAAAACATAAACAGTGGAAAAATACTTTTATAAAATATCATCTGTAAGAGCCTCACTAATACTTAGAAATAAATTTTATGACTGATGTGCAAGACCTCTGTAAAAATGACTAGAAAACATTACTACGAAATGATAGAAAATGTCTAAATAAGTAAAAAGACAGACAATGTTCATAAAATGAAATATGTAATGCTAAGATATCCATTTCTCCAAATTGATTCATAGATTCATTATGTTTCTAATAAAAATTTCAGCAGGCTTTTCAGAGTAATTGGTAAGCTGTTTTTAGAATTCATATGGAAATGCAAAGTATGTACAATATCCAAAATATCTTGAAGAGTTGGGAAAGTTGGAATACTTACACTAACTGATTTAAAGACTTACTTGGATCCTAGGCCTAAATGGAGAAACTAAAAGTCTAAAAATTCTAGCAGAAAACATTCTGCAATTTTAAAGTAGGCAAAGACTTCTTAGACAGAACAAAAAAAAAAACCATACAAATTAAAAATATATAAATTTATCTTATTCAAAGATAAAGTCCTCTGATTTTCAAAAGACACTGTTGAAAATATAAAAAGACAAGTCATCGAATGGGAGAAAATACTTTCAATCTGAATAATTGGAAAAGGGTTAATATCAAGATTACATAAAGCATTTGTAGAAATCAATTTTGAGAGAAAACTTCAACAAAAATGGGCATAAGACTTAAACAGACACTTCATAAAAGAAGATACACCAACGTACAAGAAGCCTAAGAAACTCTACTTTATGTCATTCGTTTTTAGGAAAATACAACTTAAAACCACAATGAGATGCCAGAATATACTCACTTGCATGGAGAAATTGAAAGGACATACCCATCAAGTCTTGTCAGGCATATGGAGCAACTGGAACTCTGATATATTGAACTTGGAAATGTAAAATGGTAAGCCATATTTGAAAATAAGAATTGGCAGTGTTTTGTAAAGTTATGCATACACTTATTATATTCATTTTTACAAATTACTATGTAACAAATTACTGCAAATCTAGCAGCTTAAAACCACTCACATTTATTACCTCACAGTTTCCCTGGATTAGGAGTCCAGGCAATGCTTATCTGGGTCCTTTGCTCACAGACTTCAATCAAGGTGTGGATTAGGGCTGAGGACTCATCTGAGGCTCATGGTGCTCTTCTAAGCTCATGTGGTTGTTATGAGAAATTTCGTTTCCTTGCAGCTTGCTTCTTCAAGGACAACAGGGGAATCTCTCACCTTTAGAGCCTCTTTTAAAAAGCTCAATTGATTAGGTTAGGTTCACCTAGAACAATCTCCCTATTAATTAACTTAAAGTCAACAGATTGGGAATGCTAATTACAGCCACAAATCTCTGCATCTTTGTTAACTAATCATAGGAATAACATTCATCGAGAAGTCCTACCCACAGTCAAAAGAAAATGGTTATATAGGGTGTGTAAACCAGGAGTCAGGGGATCTTGGGAACAGTCTTAAGGAATCTAACTGCTACATTTACAATATGACCCAATAATTCCACTACTAAATATTTATCCTGGGTAAATAAAAGCATACATTCACAAAAAGACTAGTACATAAATGTTCATACTAATTTTATGCATTATCATAAAAAAACTAAAATAACTTCATACACCAACAGGTGAATAGATAAACAGACTGTGGCATAGTCACACAACTTGGCAATATAAAGAAGAACAAATGATTTGTGTTACAAACCAATGAATCTCTAAAACATGATATTGATCCAAAGAATTCGGACCCCAGGGAGTGTATATGTTATGATTCCATTAATGTGAAGTTCTGCAATAGGCAAAATCCATCGATCCTTAATACTGATATTAAGATAGAAATGAAATCATTGGTTCTAAAGGGCAGAGGAGGGTTGACTGCAAAAGGTCAAGAGGAAATTTTCTGGGGTGATGAAAATGTTTTGTATCATGTTCAAAGTGACCATTATTGCAAATGTATGCATTTGTCAAAATTTACCAAACTGTACACTCAAATTGTGTATGCATTTTATTTTATGTGAATTATTTCTCAATAAAGTTGACTTTTAAAAATATAGCTCTTCCACCAAAGAACAAATAAACAAAAAACAAATTTCAGAGGCCAGATTATCTTAGAATGGATTTAGAACCATTCCTCCACTCCCACATAGCAGTCATGTTTGGAAAGAAATCATGTTCGCCTATAAATGTGGAAATATACGACCAGTTAGTCACCAGCATCTGGCATTTGTGATTGGCTTCATTTGTCTTGTAGTTTCTGGATCTTCAAATATCTTCACGATGGGCTCACTTTCTGTCTAATGCTATTGAACGGCAATGTGGTCCTTTTCTTTCTAAGAACAGGGAATCACCTAAAAAGAAAAAAAAGGATAGTTTTAACATTTATAGCAAAATTTGCCATGATGGTATGGCAAAAGATCCAGTTTCTTTTACCGAAGTTATTGTAAGGCTTTATACACAGACTTACACACATATGTATAAATACACGTGCATATCAACTTATTTCTCTACACATATCTTCTTTACAAAGAACAGCTCATTCAGCAGAAAGACTAGATACTAATTCCCAAAGTATATTACGTGAATAGTTAAAATTATGCTGCCATCTTGTCACCAAATCTTGCTCACCAAACCTCTTTGATTCAACTGAACAGCAAATAAGCATGGGGAAGGGGCACCATGAGTGACCATGCTGTACCATACATGAACAATCGCAGGACCTAGGGAAGATAAAAGGCAAGAGTTTGATGAAGAAGGGCCTGCATCGGGCTCTCCAATTTTGTTTCCTACAAGAATCTGTGTAGGCCCAATAGAACATGTCACTCATTTCCTGGGAACTAGTAGAGATTCTGTAAGTAAGTGAATGAAAATGTCTATATGTGTCTATACCTGTGAAACTTTTCGGAAGAAAAAGTATCCCATATATAAGTCGAGATTAAATATTCTTTTAAGAATTCTATATTTATCTCAGTGTTTAAAAAAGTGTGGCTTATGAACAGTATGACAGAAGAAATGTTTTCAATTTACAACAAAGAGTTCGAGAAGATGTTCAGACAGTTATGAAAGGGAACTCAATAAGAGAACCCAACAAATGCCACCTAACTCATGCTTACAACATCCCAGTAGGATATTCCTCAAACTGATAATTTTGCAGATCAGGAATCATGGCCAGAGAGTTTCTAATTCTCCTTATTTTAAGGCAAAGCCAAAAGCAGTATAGTTAGCAGACAGCGGAGCTATGAATTAGACTTGCACTTGTCCTCCAGCCAGGAAAGGAAGGCTGGTTGGTGATTTCAGTATGTGTCATACAACGAGGTAGCTGGATACACAGATGAGGTCAGAGGAGTTGCTGAACACAGCCAGTTGGGAGACGAGGTTGTATTAAGGAGGATGGTTTCTGGGCTTTCTTGGGTACCTTGACTCTGGAACTGAGATGTGTGAGAGGAGATATGTGAAGAGGGAACTGAAGGATCAGCAGATGCAAGAAAAAGAGGCAAGAGTGAGAACGACCAGGGATGGTGAGTACAGCTGGAGGACCAGAGGCAAGAGTACAAGATGAGTTGGCCCCACTCAAGTCATTAACAGCCATAGTAATGTAACAGCATTAAAATCTGAATTGCATGTTTCAAGTCTGTGAAATTGCAATAGCTGCCTTTATAACTGTGAGTTTCAAACCTTATCCACATGCTCAGAGATCTTTAAAAAGTATATGAGCAATATACTAAGCTATGTACTTAGAATACAAGTAATAAAGGTTCTCATTTCCACTAGAATATTGTGAACTACAGCCAAAGGGAGTCACATGTGTGAAATGGACAAAGTACACAGTTTAAAATTCTTTAAAATGCAACGCATTCTCCTAAAAGGTATCTAAAACAAATCCCAAGATATCTTTATACAATGTTAAAAGAACTGTACCTTCTAAAGCAAACAAAACAAAAATCTTTGCCTTTTTTTCACAATTCTATAATGAAAGGTGAAAATTGTGTTTTACTCATAATTTATTTTTGAACACCCAATTCTCAAAAGCGATCAGAATGAGTCAGATCCAAGTGTCTGTATGGGTCTAAATTGCACAGTATTAAATTTAGTGTTTGGTGGGAGAGAACATGTAAATTTGAGGGAATTACATATACAAACGTGTGAAAGGTAGTCTACTGTGTGGACTTAAAAATAGTCACTTATTTTGTCCTAGTGGAAAAGGAAAACCTCGTTATGAATACTAAATAGCTTTGTATTACTTGAAAAGCCTTTTGATACAATTCAAGGTATTGACTTCACAAACATTAGAAAGGGGACTTTTGAAGTGCGCATGCTTATTAAAGCTATTTAATACTAATGAACGTGAAATGCAGTAGTAATCACATTTATTTCTAGCTATTTGTTCTTTTTTAATTAACCGAATGCAAACTTTAACAACCTTTTTTAAACTAACATGTGCCTTTGGGTAAGCTACAAATATTCATTCAAAACCTACAAATATTAATACAAAAGGTCTCTACAATGAAGCACTTGATTCAATTTTAATTATCAGGGTTAAATTTTATTCACGATATTGTTGGAGATTCAAAGCTGGATCTGTATACCTCTCTTTTCTGTTGCAACGAGAAGGAGTAAAGCAAAATATCCAGGAATGAAGCATCATTAACTAATGCCTTACTCAATAATAGTTTGTGATAATCCTAACACAAATTGTTCTACTTTGCAACTCAATTTCAGACAACTCTAATTTCTGTTTTCATTCAGAATCCAATTATGACAAGGATGGCATTACCTACCATCAGATTTCCAAGTTGAGGGCTTGAGTTGTTGAGAATTCCCATAAAACTCCTTCTACATTATTTTTTAGTATTTCCCATGCTCAGAGTCTCTAACAGCCACCTGCTCCAAGAGAGTTTCTCAAACCTCTCATTCCATTTCAAATACCTGTGAACACTTTTATTGATACGTTTGTTTAAGATCCATAGAATTGCTTTTGCTGTTACCTCTAATGGAAAGTGTATATGAAGATCCTTGGAGCTAAGATCTAAGGGAGATCTGTTATGTTCATTTATTTCCAACCCTCAATCCAATACCTTTGCCACCTTTTACTATGAAGACTCTGAGAATTCAGTATGTTGAAACACACTGTATACTCATGGTTGGAAACTCTAAGCCATTACAATTTTACCTTAAAAACATGAATGTATCAATAATGTTGATGAAACAAATCAAAATTATTGACACTAGTTGTAACAGTGTGTTCTTTAGAGTCTTCTGTATGGACTAAATTTATTCCAATAGGTGCTTATTATTTTCATAGTTCAATTAACTGGAATAGTGACATCTTACACGACAGGCCCTAACTCAACTCCTTAAGACATAAAGACTGAGTTTCATGGGTCTATCACTTTCTCCTTTTGCAACTTTGGCAGGCACCAATCAATCAGATGTCCCTACTCATCTCTGATGACTTCTCCAAATTAAATATTTTAGGTTCTTCAATGATATTTCCAAGATGCTTAAATTAAGGATTGCACCTGCTTGGTTTTTGTATCCTAGCAACTTGTGCAGTGTTGGGAGTGTATTCAGTCTGGGGCCCAGGTAATGTTAGCAGAATAATTAATTTTATATCACTTCACCAGAATGGTTATTTTTCTGTGGAAAGCATGAGTTTAACTATATTTCTTGAAGTGAAGCCCCTCAATTGTCTCCTGAGCTGTGCCCACAGTGATGTGCTTCTTTAAATAGAACTGAAAGTCACTTTGGTGTCTATGCAGCCACGTTGCACCATTGACTCCTGTAGAGTTATTTGTCAATAAAATATTGAGTTGTTTTCATAGGTTGTGCTCTGTCATTCTGTGCAACTTGTACAGTGTGATTTCATTAACTTGAGTCTACTGTTTCGTACTCAACGTACTATCAATAATCAACACTGACATGTATTTACTGCTTACTATGTGCTAGGAATAGTTCTAAGACTTCCCTATGCTTTATCTGCATTACTTCAGTTACTTCTCTTAGTAGCTCTGTCAGGTAGACCGGGGAGTTTGAAGCAAATAGTTTGAGCCTAGGGAATTCAAGGGTTGCATTTGATTGACTGTATTTTATTACCTCTCACTTGTTGAAACTTAGAAAACTGACTTTCACGGAAGAAGTCCTAGTTGCCTAATCAATAACATGGGTACCTCTTTGCTCCCTGAAACTACAGAGAATATTCTAGAGAATCAGAAAGTACTGTTGCAAAAATAAGAAATGGCTAGATATCTGAAAAGTTTTATTATAGCAATGTGCATAGTACCTTGCTACTTAAAGACCAGCAGCTGCCTGACAACTCCGAGGACATGAGAAACCTCAGGTCTCTGTTCAGGTCCAGTGAATCAAAATCTGCATCTTCACGAGATCCTCCCTATGTGTACGCAGGTCTGAGAGTCAGGAATATAGTGAAAGGGGGCTGCACTTAGAGAGAAGGCCTGGTTTAAGTCCCGGCTCCAGCACATAGTGCCTGTTTGAACATGTTACTTAACATTTCCAGCCACAGCCTCTTCATTTAAAATATCAGGCAAATGTCGTCTACCTCAGAGTTGCGGCTTAAAATAAACCAGATTTAATACACACGCATGATCAGCCCAGCACCCAGAATGTCACTGATAATGTTACCATATTGATTGAATCCAAATATGTTATTTTGAAACAATGCTTTCCTTTCTCTAATTTTAAAAAATGATACACCTTCATTGCAGAAAATTGGCAAAATACATTTTTAATGTGCAGTTTTATTTCAGTTTTTAGCTATATAAAAACTGACATGTCTGAGTATTGTGTCCAATTAAGTGGCTGTTATAAAAAAGTACTTGAGCTTTAGAAAAGCAGGTTCTATTCTCTTAAAATACATCTATGATAACAAGAACACAAGTAATTAAAATACGTTATATATAAAAACCTCCGTAAGTGGTAGATCTAGGCTGAAAGAACCCAGCCTTTTGAACTGGGCAGGCTCAAGTTTAGACCAAGAAGGCAACTTCAATGGATGGATGCCTTAAGGCGAGATACTTAAGTCACACCAACTTCAGTTTCTTCATCTGTAAGGATGCTGTTAGGAAGGTTTAACTGAGATGAGGGGGTTAGCTCAGAGGCTGCCATGGAGGATACTTGATCTGTGGTAGCTATCATGTGATAGGTTATAAAGAAACTCTGCTTTTGACAGCCTCTTCCAAAAGAAGCAAGAAATCAAGCTTAGTATTTACAGGAATTGCAAGTAGCTTTCAGATACTCAATTTAACCATGTCTGAAGGGACCCAAGAGTGTGGTGAGATAAGCTCCTTGGGATGGAATTTGAAGGCTAACATTGCAAAGGTGGGTTTTTCCTGTAAAAGCAGTTGAAGTCACACTCTAAAATAAGTGATTATATAAGTTTTCTTTATTACCTGTAAAATGCTGATTTTTTTAAAGACATGGAAAAGCAAGGCTGAAAAAGGTAGTTCAGAAGGGCTGAGGTGTGTTTTCCAATAGAACTCTGCAAGGACCATGGGTTGCAACGTGTTGCCAATATGTCTTCCATTTTTGTGTCAAGTTTTCTGGTCTTTGAGTCAAGGTAAAGTCATCGGAAGGGTAGTCAGGTCGTTATTGAAGGACAAAGATGACAATGGCAAAGAGTAGGAGACTCAGCACAGCCTGCAGAATTGGTTTTCAAACGTGCTTCTTGAAAATCCTGCTGGTCATAGGCCATATAAACCTGACAAGCAAATTTCACAGAGCGGGAGTTTGAACTGGGTTCCAGGGGATTGTTCTAGGGTAGGTGGCTACATAGAATAGCTATGTATGGATCCTGCCCTGCAACTTCCTCTGCAAAAGGCAACTGGGGGCGGTGGAGGGAGCATTGACTGGGGCTGGGAGAGATGGCTCTACTGAGTGGGGCTCGCTTTGGAGGACTGCACCTCAATGCCTTCATGCCACACACTTATCCCGAGTGAGTCCCCGGGCCCTTTGACCTCCCTGACAATACAAGTGGATTATGGTGCCTGGCCCCTCAGACATGCCCTGCACTCATCTTCCAAAGTGCTTCTCCCTGCCGTGTGTGTTCTTGGGCTTTTAATGGAGAATGGAAAGGAAACTAGGAAGAAACAATGAGACAGGGCAAAGGCTAGCACACTTTTTCTGAGAGTTTTGAAGAGAAATATGTATAAGTGGCTCCCTTTCCAAATGTACCTGCTGATACAAGATATAATATTTAACAATGCCACATGGTTAATTTGACCAATACAGTCACATCTTTATAATTGATATGCAGTCAAACATGCTCTATAATGATGTTTTGCTCAGTGATGGACCCCATATAGGACAGTGGTCCCATACGATTATAAGGAAGCTGAAACCTTCCCATCATCTAGTGACCCTGAAGCACCCAGCATTCCCCACGTGTTTGGGGTGTGCTGGTGTAAGCAAACCTACTCTGCTGCCAGGCGTGTAAAAGCCCAAAACCTACAACTATGCGTAGTACATCAGACCTGATAAGGACATTAAATGACCATGACACTGACTTATTATTTACTGTACTATCCTTTTGTTATTATTTTAAAGTGTACTCTTACTTATTAAAAATAATTTAATGTAAAAGAGCATCAGGTAGGTCCTTCAGGAGGTATCCAGAAGTAGGCATCGTTGTCAGAGGAGAAAACAGCTCCATGCCTGTTACTGCCCCTGAAAACCTTCCAATGGGACAAAATGTGGAGGTGGGAGACAGTGGCGTTGATGTTCCTGACCCTGTGTAGGCCTAGGCTAATGTATGTGTGGTGTCTTAATTTTTAAGAAAAAAATTTAAAAGTTAAAAAAATAAAATTAAAATGTTATAACATAAGGTTAAAAGAAAGAAAATATTTTAATACAAGCATACAATGTATTGTGTCTTAAGCTGTTGTTACCAAAAAGTCAAAACTTTTTTAAAACTCAGAAGTTTATACAGTAAAAAAGTTACAGCAAGCTAAAGTTGATTTATTATTTTAAAAAGTGTATTTTAAAATACATTTGGCCAAGCAGAGTGGCTCACACTTGTAGTCCCAGCACTTTGGGAGACCAAGGTAGGGTGATGGCTTTAGCCTGGGAGTACGAGACCAGCCTAGACAACATGGTAAAGCCCAGTATCTACAAAAAATACAAAAATTAGCCGGGTGTGGTGGCACATACCTGTGATTCCAGCTACTCAGAGATTGAGGTGGGAGGATTGTTTGAGGCAGAGATTGCAGTAAGCTGAGATCGTGCCACTGGACTCAGCCTGGGTGACAGAGTGAAACCCTGTCTCAAAATTAATAAAATAAAATACCAAATGGAAATAAATGTAATGCAGCCTAAGTGGCGAGTGTTTCTAAAGTCTTCAGTAGTGCACAGCAATGTCCCAGGCCTTCCCATTCACTCACCACTCACGCTCGGACTCGCCCAGAACCACAGTCCCGCAAGCTGCATTCATGGTGAGTGCCCTATATGGGTGTACCATTTCCTATCTTTTGTACTGTATTTTTACTGTGCCTTTATTATGTTTAGACACGCATTCTTACCATTGCGTTACAACTGCCTATAGTATTCTGTACAGTAACATCCTCTTCAGGTTTGTAGCCTAGGAGTAATGCCATCTAGCCTAGGTGTGCAGTAGGCTGTCCCATCTAGATGTGTGTAAGTACTTAACTCTACGATGCTTACACAATGATGGAATCGCCTAATACTACATTTCTCAGGACATATCCCCGTCTTCAGGGGAGGCACGTCTATGAATTCACAGAGATGCTGTTTGGTACAGGTCACAATGTTGGGTAATGTCACGGGAAGGAATGCAAGCAGTAAAACGCATGATCCCTGCACCAGGTAAACTTCATGCCTACCAGAGAACACAAGGCAAAGGTGCACACAATTGCGTGAATATAAGGCATACTGCAGTAAGCGACAGCCTGAGGCAGCATGTGACAGGAACGCATGAACAGTGCAAGGCTAACCACTCCTCACGCTGGAGGAGTGAGGATGTCTTACAGAAAAGTGCTGAGTCATTTCCCAGCAGGTGGAAGGATTCCAGATAGCGGAGATGAGAAAAGCGGGAAGCAAAGTAGCATGAACAGCTGTAGAAAGGACTCGGGTGTGCCCTAGAAATATGTGTTATGTTCTCCGCTTTTTTTTTGAGATGGAGTCTCGCTCTGTCGCCCAGGCTGGAGTGCGGTGGCGCGATCTCGGCTCACTGCAAGCTCCGCCTCCCGGGTTCACGCCATTCTCCTGCCTCAGCCTCCCGAGTAGCTGGGACTACAGGCGCCCGCCACCACGCCCGGCTAATTTTTTATATTTTTAGTAGAGACGGGGTTTCGCTGTGTTAGCCAGGATGGTCTCGATCTCCTGACCTCCTGATCCTCCCGCCTCGGCCTCCCAAAGTGCTGGGATTACAGGCATGAGCCACCATGCCTGGCCATGTTCTCTGTTTTTTAAGTCTCCCTCTCTCTCTCTCTCTATATATATATATATATGTGTGTGTGTATATATATATATATGTGTATATATATGTGTATATATGTGTGTGTATATATATGTGTATATATGTGTATATATATGTGTATATATGTGTATATATATGTGTATATATATGTGTGTGTATATATATACGTGTATATATACATATATACGTGTGTATATACATATATACGTGTATATACATATATACGTGTATATACATATATATACGTGTATATATATATACACGTATATATATATATACACGTATGTGTGTGTGTGTGTATATATATATATATATATATATATAGCTTTTCCTACACCATTTATATACACACACACACTTTGGGAGGCCAAGGTGGGTGGATCACGAAGTCAAAAGATTGAGACCATCCTGGCCAACATGGTGAAACTCTGTCTCTACTAAAAATACAAAAATTAGCTGGGCGTGGTAGCGCACGCCTGTGTTCCCAGCTAATGGGGAGGCTGAGGCAGGAGAATCACTTGATTCCAGAAGGCGGAGGTTGCAGTGAGCCGAGATTGCGCCATTGCACTCCAGCCTGGTGACAGAGCGAGACTCTGTCTCAAAAAAAACAAAAAAAAATATACATATATATATATATATTTAATTTATATATTATATTCTATATACACACATAGATGTAAATAAATGTAAAATATTAAAAAATGTGTTAAAACCCTTTAGAACCTATTTACAAAATACTTTTCTAAAACTAATTTTAAATGTGTTACAAAAAAGAAAAGCTCAAGAGATTTTTCTCTCTCTCTTTTTTTTTAATGGCCAGAATAAATATTGGCTGACCTGATGAGACATTTGAAAATCCTTGGACCATCTTAACTCTCTAAAATCAAATATTTACCTCCCTGAAGTTCTCAAAATAAAAGCTTCTGCTGGAAGGGTCTTGCCAGCAAAACAAATGTTGGCTGCAGAATGTTACCGTTGGCCTGTTAAGACACTACCAAATAAATTGCTTGATTGCCAAATCATACTCTTTGTTTTGAAAATTACTAAGATTGGTCGTATGGCCTGAGAGTTAAAGTTAGCTTTTTATAGATGAGTATAATTTCATTCTGCAATAGGATTGTCAGTAGAATAGAGTAGTGTTTACTTTATGGATAATATACATTTCAAAACATTGTGAAGCTCATATGCAAAGGCAATTACTTGCCCCTAAAATAAATACTCGCTGGAAGATGCACATTTCACATCATTATGTTCAATGGAATGCCAGCCCCTCCACGAGCTCAGGACCTCTGTAAATGTAAATGTTTATAAAAAGATTTTGCTGTAGAAATAAACCTCAATGATTTGGACTTCACTAACTTGGAATGTATAATGTCCCTTGTAGAGACTAGCTTGAAATTCCTCTTTTAAGATAAAGTAAGCATAATTTCAGGGGAACTTTTTAAGCTAGTTAACACATTTTAAGCACGGTGGGTAGCATTTATTGGCATGCAAGCAATGTAAATGACTGCTACAAATCACTCTGATGTATGCATTTAAGCAAGTTCCCCCTGGACCCTTAGACATGTGGACTTTTAACCACTGAGGATTTTGTCATTGATGTTTTGTTTTGTTTTACATGTTCTTAAAAATTAATAAAGCTGCATGCATTTTATGCTGTCCTCAACTTTATCTTCTGTACCTAATTTCTATGAGTCGGTAAGGCGTGCTTTGAATAACTACTTTGCTATGTGGCTAGGAAATCAGGTAGCATTTCTTCTTACACACACGCTCGATAGTAAAAGACAGCTACCTTATGATCAGTTAAGCCTGAATCTTTCAAAATTCTTCGAGTTTATATAAAACCCAGAATTCTCCAGCAGGATGCTATTGCATACGGCACTAGTACCTCACATTAATAATGAATATGTGTTGGGCCCTTGCTGAGTTTTGACTGTGTTCCATACATAAAGACAGCATCCTCTGCCCTAGAGGCTTGGCATAAATTACCCAGATTAATCAATAGAGAACAGGCCAGCAGAACAGAGAGTAGGAGAGAAAAACGCTATTCTTCTAACTGTGGCTGTGCAATAATATTGCTTATTATTGAGCATGATATCCAAACTGCACGGAGCTGCTGTCATGGAAAGAGATAATCAGCTTTGCAATGTAAAAATTGTGGAATATCAGCTCTGCTATACATTAGACTTTTTGAAAAGCAGACATGCCCAACTCTCATTGTTGACGGAGGGGATCGGGGGTGGGGTCTGGCTAGGAAGTTTCTGAAAAGCCTTAGAGGCAATTCTGATGCATACTGGCTGTTGTTATCAACTGGAAAATGGAAGCTACGTTCTCAAGAGTTGGAGAACCAGAGTGTTACCTTTTTATTCACCAGGCCCAGGATTGGCAGAGTTAGCAGTCCCACCTGAGCTTTGCTATAATATTGATACAATGTCACACTCTTAAGGGTTGCATTAGGGAATTTACAAGGAAGGGCATAAGGAATTGTAGTATTTTGTAAAGATGTGTGAGCTTATTTTCAGACTAGAGGCTTGGGTGAATGAAATTTTGTATGTTGAGAGTATTTTGCCAAATTTTACCAAGCTAGCTTACTAACAAATATTGCTCCCCAAAGCCTTGATCAGAGTTCCCATACTAGGCTGTACATTCAGTTCATGAAATGACCAAGTAATCCCTTCTGGCTTGATAGAAATGGACCATCCAGGAAGTGGATTTTCTTACAAATATTGTACCTATGACTTGTGTGGCTGTGTCAGTAAAATAAGACCAGCATGGGTCTGAGACTAGTACTGAGCTGTGATACCTCAGAAACATAGAGGAAATATTTAGCATATTAAGAGACATGGAAGACATAAACATGGTTCACACTGAACTTTTTGAGATGGAAACTCTATTTCCCAAAACCATAAAAAATGCATTAGGTGGAATTAATAGCAGATTAGATACTGCAGAAGAAAAAATTATCATTACTTGAAGGCATAGTAATAGAAGCTAGTCAAAATAAACCACAAATAAGTTACTGAAAAAAAGTGAACAGTGCTAAGAGAGTTTTGGGACAACATAAAACACCCTAACATACATGTAATTGAAGTTCTGAAAGATAAGGTGGGGAAGCAGAGATAAGCATTGGAATAAATATATCATGGATGAAATTTTTCCAAATTTGTTGAGAACTCCAAACTCACAAATCCAAGAAGCTCAGCAAACCTCAAGCACACACTCACAAAAGTAGAAAACAACATCATAATCAAGCTGCTTTAAATCAGTGGCAGGTAGAAGATTTTAAAAGTATCCAGATTACAGGGCTGTATACAGAGAAGTAAAGATAAACAGGGTAGCTAATTTCTTGCTAGAAAAAAAAACAGAAATCTGAAACCAGTGTATCGTATAAAACATAAAGAGTAAAACCATAAAAACTTCAGAGGAAAACAGGAAATATTTGTGACCTTGGGTTGGGCAAATATCTATCTGAGATTACATGAAGAGACTGGATAATAAAAGAAAAATTGATCAACTTGAATTCATCAACATTAAAAATTTTTTCTTTGTTCAAAAGAGATTGATAATTAAGTGAAAAGACAAGCAAGCCACAGCCTAGAGTAAACATCTTCAAAGCACACACTTGGTAAAGATCTTGTTTCCAGAATTTATCTTACAACTCAGAAAGAAGATAAACAACCACATAGTAAAGTGGGGAAAATATGTCAACACGTGTTCCACACAAGAAGATATAAAGATGGTAAATAAGCACAGGGGAAGATGCTCACAATCCATGGGGAAATAAAAATTAAAAACACCAGGAGCTCCCATGACATGCCTGTTAGAAGGGACAAAATTAAAAGGAGTGACAAGACCAAGTGCTGACAAGGAGGAAGGACAGTTGACACCCGCACACGTTGCTGGTGGTAATGCAATGAAACCGTTTGGCAGTTTCTTATAAAGTTAAAATATATAATATACACCATATGTATGGGCTTCCTAGGGCTGCCAGAACAAAGTACCACAAAACATCACACACAGGCTGGCTTAAACAACATGCATTTATCATCCTGCACTTCTAGGATAGAGAGCTGAGATCAAGGTGTCGACAGCATTGGTTCCTTCCATGAGCTGTGAAGAAGGATCTGCCCAGGCCCTTTTCTGTTTTCTGGTGATTCATTGGCATCTTTGTCATCCCTTGGCTTTGAGACACACCTCCCCAATCTCTGCTTGTATGTTCACATGGTGTTTGTCTGTCTCTATGTCCAAATATCTTATTTTTATAAAGACAACAGTCATACTGGGTTAGAGCTCACCCTATTTATCTCATTTTAACTTGATTATCTGACAAACCCTATTTTCAAATAAAGTCACATTGGCACTTACTGAGGGTGAGGACTTGAACATCTTTGGGGTCACGATTTAACCCATCCTGCCATAGAACCAAGCAATTTCACACCCAGGTATTTTTCCTCAAGGGGTTTTATGAAGTTTATATGATATTAAAATCTCAATTGGTCCAACTATTATTTGTAGAATTTTTACTATACCAAGCCCTGCCCTTCAACTTGTACATGCAGGTTGGATGGGAATAAAAAATTGCTTTCTTCTGGCCTTCAACACATTTATTCAAAATACACTGCATTATTTGCATTGCGTATGATCCTGCTCATGAGAAGCTTCCAGTCTAGAGGCACATATGAAATGTGGTTCTCAAAACTTACAATGCCAAACAGTACTTCCTGTGTAATAAAAGTTGCAGATAAGGTTTCTAGTACATTCAGAAGAGCTGTAAACTGTTTTTACTTGAGGAGGATCAGGGATGGCATTATGAAAAAAGTGGCATTTCAGCTCAACTTAAAAATTGTGAACAAAGTAGTTAGAGGGAAAGGGAATCCAGGCACAGAGAACAGGAAAAGTGAAGTGAAGGAGAAGGGAAAGTAAACAAATACATGCAAGAAACAGTCAACCACGGATAGGCTGAAGCAAGCTGGGAGAGCACACTGCAGAGAGTGACGAAGCAAGCTTGAAAGGGCCAGGACGCCAGCCTGTGTTCTGGGAACAACAGGGACAAAAGGAGACATATTAAGTGGGAAAGTGACAGAATTGGTGCCACTGCAGCAAGATTAATCTTGCACTAGGTGCAGAGTGAATAGCTACTCGGGAGTCTGAGGCAGGAGAATAGCTTGAACCCAGGAGGCAGAGGTTGCAGTGAGTCAAGACCACGCCATTGCACTCCAGCCTGAGCAACGAGAGTGAAATTCTGTCTCAGAAATAAATAAGTAAATAAATAAATAAATAAATAAATAGAAAGAAATGAGAGAGCCACACAGGCAGCCACTCAGTGGGCTACTGAGTAAGTGGAGATCCTGGCTAGCCAGGGGCTCAGTCCATCCATTTGGTGAGGTTTCCTGTTCAGATAGCTAGCCTGCCAGAAGGCAATTTTCTTTTTTTTTTTTTTGTTATACTTTAAGTTCTAGGGTACATGTGCACAACGTGCAGGTTTGTTACATATGTATACATGTGCCATGTTGGTGTGCTGCACT
Organism: Homo sapiens; assembly: GCF_000001405.40. Classification (NCBI taxonomy): domain Eukaryota; kingdom Metazoa; phylum Chordata; class Mammalia; order Primates; family Hominidae; genus Homo; species Homo sapiens. The sequence goes on from NC_000002.12 coordinate 5,890,223, forward strand.
CATTAACTCGTCATTTACATTAGGTATTTCTCTTAATGCTATCCCTCCCCACTCCCCTGACTCCATGACAGGCCCCAGTGTGTGATGTTCCCCACCCTGTATCCAAGTGTTGTCATTGTTCAATTCCCACCTATGAATGAGAACATGCAGTGTTTGCTTTCCTGTCCTTGCGATAGTTTGCTCAGAATGATGGTTTCCAGCTTCATCCATGTCCCTACAAAGGACATGAACTCATTCTTTTTTATGACTGCATAGTATTCCATGGTATGTATGTGCCACATTTTCTTAATCCAGTCTATCATTGATGGATATTTGGGTTGGTTCCAAGTCTTTGCTATTGTGAATAGTGCCACAATAAACATATGTGTGCATGCATCTTTATAGCAGCATGATTTATAATCCTTTGGGTATATACCCAGTAAAGGGATGGCTGGGTCAAATGGTATTTCTAGTTCTAGATCCTTGAGGAATCGCCACACTGTCTTCCACAATGGTTGAACTAGTTTACACTCCCACCAATAGTGTAAAAGTTTTCCTATTTCTCCACATCCTCTCCAGCACCTGTTGTTTCCTGACTTTTTAATGATCGCCATTCTAACTGGTGTGAGACGGTATCTCATTGTGGTTTTCTTTTGCATTTCTCTGATGGCCAGTGGTGATGAGCATTTTTTCATGTGTCTGTTGACTGCATATATGTCTTCTTTTGAGAAGTGTCTGTTCATATCCTTTGCCCACTTTTTGATGGGGTTGTTTGATTTTTTCTTGTTAATTTTTTTAAGTTCTTTGTAGATTCTGGATATTACCCCTTTGTCAGATGGGTAGATTGCAAACATTTTCTCCCATTCTGTAGGTTGCCTGTTCACTCTGATGGTAGTTTCTTTTGCTGTGCAGAAGCTCTTTAGTTTAATTAGATCCCATTTGTCAATTTTGGCTTTTGTTGCCATTGCTTTTGGTGTTTTAGACATGAAGTCCTTGCCCATGCCTATGTCCTGAATGGTATTGCCTAGGTTTTCTTCTAGGGTTTTTATGGTTTAAGTCTAACATTTAAGTCTTTAATCCATCTTGAATTAATTTTTGTATAAGGTGTAAGGAAGGGATCCAGTTTCAGCTTTCTACATATGGCTAGCCAGTTTTCCCAGCACCATTTATTAAATAGGGAATCCTTTCCCCATTTCTTGTTTTTGTCAGGTTTGTTAAAGATCAGATGGTTATAGATGTGTGGTATTATTTCTGAGGCGCTGTCCTGTTCCATTGGTCTATATCTCTGTTTTGGTACCAGTACCATGCGATTTTGGTTACTGTATCCTTGTATTATAGTTTGAAGTCAGGTAGCATGATGCCTCCAGCTTTGTTCTTTTTGCTTAGGATTGTCTTGGCAATGTGGGCTCTTTTTTGGTTCCATATGAACTTTAAAGTAGTTTTTTCCAGTTCTGTGAAGAAAATCATTGTTAGTTTGATGGCGATGGCACTGAATCTAAATTACCTTAGGCAGTATGGCCATTTTCAAGATATTGATTCTTCCTACCCATGAGCTTGGAATGTTCTTCCATTTGTTTGTGTCCTCTTTTATTTCATTGAGCAGTGCTTTGTAGTTCTCCTTGAAGAGGTCCTTCACATCCCTTGTAAGTTGGATTCCTAGGTATTTTATTCTCTTTGAAGCAATTGTGAATGGGAGTTTACTCATGATTTGGCTCTCTGTTTGTCTGCTATTGGTGTATAAGAATGCTTGTGATTTTTGCACATTGATTTTGCATCCTGAGACTTTGCTGAAGTTGCTTATCAGCTTAAGGAGATTTTGGGCTGAGACAATGGGGTTTTCTAGATATACAATCATGTCATCTGCAAACAGGGACAATTTGATTTCCTCTTTCCCTAATTGAATACCCTTTATTTCTTTCTTCTGCCTGATTGCCCTGGCCAGAACTTCCAACACTATGTTGAATAGGAGTGGTAAGAGAGGGCATCCCTGTCTTATGCCAGTTTTCAAAGGGAATGCTTCCAGGTTTCACCCATTCAGTATATTGGCTCTGGGTTTGCCATAAATAGCTCTTATTATTTTGAGATATGTCCCATCAATACCTAGTTTATTGAGAGTTTTTAGCGTGAAGGGCTGTTGAATTTTGTAAAAGGCCTTTTCTGCATCTATTGAGATAATCATGTAGTTTTTGTATTTGCTTCTGTTTATGTGATGGATTACGTTTATTGATTTGCGTATGTTGAACCAGCCTTGCATCTCAGGGATGAAGCCCACTTGATCATGGTGGATAAGTTTTTGATGTGCTGCTGGATTCGGTTTGCGAGTATTTTATTGAGGATTTTTGCATTGATGTTCATCAGGGATATTGGTCTAAAATTCTCTTTTTTTGTTGTGACTCTGCCAGGCTTTGATATCAGGATGATGCTGGCCTCATAAAATGAGTTAGGGAGGATTCCCTCTTTTTCTATTGATTGGAATAGTTACAGAAGGAATGGTACCAGTTCCTCCTTGTACTTCTGATAGAATTCGGCTGTGAATCTGTCTGGTCCTGGACTTTTTTTGGTTATAGGCTATTAATTATTGCCTCAGTTTCAGAGCCTTTTATTGGTCTATACAGGGATTCAACTTCTTCCTGGTTTAGTCTTGGGAGGGTGTATGTGTCCAGGAAAGTATCCATTTCTTCTAGATTTTCTAGTTTATTTGCATAGAGGTGTTTTTAGTATTTTTTGATGGTGGTTTGTATTTCTGTGGGATCAGTGGTGATAACCCTTTTATCATTTTTTACTACGTCTATTTGATTCTTCTCTCTTTTCTTCTTTATTATTCTTGCTAGCGGTCTATCAACTTTGTTGATCTTTCAAAAAACCAGCTCTTGGATTCATTGATTTTTTGAAGGGTTTTTTGTGTCTCTATCTCCTTCAGTTCTGCTCTGCTCTTAGTTATTTCTTGCCTTCTGCTAGCTTTTGAATGTGTTTGCTCTTGTTTCTCTAGTTCTTTTAATTGTGATGTTAGGGTGTTGATTTTAGATCTTTCTTGCTTTCTCTTATGGGCATTTAGTGCTACAAATTTCCCTCTACATGCTCCTTTAAATGTGTCCCAGAGATTCTGGTATGTTGTGTCTTTGTTCTCATTGGTTTCAAAGAACATCTTTATTTCTGCCTTCGTTTTGTTATTTACCCAGTAGTCATTCAGGAGCAGGTTGTTCAGTTTCCATGTAGTTGTGCTGTTCTGAGTGAGTTTCTTAATCCTGAGTTCTAATTTGATTGCTCTGTGGTCTGAGAGACATTTTGTTGTGATTTCTTTTCTTTTACATTTGCTGAGGAGTGCTTTAATTCCAACTATGTGGTCAATTTTGGAATAAGTGCTATGTGGTGCTGAGAAGAATGTATATTCTGTTGATTTGGGGTGGAGAGTTCTGTAGATGTCTATCAGGTCTGCTTGGTGCAGAGCTGAGTTCAAGTCCTGGATATCCTTGTTAACTTTCTGTCTCCTTGATCTATCTAATGTTGATAGTGGGGTGTTAAAGTCTCCCATTATTATTGTGTGGGAGTCTAAGTCTCTTTGTAGGTCCCTTAGGACTTGCTTTATGAATCTGGATGCTCCTGTATTGGGTGCATATATATTTAGGATAGTTAGCTCTTCTTGTTGAATTGATCCCTTTATAATTATGTAATGGCCTAGAAGCCAATTTTCAATGAACACCAGTGCATTAGAGGAGACGATGGAATAGTTGGAGAGCTTGGTGATCCTTCTGGTGATGCTAAAAGAGCAGGTCCTTACCTGATGGTGCAGTTTGTTCCACTTTTATGATGAGAAAAGCTCATGATGACACAGTGCTGCTGAAATAATAGGAGCATGGATTTTATTTTTGCAGAATTAATGGGATAATTTTCTTCAGAATCAGATCTCTAAATAATCAGTGTTAAAGAGAATGCCAGTAACACAATTTTTAACATCTTTACTCTGGTGTATGTGTCTTGTGGAGGCATCTAGGGATATAGTTCCAATTGTGCAGACTTGCAAATGTCCCCCATGGCATGCTCTTTCAACGTCAATATCCAGGGAAACTCCCTGGGATAAAAATCTGAACATGGCTCAACTTTATTGTGAAAACATAAAATTGGTTATCCAGGGCAACAAAGGAAAATAAATTCTAATCCTTTCCCTCTCTGCCTGTCCTTGGATGCCATCATAAAGGTGGACATTGGCACCCTCCTCTTCCTGAACACATCCGACGATTCATCCCTCACCCTAAGCATCTCATCACCCAATCCATGGAAGTCACCATTGCAGCAGTGCTGCTGCATCATAGAACCCAGTCCCTGAGGACAAGCTTGGTGACTGCTGAGATGGGGCCAGACCTTGGGGAAAGGTCTTCAGGTTTCCCCAGATGGCTCAGAGACCGTGGGTGTACTCAGCCAGACTTTGCACATATGTAACTCTGCAGGAAAGTGGAGGCTCCCACAGGAAGGTGACGCTGGATGCCAATCTGTCACTAGAGCACAACAGAATGAGTTTAAGAACAATTGAGTTGAACACACACGTATCATCTCCACAGGTTCCCCAGAGGGCATTTGAAGCAGGAAGCAAGATGTTTATTGCTATGTAAAGCTCTGGGTTTCCTGGATAAGAAATCTGTTCCTGTATTTCTTTATTTATGTCTGTACTTCATATATACCCATGGAGAAGAAGAAAATATTTTAGGCAGGAGCATTGCTGAGCTGCAGGTTTGTATTTGAAAGGAAAATGTGTGGCAGTTATTTATTTTGGAGATGTAAGGGCCAAAGGAGTGTGTGGCTCATTGCAAAACTGAGCTGCAAGTTGAGGCCACTATATAATTTTCCAAGATCCCACAAGAAATCACTGGTGAATTTGAAATGAGAGTCCTTATTTCTTGACTCCTCGTTCCCTGTATCTATCATAACAAGCCACCACAAAATTCGGTGGCCTAAAACAACAGCAACCATGTATGCTTTGTTGTTGTTGTTTTGAGATGGAGTCTCGCTCTGTCGCCCACGCTGGAGTGCAGTGGCGCGATCTCGGCTCACTGCAAGCTCCGCCCCCTGGGGTTCACGCCATTCTCTTGCCTCGGCCTCCCGAGTAGCTGGGACTAGGGGCGCCCACCACCACGCCCAGCTAATTTTTTTGTATTTTTTAGTAGAGACGGGCCATCTATGTTTTTATGAACTACAGCTTGGGCTGGCGTGGACAGCTCATGCCTGTTTCTTGTGGGGTCAGCTGTGTTGGCTCTGGGCCTGGGGATGTACCTCCAAGATGCTCGCCCATGAAGCCAGCAGCTCCTGGGAGCTCAGGTGGGGCTTTCATGGCTGACCTCATTACTTCTTTACATGGGTCTCTCCTCTGCGTTGCTCACAGCATGGCAGCTGTGTTTTAAGACAGGAAGCGGAAGCTGGTTCCCCAAACCGGCAAGTGTCACTTCTGCCATATTCTACTGGTTTAGGAATCACAACGCCTGCCAAGATTCAAGAGGACACACAGGCTTCCCAGAACCTGAGGGAAGGCAGTCAGTTGGTTTGTGTCTATCGTGGCCTGCCATCCCTTCGGTATGTTTCCCAAATGCTACATGGTGTCTTCATTTCACACCATGACTTTTATCACATTTTTATATGTTTTTCCTGCTTAAACATCTCGAATTTGTATTCAACCATTGCTTTTTAGAGTTAAACTAAAAGGTTATGTAGCTGTTTACTTATAAGTAACAATTCTGAAGCCTAATAGAGTGAGATGATGTCCAAAGTCAAAGACTGAGGTAGTAATGAAAGCATCTAGAATCCAGACGTTCTGACGTCTTGTCTGGTCCCCTGTTCATAACAGGGAGCTGACCACACTGAGCTGGACCTTTTACTACATGAGTGCTTAGGGTCAATATTGTAGTATGAGGCAGTCATAGAAACACGTATTTCATCTGTAACATAAAATGCTTAAGAAGTTGTACTCCACAATTTAAAAAATTTGTAACACTTTTGAAAAACAATATCCACTGAAGAAAGAGAATGAGCAAAGTAATCTCAGACACTATGTTATAATATTCTTAGTAGAATTTAAAAAATAGGAAAAATAAAAACCTGTCTTCTAGCTGAAGCTTCATAAGACCCACCACCTCACGAATACCTCTATGCTGTCTTTGGTAATTTTAAAATTATATCTCACATCATCAAAATAAATATTACTACAATTGATTTTCACAAAATGGCATTGGACAATAAGAAAAATATGGACGATGATGATGATGATGATAACAGCTTTTATTTGCTATCAGATTCGCAAATTTGAATGGGTTAACACATTTACTTCTCACAATAACCTTGTCAAGTGGGCTTTGGAGGCTGAGTTTCAGTGTGTTGTCCAAGGTCTGTAAATTACAGAACTGGAATTCTGTCCATTCTGTCAAATATTTACTACACACCTCCTACTCCTACAGGCCTCTGCTCCATGCTCTGGGTACAGCATGGACCAGCATGTGCTGGCTGTCTGAACTCACATTGCTCAGGGCCTTGTGGGCTTTGAGGTTGATTTTCCCTGAATTTCTGTTGGCTTATGCTATGATAGTTAATTTCATGGGTCAACTTGACTGGGCCACTGGGTGCCCAGAAATCTGATTAAACCTAATCCTGGATGTATCTGTAAGGGTGTTTTCAGATGAGATGAGCATTTGGTTAAGTGCACTGAATAAAGCTGATTGTCCTCCCCAGTGCAAGCAAGCCTTATCCAAGGCTTCAGCAGGAGAAATGGCTGAGCAAGAGAGATCTTGCTCTCCCTGCGTTGTTGCCTTAGAGAGGGAATATCAGCCTTCTGCCTCTGGACTTGAACTCAGGCTGGAACTTACACCGTTGGCTCTTCTGGGTCGGGTTCCTCAGCCTCTGTAGTTGCATGTGTCAATTCCTTATAAAAATTCTCTTTTCTCCCCTCCTCTCTCTCTCACACACACACACACACTCTCTTACACACACACCCTATTAATTCTGTTTCTCTGAATTACTCTTACACATACACCAAACTTTTGTGATCTATGTAGTGCATCACAAATTAAAATGCATTGAGGGGCAAGGCAGTAACTTGTAAATGTGTAAGGCAGCCAAGTGTTGTGAGGGAGAGTGGTCTATTTGTGAAGTGGGAACACATCTCCACTTGAAGATCCCACATCACTGTCGTTGTTCTGAATGCAGCATGGTCTGAATGACCCAGGACTGTAAGCGCTGTTTCCTGACTTAGAACAACACGGGGATGCCCTGCCTAGGCCTTGCGCTGTGTTTAGACTTGGCCTTGGTGTGTTCCTTGCATCATGTGTCAGTTCATGTGGAAATGCACAATCTATGGGAGGCCCTCAAATTTTACTGCCCAGTCGTGCTCTTGACCATTTGGCTAAACATGGTGAGATCTGTTTTCATTTTGAAAAATGCTGTCAGAATCTACTTGAAAGAAGAAAGTAATACTCGCTTTCTCTCTGTGTCTTGACATCAGTAATAGACAAGCTCCATCCTGAAGTATTTGCAGCTGATGGCAGGAAATCTTTACATCTTGATCTGGACCATGCAGTGAGTGGTGTATTTCTCAGTGTGTGAGAAACACACACACGCATATATAAAATCTATACGTATAATATATATATAAAGGTATTTTTTGATGATTGTTTTTATTGAATTTAACATTTTCATAATCTTTTTATGTCCAAATTTAAAACATCCTAACACATCTTTTTAAATCTAACTGATATAATGAGCTGTAGCTTTGTGTTAGGCCCTAAGGTATAAATGAAGTTTATTTTACTTTTCCCTTCCAATTTGCCATTGTTACTGTAGCTTAGAGAGAACAGCAAGACTCTTTTCTCTTAGGAAATCGAGATAATATAAAGATGTTTTTTTCCCAGAAAAAAATACAAACTTGCTAAATTTTAATACATAATTTTGACAATAAAGTAAAAAATAAATTATATTTTGTTTCTACTAAAAACATATTTAGAAACAAAGTGGAGTTTTGTTTTGTTTCAACTATAAAACAATGAACAAAGAAACAGCAATGCACATCTTAAGATAAAATGAAGATGTGGATTGTGCTACTTAAATAATGGTACATAGAGTGGGTCCCGGGGCCTACTGGGCCCTTTTAGAAGGAAACCACCTTCATCTTCATCAGCGTTTACAGATGACCTGTTACGTGCTGGCCACGGTGGTAAAGTAGGGGGATGTCGTGGTGAGGAGGGCACAGTCTTGCTCCCTAAGAAAAACGTTTGGAGGAAGAAACTTACATATGTGTGAAACTACCTCCCCTCTGGCTTCGTGGAATGTCCTGTCGGGGTGAAGCAGTCTTCTCCAGAGAAATACAGTGCGTGGCTTCTGCCTTCATAATTAACCTCCAGAATGTCCAAGGCATGAATTCAAGCAAGTAAAGAAGCAAAGAGAACAAAGAAACACAATGACAAAACACTTACCCAACATCTACTACTGTTTCCAAGAACGATTCACATATATTTACTTATGTAATCTTCACAGAGCCCAGTGAGTTAGGTACCATATTATTCCACTGTATGGATGAGGAAACTGAGGCACAGAGGGGACTTCAGTAACTTGCTTTAAGTTGCACAGGTAGGCCGCACAGCCAGCATCTAACCCCAGACAGCCTCTCCACACAGCCCTTGATCTTGACCTTGACCTTGACCGCTGTGCAATTCTTGAGACTCTGTTTCCTGTGGTTTTGCAGAAGTTGTGAAAATGGCTCTGCCAGTGTCTCTTTTCCTCAGGTGTGTTCTCTTCTGCTCCTATTTTACTTCCATGTTCATTCCTCTCCCCCAACTTCTCTTAACCCCAACTGTCACTCAGCCTCCTTAGATCATTGTGCACCCTACCTTCTCCCATCTGCTAACCTAGAATCTTTCTCTTTTTGGTAAAAAAGTTTCAGATGATAAAATAAGCTTAGATCATACAATCTATGGGTCCTAGCCCTGCAGTGGGAAGAAGAGTAAAGGAAATTAGACTTATTGAGCTACTTCAAATACAGCAGCGAATGCTTTCACCATTCATTGCTCTCGCACTCAACAGAAGGGGAGTGAGGAGATGTAACACACCAGGGATGTGCTTTGGCCCATGGTTTTCAAGTCTATATTCAGGACAGAGAGCTGTTTGGCTTGGGTTTCATGACAACTCTATGGTGAATTAGAAATGCTTGACATCACATGGACACAGGAAGGGGAACATCACACTCTGGGGGACTGTTGTGGGGTGGGGGGAGGGGGGAGGGATAGTATTAGGAGATATACCTAACTCTAAATGACGAGTTAATGGGTGCAGCACACCAGCATGGCACATGTATACATATGTAACTAACTGGCACATTGTGCACATGTACCCTAAAACTTAAAGTATAATAATAATAAAAATTAAAATTAAAAAAAAGAAATGCTTGACGTCATTTTGTTGTTGTAGTAGGATTTAATTATGAATAATATTTTTTAAAAATATATTTTATTTATAGGGCAATGTCATATTGAACGAAGTAAAGAAAATTGTAAAGCAAAACAATCACCAATAATGCCACCAGAATAACAAAGCTGTTCTTATTTTCTGTATTCCTAGTTTGTATTTTTATTTGTAATTTATTGAAATAGAACCCCCAATACTACTCTCTTATTAGAGGAATATCAAGTTGAGAGCACAAACAGTCCCCCACATTAATATGACTTCTGGGGACTGCCAAGCCTTCTATGGTCTGTCATCTGCTCAAATTTCAAGCACCATCTCTTTTTATTTATTAATTTTATTTTATATTTCGGGGTACAGGCACAGGGTGTGCAGATTTGTTACATAAATAAACTTGTGCCATGGTAGTTTGCTGCACAGATCAACCCATCACCTAGGTATTAAGCCCAGCATACATTAGCTATTATTCCTGATGCTCTCCCTCCCCCAAACTCCCTTTTCACCGCTGACAGGTGCCAGAGTGTGTTGTTCCCATTTCTGTGTCTATGTGTTCACATTGCTTAGCTCTCACTTATAAGTGAGAACACGCAGTGTTCAGTTTTCTATTCCTTTGTTAGTGTGCTGAGGATAATGGCTTCTAGCTCCATCCAGGTCCCTGCAAAGGATATGATCTTGTTCTTTTTTATTGTTGCATAGTATTCCATGGTGTATATATACCACATTTTCTTTATCCAATCTATCATTAATGGTCAATAGCCATCTCTTACCTTTGCCCCATATGCTGTCTTAGCTGCATCTATATTGGACTCCATATAGTTACTGGCAGGTGACATCTTTTTTCCCCATGTCTACCTGCTTTTGATTAAGCTGTTTTTCTTTTAATACATCCTTCCCTGTTTGTTGTCTACTTACCTTTCAATATTTAGCTGACACATCACCTCTGACACAAACTTTCCCTAGTTAGTTACCAAAGTTTTCTCTTCCATTTTTTCATTTGCAAAGTTAGAATGATCAGGGTATCATGACACTAATGTCTTGTTAGAATTAAATAAATTAAATGAGACAACACAGGGTCAGCACTTCAGTGCCTGACATATGGCACTTAATACATGTTGGCTGCTTTACTAATAATTATGTAAGATACGGGGGTCTTTATTACAATTTTTATGAAAGTCATTTGAGCTCAGTAATACCACTATTCAAAAGCAAAATCATGATGAATATCTGAATGTAACAGTACACAGTTAACAATCTGATCACTCGGTAATCTATTGCATTATTTTCCGTAGACTGTTGCAAATGTCATGTTTCCAAAAGAAGAGGGAATTGGGACAAATGTCGTTTCAAAATCTTCCCCCTACTTGCTATTTTATAATTTCCGTGAAACCGTTTACAAATATTTTCTTTACGGGCAGTTAGGGCAAATCACTGCTTCACATCTGGAATTTTAGGGTAAGGAACAACTCCAGCTTCCAGTGGTCTCCCTTGAAGGGAGAGAAAGGTGAGATGCAGAGAGTTAAGTGAGCTGCCCAGTGACACCCCATGAGAATCAGACGCAGGCTTTCTGCTCCGGCTGCCCTTACACCACCGTGGTGTTCACAGCTTCGTCTGTGCGTGGAAGCTCATGGAATCTCTCCTGTTCCCCTAGTCTAAGAGTCCTGGTAGTCTTTTAGACTTTTTTTTTTCTTTTTTGTCACAGAGTCTCTCTCTGCCATCCAGGCTTGAGTGCAGTGACGCCATCTTGGCTCACTGCAACCTCCGCCTCCCAGGTTTAAGCGATTCTCTTGCCCCAGCCTCCCGAGTAGCTGGGATTAGAGGCACCCGCCACCATGTCCAGCTAATTTTGTATTTTTAGTAGAGATGGAGTTTTGCCGTGTTGGCCAGGCTGGTCTCGAACTCCTGACGTCAGGTGATCCACCCACCTTGGCCTCCCAAAGCGCTGGGATTATAGGCGTGAGCCACAGTGCCTGGCCAGTCTTTTAGAGTCTAAAGAGTGAAAGTTGCATGCATCAGGTTGCTATCCCAGCTGTGCTGTTGTTTTGATATTTGGTGCCGTAATGAGCTCTGCTTTATGGCTGCCAGTACACACCTCTGATTGTGCCATTGTTTATGTTTGCTGTGGGTGCTTTGTTTACGTGTTAAGGCCCATGGTACCTTAGGCTTGCCATATGATACTCTTCTAGCATCTTAGGCATGTAAAAATGCTGTTCTCATTAGTGGGATTTCAGAAACAATCTTAGAACACTTTAAAATGAAACCTATTATGGACGAACTTTAAGCAAGAATAAAGCATCTATGCTAATGGTAATTTTTGTAATGTGATTTTTTAGGTTAAATATACTGTCCATGCATTACTTAGTTTTAGGATGAACATAGCATTTAACTTTGATTAAATACGAAGTAGATGAGAATTTAAACCAGTGGAACTCAATTATTGGACTGATTAAGCAAGAAATATATATTATCTATTTTAATCTGCTTAATTACTGAAACAAGTTTTTCTTTTAAAATTACTCTATTAGTCCAAAGAACAAAATCAATGTATATTCAATTCATATTAATTATACAACAAACGCAAAGTCGAGTCAGGTTTAGCACAGTCCAGTACTGTGATTTTCTTATTGGTAAATTGAAAATTCATTTACTAAAAGCAAAAAGAGTGCTTTGACTACATTTAAAATCAGCATGAATGCTAAAATTTAAATGTCAAACCAATCTCAAATCTGTAGGGGTTTAAGTGTGTACAGGGTCAAGGTAGGGAGGAAGAATGTGATTCTATTTCTTCTGCTTCTGAAGCAAGGATCTGTACAATGAAACTGTTAGGTTTGTAGACAACAGATGACTTTACCAAAATAGTATTTTAGTGGTTGAACAGTGACAAATCAGAAGATGCTGAATGAATTTTCTTTAAGCTATACACAGGTTTACAAATGAAGGAACAAAGGCAAGATAAGATGTGTCTGTGTTTCTACTACAAAATTAATTATCTTGGCGCCACTGCCCAAGACAAGTCGCTTTGTCCACCTGATGGAAAGAAAACCACGCACAGCTAATGCGTTTTGCCAACCAAACTCTACTGGTCATTAAGGAATGAACAGAGAAAAAAAGAGAGAGTCCCAGAGGGTGGCTCTTGTGAAGGCTAACCTGAACTCTCTAGTTAGGTCTGGGCTGTACCCACAGGTTGTATCAGACAGTGCACATTTGATTTTGTAGTAACACTTCATGTTGGAACAACATTTCCCATTTTACAAAGCTTTTTATTTATTTTCTTTTTTAACTTCCGCAACCACTCTATCGGGCCTATGTATATTTAGCTATAGATTATTAACTATTTATTATGTCATGCAATTAACATGTAGTTAAGTAAGTTAAATGAACATTTTATGCATATATGAGTAATTTTTATTACTTTCCACCTGTAAGTCAGTGAAAAGGCTCCGAGAGGCAGAATCATGATATCGAATAGTGTATGAATGGCAGAGCTGGAACTTAAGCCTGCGTTTTCTAAGTCTAGGGTTCTTTTCTTGATGCCCAAACTGCCACTGGAGTCACAGAGCTGCTGACTGACCAAAATGGGAAAGATGTGATAACCCCTAGATTACTTTAAGGAACCTGGACCATTTAAACTCTTTTGCCTGTATCAATCAAGTTAATGTCAAACTGACCACAGATCTGCTTCTCTCTACCCTGTTAAGCTAGAGTCTAAATCAATAAGCACATCATTCAGATGCCGCATGCATTCATTCACTCATTTATTCATTTATTCAGCAAGTGATTACCCACTATCTCTGTGGCTCCACGATGCTCCCTGGGAATAGAACAGTGCAAATGTTAGTATGAGTCCCACCCTCACAGAGGGAAAGGGACTAGCCGTGGTTTAGGAATTAGAAGCCAATGTAGAAAATGATAGAAGGACGGTAAGGGAGCTGTGGGTGCTCCGAGGAGAGGCACGGAACACAACCTGGAGGAGTCAGAGAAATCCTGGATGACATTTCTAAGTGCAGTCCTCTTGGGTAAGCAAGAATTAGCAAGGCAAAATTGAAGCATGAAGGTTTGGAGAGAAAAAAATAATGTTGCTGGCAGAATGACTGGTACATGTGAAGGATCAGTTGCCTCATCCAGTCTGAGTTTTCAACGCTCCTATGAGAATGCTTCCTGACAGAGAAAGCCTCACCCTCAGCAGCCATCCCTGCTTTATTTGTGTGGATGGCGAGGCTCAGGGAAGCAAAGTAATTATTCCCTTCTGGAAAATAGCAATCACGCTTAACACTTAGTTCTAGCCTCTCTATGCATTTCTTTTTTCTTTTCACAGTACTATGCTACTGTTAACCATGGTTTACATCAGAATTTCCCAAACCACAGTTTGTCTTCAAATAAGAATAAAATAATAGCTATTGCTGTGGCCAATTAGACTAGATCTTAAAATTATAAAATGAGTCCGGATAATTTGTTCAATGAATTCTAACCATGAAGATTGGCTACGCAATCATACTTTTTCAGTGATTTTGGGGTCATGAAGTCCGGAAATGAAACCCAGTTTGTGTGAGCAAGACATAATTATGCATTTCCAGTCCAGTAATCCTAAACATATACAAATTTCACCATTTCAAATTCATCAGCACCCTCATCTCCAGATGAATGGACAGAGGAAAAGAAAATGGACAGGACAAGGCTTTTAGGCTGCTTTGGGAACTATGTTTTTGTGTTTGGGGAGGTAGAGCGATTCAGGACTATCTTCTTTCCTCTTTATTTCTCTACCTTCACTAGGAGGTGCTCCATGTTCGCTAGGAGGTTCTCCAAAGATCCAAATCACCTAAGCATGCACACCTTTCCCTTAAGAGACAACATATGTTCTAATGACCAAGCCTTACAAGTAAGTAATTTAGCGAGATAGAGAGTAATGTCATTGTCAATCCTGTGGCCTGGCATATTGGTCATCTTTAATGACTCACTGAATCCTTGCCCCTACAGAATGTTTGTTTGCTGCTTTGTGAAAACCCTTGTCTTTACATTTCTGTGTCTGCATCCATAAACTGTCATCATTATTCCACCTCTCTGAGCCATTCACTAACTCACAGATGGAGAATGAGAAGCATTGCACGTATTGGTATATTGATATTGGGCACTTTTGTGTCTGGTCCATGTGCATGTGTTCTGCCTGGCACACTGATGCACACACCTGGTCTCACTTTCTGCCTTCATGATTTTCTAGATTTAGGACAGATATTATTTATTTTTGCTGCCCCACTCACATTCATTCAAACTTCTTTTACTAAAGCAATACTGTGATGCCTGTAATCTCAGCACTTTGGGAGGCCAAAGCAGGCAGATCACGAGGTCAAGAGATTGAGACCATCCTGGCCAACATGGTGAAACCCTGTCTCTACTAAAAATCCAAAAATTAGCTGGGTGTGGTGGTGTGCACCTGTAGTTCCAGCTACTCGGGAGGCTGAGGCAGGAGAATTGCTTGAACCTGGGAGGTGGAGGTTGTAGTGAGCCGAGATCGTGTCACTGCACTCCAGCCTGGTGACGGAGCGAGACTCTGTCTCAAGAAAAAAAACAAAAAACAAAAACAAACAAACAAAATACTGCGATTTATTTATTTATTTATTTTGTGGGGTGGGAAGGACTCACTTTTTCAAGGCTCTTCACCCATGAGGTTTGGATGGAATTGACTTCACCTCCAGCCACTGTGGTGGACTCTAATTGGCCCAATTAGAATAATGCATCCCCCTTACTTGGCTCAGAGCCAGCAAGATATAAAAAGGCTATTGTTAGGTCTTTGTGAAACACGCAGGTATAATTGCTACTGTACTTGTAGCTGGAAGAAGTGTCATGTTGGAACTGATGCTGCCATCTTGCTGCAACACATGATTTGAGGATGAAGCCAACCTGACACTTAGAGAACAGACCCAAGAAAGAGAGTGAGAAAAGCAGAGTCCAGTAAAATCAACTGAGTTTTTGAACCCAATCCTACCCCTGGTATTAGTTTTCCTATTTCAGAAATATTTCCTTATTAATTAAACCAATTTGGGTTGTGTTTTTGGCCATTTTCCATTGGAAAGACATTAACTGTTATACTTTGCCAACCCTGCCAGGCAGAATGGATTCCTCCCTTCTCTGCATTCTCAAATGCTTTGTTTATAGCACTATTAGATCACTTCTCAAATGGTTTATAGTTGGTTATATGAGTTTGTAAGCCTCTGGAGGGTACTAACCATGGCTAATTCCGCTTTACATCTCCCCAGCTTCAAGCACAGTGCCTGGCACATGGTAGATACTCAATGAGGGTTTGTTCAATTAACTAACAACTTTACTGCTCTTCCTCTGTTAGCTTCAAATTGGTTTCCCTCTCTGAGTTTATAAGCTTCAACTCCCACAGAATGAGAACAGCACGTATCTGTGCAATGTTTTAATGATTAAAATAATTAAAAGGCAGTAGGGCTACATTATCTTGACAACTTCCTCAAAGGTGAACCAAGTTGAACGCTGTTAACTAATTACCATCACAGGCAAACCAAATGTAGGAAATTGTCAATTGTTTGCTGAGAAATGTCACCATTGTTTTCAAAGCATATTTTTTCCAGGCTGACATTATTTCAGTCCTTCTACAGGCACTGGAGACCTTTGAAAAATGAAGTATGAGTATTTTATTGATAAAAAATAACCTTTAAGAGATTTTGGAAAAGAAAAAAAAGTAGTGATCCCCAAAAGTGCCTTCCAGAGCCTTGTAAAATGCTATCAGCTGAATTATTATGAGATTTCTACTTCATTTCAGAAAACTCACCCCTGCCAGGATTGAAAAATACCAGCCAATTAGCCATCCCGACAGCATGAGTGCTTTCATTTGCCTTCATATGTTTGCTGAATCCCTCGCTTGCACCCATACTGAGCAAGCAGCTCTCCCATGGATCCCATGTGAATGTCATCAATAGACCAAATTCATTGCATTTTTACTCTTGTTGCTTGGCAAACCTATCCATGTTGAGTTCACCGTTACTGCCCATATAGTTTTGTTTTATCACAATTTTCACAATAATCCCTTTTCTACTTTAAATGGAAGGAAAGGCCATGTTAGACCAGTAGCCTTCATCGATCATTTCTTGCCTTGAACAGAGCTCCTGGTAACTAAAGCCTATACATGCTGCTTCTGGCTTTCCCTAAGTTATGGGCACACCTGTCATTCCTTGGCTTTACTAGTGCTCTCCACCGCTACGCGACAATGCTCTTGAATCTCATCTTGAAGGCATCATACCAGGAAAAGGGACAAAGCAGCAACTTTGATGGCAGGACAATAGATTCGTTTTTACTCTGGGCTCTGTAACTTGTGAAAAAATCATTTCTTGGCCAGGCACAGTGGCTCATGACTGTAGTCCCAACACTTTGGGAGGCCAAGACAGGAGGATATCTTGAGCCCAGGAGTTCGAGACCAGCCTGGGCAACAAAGTAAGACCCTGTCTTTACAAAGAAAAATTTAAAAAAAAATTAGCCTAGTGGTGGCAATGCACCTGTGGTCCCAGCTACTTGGGAGGCCGAGGCAGGAGGAATGCTTGAGACGAGGAAGTTGAGGCTGCAGTGAGCTGTGTTTGTGCCCCTGCACTCAGCCTGGGTAAGACAGTGAGTGCCTGTCTCAGAAAAGAAAATGAAAAATCATTTCTCTTCACTTAGCCTCACAGGCTTGTACAAGAAAAGAAATTGGTATAGACAGTCCATAAAAATCACAGTATTGTTAATATATTCTGATTCTGTGTTGCTTTTCTTTATGAGGATGGCAAGCTAGTTCACATCCATGAGATGCAGTGACACTCACCTGGAGAACACACTCCAAATTTTCTGTTTTTATTTGGTAATAGATTTTTTTTTCGAATTACTTTGCTCAGTTGATAAATGGAGAGCACAGGCTCTTCTAGGGGTCTCTTTCTGGATGTGAAAAGCAAGAGATGTAATCATGCACAAGAAGAAACAGTGTGCTCATTACCCCTAAGTCACACACACACACAAATACAAGCATTAGAATAACCTCTTGGAATATTCATGAATTTTGAAACATGTTACGGTATCAGGAGTTCTTCTCCCTGTTTTCTGATACTTTAACTCACACCTTCTGAACTGTAGAATTTCTAGTGATTTGTGAAATCTCCACTCACATTGGTCCTACCTGCTGGAGGAAGCCTTCACCGATACCCTTAGCCCTGACCAGCTGCCCGTTCTCTGTGCCTGTAGGCACATATGAGTAATCGCACGCCATGCTGACTTCATGGATCTTTGGATGTCAATCTTCTACACTTCATATTCCTTGAAGGTAAAGAGTGTGTCCTATTCCTCTTTGTATTCCCGAGGCCCAGCCTAATGGGCAACGAATTACGGAAATCTCAGCCAATGTTTGAAAAGTAAGCTTAGGGAAAATTTACGAGCAAAAGACTTAAATAATAATAAGACACTTTTACAATACACGAGGATTCACAGAAATGTGTATGGTAAATAGTAAATGAGTTGACCAGACATGGGAGGCCATGGAGAGAAAATGCAATGTCTTCATCAGCAAATAACAGTTTGGATAAAAATAAAATGTGGTAACATGCTTTCTGTGGTTAAGAACTGTGGTTAGTCCAGTGTGGCTAAGGAATGTTAGAAAGTCAGATTGAGAGAAAATGATAAAAAGCTTTGAAGGCCAGGCTAAGACTTTATAGATCTATTCTGCATACCAAGCTAATATTTTGATGAATAGAATCTGTGGGCAATTCTGCCTTGCATATATGTTATAAAGATAGACACCGTCTCCTGAGCCTCAGCTCCCTTACATATAAAGTCAGGAGGTTAGAACCCTGGCAATCTCTAAGGTTTCTTGATGACCTTCAATCTATGATTTAGGGCCGAGCTGGTTCACCTCATGCAGACATCACTTTGGAAAAGATTATCCTCATTATGCTGCCTCATCTGAGCCCAAGATAATAAATAACTGCAATTATCAATTAGGCTTACCTGTTTCAGCTTTCTTTCTCAACAATCTTGAAGAAAATCCTTTAAGATTGTGACTTTATAAACACATAAGATAATTAATTGAGAAGACTCAAACACATATTCACTCAAGAAGACGTCTCCACAAGGAAGGGCAGAGCTGAGTGAGAAACAAGGACCCACAACTAGAGTTGAGTGGACCTCAGGGAGAAGAGGGTGGAGGGGACGTTGACAAGGATGCCCAAGGGGAAGCCAGACTCGAGAGAGACCATTCAGGTGCTGGCTGGCCCGAGAAGGGAAGACCTAGGAGGCGAAAATCCACAGGGGCTGGGAAGGGAAGTTCCAAAGTGCCCCAAAAGGACCCAAGGGAACTAGCGTGGCCGCCTTGTGGCTAATGGGTTTGTATTCATCACTTTCCATGGCATTTTTCCTCTATGTCCCACCCTTTAAGTTTAAGGAAAACTTGAAGGTTTCTCCCAAGTTACATATAACAGTTTGGAGACAAACCGACTCACTAGAGGCTCAGACTGGCCGATATCAAGGCCCTTTGTGGAATAATTCCAAGAAATGCATTAACTATCATATATTATGAGATATCTGCATAGTTCTGTGGCAAAATAAAATTGCCATATGAATCTGTGAATGTAAAAGTGTGTTGCCTGGTGTAATTGAGACACAAACAGAGACTTATATGTGGCGAGTTCCTCTGACTGCTTCTTCTCTCACAAGACAGCTCACAGATTCAGCCTTTCATTCACACATGTGAGATAAAATACTACCCAAAGGGATAAGTTCAGGTTTTTGAGCTTAGGGCATTTTTCAGGAAAAATGAGGATAATGGAACACACACATACCTATGCAGAGCCAGCTTCATAGGCATGCAAACTGTGCAGCCCCACACAGCACCACGCAGCCACATGCTCAGCAGAGTGTTTAAGGTACTATTGTCTCCATCCTGAAATTCTTAGTAATTTTTGAACAAAAGGCTTAATACTTTTATTTTATACGGGTTCCCACAAAGTATGTGTTTGGTCTTATGTGCATATATGGATAGATAGCAAATAGATGATAGAGACAGATAAACAGATAAATAGATATGATAGTGATGACTATGATAATAGATCAAGATTTGAATAAAGAAAGCAAGCTGTGGGGATGAGAAAGAAACTTTCTACCATACTATTTTTCTTCAAATCACTTATCTTTTGCCTGATTCACATCTTATCTGGTGAGAAAATTTCAATTTGATTATTAATAGAGAATTTAAATTCTCTGAAAGACCACTGTTTATGAGTTGCACTAAAATCAGTAACCTACTTCATTAAACGGAGTTAATAATGTTATTTTCGTGGGTACTTCAATACAGAGTAGAAAGCCACTGTTTCCAGGAAAGGTAGTGTATTTGTCAATAATCTTCTTTCCACTTTCTTCATCGTACCTTAATGCCCAAGAATCAGCTAATCTCAGTGAAAAAAAAAATATATACGCCTCATGCGCTGCCACCTCAAACATCACCTAGAGTCAAATTGTTTCAAAACATGAGTTCCACTGGCTTCCAGCCCAAGTCGCAGTGACTGCACTTCATGCTGCTGAAACTGCAAACAGTTCAATCTGAAGGATTCCATCGCAGGAGAACTGGATGTGCAACTAGATGACACTATAGATAAGTGGATTAATCCAGAAACTTCTAATGCTTTCTAATTCCATTCAATGGGGAAAGATGGTCACAGTGACAAGATGAGTATATTCTTAAAAAAAAATTGTTAGAAATCTTCTAACGCAGTGTTAATCTCCTTTGTATTGCCATTTTGATGATTACATAGTAGTGGTTTTCTGTATTTCCATCTTTTAAAAACATTATTATTACTCTTTTATTTTTATAGGATAGGGTCTTGCTATGTTGTTCTGGCTGGTCTCAAACTCCTAGGCTCAAGTGACCCTACTGTCTCAGCCTCCCAAGTGGCTGATATTATAGGCTTGAGCCACTCTACCTGGGTCTTTTTTTCCCCTTTAAGTTATTCTACATTTGAACTTACTTTAAAATTATGTTTTCTTTCTAAATTAGAAAAATCACTGATTCTCAAACTATTAAAACTAGAAGAACTATTTGGAATTATTTAGCTCATTGTTTTACAATTTTAAAGTATTTTCTTACGGTCTTCATATATTTTTTCCATACCTTGATTCCCTAAATACAGTATAATGATTTCTATTTTTTAAAATCAGTTCATTTTGTATGTTAAAGAAATTTACTCTCATCTTACACAATAGTATCCATTAAATCCTGGATTTAATAAGCTAGTTTTAAACTTTCAAAACACACACACAAACACACAATTTTTTCCGTTAAATTTGTCTATGACCACCTGAAAATAGTTTATGTATCTCTCTAATAAACATACTACAATTTGAGATATGGAAATACAATCTAAACTTTTTGTGGTACAGACTAGCCAATTAAGGCTTAGTGAGCATATTAAAGAAAAAAAATATCCCATGGCCCAGTGGAAAATCTTAGGCTTAAAACATTTTTAATTATAATCCTTACCCTGCCATTTCCTACCTCTACCTCTTTGACTAAGTTACCTAAAAATCTGTGAGCCTCAGTTTTCTTATACATAGGAATGACATTTAAGCAACAACCTAGCCCATACAACACTCCTGAGGACTAAATAATCCCAAGAAGGAGGGGTTATAATGGGTTTGTGATGGTGACAGATGACATAGATCATTGTAAAGATTGTGGATTTTATTCTGAGATAGAAAGCCATTCCTCAAGGTCACAAGGGCAGTTATTGACAGATGACAAACAAAACCAAATTTCCCTACTTCTCAGTTGAATGACCTGGGTGCAAAATGTACTAAGTTAGTTAGACATTAAATAAACTAGTGTCATTTATCCGTCTTCAATGAACTGAGTGTTTATAAGACTTTATCTAGCCAATAATGTTCACAGAGCACAGATAACTCTCTTTCCTAATGAAAATACATAGTGAGTGTATTATTGTATGAGGATCAATGGTTCCCTAATTTTTTTCTGACATGGTTGCTTCATTGCAATTTATCTCTGCAGCAAAAGGTAGAATGATTGGTTCCTTTCTGATTTTTCCTTTCAATCTAACATATGGTTCTGTTTAAATGTGTCCATGTTTGCAACTTACAGTTGACGTTTTTGGCACTCAGAATAGTATCTTGCAATTATACTTAGTTTAGAAAGAAGGGTTTGCTTTAACAGCAGAATGCATGAAATAAAAAAGTTCAAGTCAAATTTATTGGCTGCTGAGAGCCCTCCAGAATGTAGACGTCTGGTCTGGGGAAACTCAATGGATTTCTGTTCTTGGTACACGCACCCACTTATGTGTTCATGTCCCACCCCCCATCCTCACAGCCATTACATGAAAGCATCTGAGTGTTGTACAAGGTTAAAGCTTTTTGTGTTAATCTATCCCATATGGAGCAGGTATTAAACAGACAGCAAATTCAGTCAAAGCCTGGGGCAAGCATGTATTTGTAACTAGGGACACTGTCAAGGGACTTTTGTAGCAAAGAATACTGGGGGGGAAACAGAGAAAAGAGCATATGGAAAGTAGAAAAGTACCTCCCAGGCTAGACTCAGCCTGCAAATAATTGTATATGTGAAGACTCTAAACTTCTTACTATGGTCATAGCTGACATTTACAAACACTTGAGGAAGGGGTGCTCCTCCTGCTTCACCATGCCCATGAGACACAGAGTTACCCCATTTCTGAGCCTAACTGCAGAAATTAAACCCAGAAATAACAGTGATTCAGCACAACTCAACAGTGTCCCAGCACCAGATCCTGGACACACGGAAATTAGTAAAACAAAGGAGCTCTGCAAAAGTAATAGAAAGGCACATGTCAAGCTCTTCGCCATTTAAGTGAAAAGATTTTATGTTTTAAGTACTGAATTTTGAGCAAATGAGAGACTGACTGAGAATTCTTGGTGGTTAGAATATCTATATCAAAATCAACATGTGACCAGGCCAGTTCATGACGTATATCAGGCAATGGAGATCTGGAATAGACTCAGAACAACAAAATGGTGGGAAGCCAACTAGAGGAGACGCTGGCACTGCTGACCCTGGTTCAAGGGCAGGTTGATTCCCCCAGGATGGAGGAACTGGAAGTCAGTACCAAAAGACAAGGTAGGCTTGTTTCTTTCTATATCTTTTTACAGACGTTTTTGCTTACTTATCAGATTTAAAGTGTTCTAAAACGTGGATACAGTTCTTCTGGGTGTTTTTATCCTCTGCTTGTGTGTACAAGATTCTTAAAGGACTCTTCTGGGTGACATAATCCTATCATCTATTCATGTAGATCTCTTGCATAGAATAAGCCCAAGCAAAGCCTGCAAAACCATTTATTAAGTGGAATGCATGGCCAGGGAGGTTTGAGAAGAGGGAGAGTTTGGGGTTAGATGATATCTAAAATCTCTTTCAGCTCTGAGTCTATTATTCTATGAGAGGTCTCTGAGCTCAAAAACCCTCGCAAACATCAGTGGCCCGGCTGGACCTCTACCCTGCTACCCAGATGGCGACCTAGTAGGAGACCACCTTCTGAGTCAGCCAGATCAACCTTCTTCTTGTTGACAAATACTGAGTAGCCACTCCATGCCAGGCACTGAAGATACAAAAGTGAGCAAAACCAACATAACCTTTGTGTTCTCATGGTGTTTCCATTGTAGAGGGGGATGCAGACATTGTTCAGTAATCACTGTAAGAGTGTGTATTAAAAGTGATATAAGGCCGGGCATGGTGGCTCACGCCTGTAATCCCAGCACTTTGGGAGGCCAAGGCGGGCAGATCATGAGGTCGGGAGATGGAGACCATCCTGGCCAAAATGGCGAAACCCTGTTTCTACTAAAAATATAAAAATTAGCTGGGTGTGGTGGCGCATGCCTGTAATCCCAGTTACTCAGGAGGCTGAGGCAGGAGAATTGCTTGAACGAGGGAGTCAGAGATTGCAGGGAGCCAAGATCGCGCCACTGCACTCCAGCCTGGTGACAGAGCGAGACTCCATCTCACAAAAAAAAAAAAAAAAAAAAAAAAAAAAAGTGATATAAAAGATCCAAATAAATCCTATGTGTCATATAATAAACTTGGCCTAGATTAGGCAATCAGGGAACGATGTCTAGGGGAAGTGATATTTGAGCCAAAATCTGAGGAACAGGAGTTAACTAAAGGAAGGAGGAACGTGAGTTTCCGGAGAGATGAAACAAACATATGCAGGGGAAGAACGTGACATCATAAAATCTAAAGGAAGGCCAGTAGGCTGGAGGAGAAATCCTGACGGGCAGAGGCAATGAAGTGTCTAAGATGCAATGTGGGAGCCAGGCTGGTCCACTTAGGGACTCAGGCCGGGAAAGAGATTCTGCCCCTGAATCTAAGTGATAATGAAGAGGCGCTGTAGGTTTTAAGTTGAAGGTTAACTTAGATTTGAATTTGAAAAGACCAATTTGGCATTCACTTTCCTAGATGCAACCAAACAGTTTTTGAATCAACTTTTAACTTACACTCCTTAGGTAGGCAATTTTCAAACAATCTTCAAGGCTTGGTGCTTATTTTGCATATAAATGGCTGGGCTAATTTGCGCTGCTTATAGCTTAGACCCAAAGGATGCTGGCCAACTAGGGTTTTCTGGCCTTTCTGTGCAAATGAGGCTCTTTCATTTCCTTGAAGAGTTGAGCTCATTGGGAAAAAGCCAGAAGCATCGACAACAGTCAAGGATGGTGTTTGGGGCAGGAGTTTAATTAACTAATAGGAAGATTGACAACAGATGTTGAGAACCTGCAACAGGGGGGACTTCAGATAAGGTACCAGAAATTCCACTTTCACCCTTGATAGAGCACTTAGCCACTTTGGGCTTCTGTTTCCTTGTTTATAAAATAGGATTCTTTCATTCATGCATTTGTTTTTTCTTGTTTTTAAATAATGCCCATTTACCAAATCTTGTGCTAAGCTCTGGAGATACACAAAATAAATAAAGTGTGGGGCCAGGCTTTAAGTCACGCACTGTCACTAGGGAAGAGAAGATCCAATCTTTAGTGAGCACTTACTGCATTCTGACAGTGTTTGGTACTTTCATATGCATTCCATTCTCTAATTCTTACAACAACCAGGGGAGATCATCAGCTTCTTAGCCGCACTCTTAGAAATAGGAAAACTAAGACTTAGAGAGAGGAAGTACCTAACCTAAGCTCAGGCAGATGGTAAATGGCAGAGCCAGCTTTCACACTCAAGGCTGTTTGATTCCAAAGCCCATGTTCTTTTCACTGTAACACACTGTAAGCAAGTCATTACAGAACCAAGTGATAAGTGTTTTAGAGGAGGTATGTACAAAGAATTATGGGAGCAGAGTGGGGCGAGACTAATAATAGCTTCCCTGATGTTTCATAGGGCCGTCTGGAGGATCACATGCACTAATGGACTTGAAAGTGCTTTGTAAACTAAAAAGTGCTATATAAATATAAGGGATTATTGTAACCCACATATCCGGATCTGCTATGTGAGGGTGCTGAGTAATTCTCAGTGTGAGAAATACATGCTTGGACTATGGCTATTTAATTCCTTCATTTCCAGGACTTTCTTGGCATTCACTAAACCACAGGGGTGGGTCTGGCAGCCAGCAATCTCACACATTCTAAATGGAAGCTGATGCCTGTCAGCTGTGTGGGGACATTCCTGGGTGCTGAGCGCTCAAATGGCACTCCAGGTTTTTATCTCTGAGCTGAAAGGGAAAGGATTGATTTAGCTTGGAGAGCTCCCGAGCAACTCTCCTCCCTCTCCTGCTGTCCAGAACCCAGCAGCCCCTAAGAAGGCCCTCCCAATGCCTCAACTCCCAATGATTTCCTGCTGGGACTGCCCACAGAAATAAGCTCCAGCAGGGGCCAAGCTGAGTCACCGTCTCCACCTTGCGGTGGGGCCCTGGGGAGAGGGATGGCTTGGAGACAGGGCCTGTTTATAATTACAGGGATTTTCCAGGCTACCCAGGATGGGGACAGGGTGGATTGTAAGCAGTTGTGCTCAGTAGCCAGGGAGTGACAATAGGGCTGTGTGACCCAACTTGGAGTCCACTAGGAGAAATGTGTGACCAGGCTAAGAACAGAGATCCTCCCACCGGCCAGTACTGTGGTTAGCATGGGCACTGCCTTTGTGAATATCTATCTATTCACATGGATGGGCATCCTTATTTTTTCTAAGTAGGAAGGCCTATCATCTTATTGTAGACTTAATTTTAAGGCCTCTCTAACTTACTAGGGCTCATGAAAACAGCTCATACTGCTGCCCCTGCTGGTCTCTCTGTCTCCTAAACATACAGGTTTGTATCATGAAGACTGGCAGCCCAAGGGTCAGGCCTGGCTCATGCAAGCTTTTCCCTCTCCAATGCCTCACTCCTCCAAGGCAAGTCACAGTAGGACAAGCACTGGGGCAGACTTGAGGACTGGAAGAGAGGCCGACTCGCCTCCTTGCTGTCTGTCCTCCTTCTCCTGCTCAGCCACACCCCTATCTCATATGCATGGGGTTTTCACCAGGCTCCCTTGTCCCACGAGTGTATTGACACAACCCTGCCTGTTCCTTATAGTCTGCAGAACAAGGATTAGCACCCTCGCCTCAAGGGGTCCCTCTGCTGGTGGAAATGACCCAGAAAGAGAAGGCATCAGAAGCCCAAGGAGAACCCTACCTTTTGGAGGAGCCATGGCTGCAATGAGGAGTTTGACAGTCCCACAAATATTAACCATGTCCCCACAGAAAGGAATCAGCAAAATCCGAGAAGCAGAAAGGCAGGAGAGATGAGAGCCAGGAGAGAATCATTCCTCATATTTCAAGAAAAGAGATAGCTTTAAGAAGAAGAGGTAGGCAGTGGTTAAATTTCGGATAACATTAAATAGGATGAGGCTCCACCGAAGTTAAACCACTGATGAGTTTTACAAGAATGATATCCAGAACCTGGTGGAGATTTCAACAAACTGAAGTGGGAAGGAAGCAGATATAGACTGCCTTCCCTAGAACTTTGGAGGTGATAAGAATAAAAGAGGAAAATCAGAGAGATCAAGGGTTCTTTTATTCATTCATTTTTAATATGGAATCTTTTCATCATATTTATTGATTGGCAGGTGGTGTAAAGAAAGAGATTTAAGGCATGTCGGAGATAGCATGTTTGGTTGGACTAGTGCAGTCTCAGTTCAGACCTGATGGCCCCCTATGCCTTCCCATCATAGCTTCCTTTTCCTCCGGTTTGGATGAATTATTACATGCTTAGAAGGTTAGAAAAATAAGAGAGATTGCATTCAGGACCTCGATGGAGGGGTGAGCCTTTGTCTAGTGGAAAGATTCTGTTTCCTCTGGAGAGGTAAACAAGGAGAAAAATACCAGTGAAGACATACAAATATTTTGAAATGGATGAGAGGGAAAGGAGGCCATTGATAGAGAATCATCAACTCATCATGCTGAGATGGTCTTTTGAGAGTGAGAAGGCAGGTCATTTTGCAGACTGAAAGACGGCAAGCAGGTGTGGGATAGATGAGAGGAAATATGCATATTGGTTAGCCCTCAGTTTATTTACCTGTAAGGTCCCTACATTAGCTGATACGGTTTAGCTCTGTGTCCCCACCCAAATCTCATCTTGAGTTGTAATTCCCATGTGTCAAGGAAGGGACCTGATTTGTGGTGACTGGATTATGGGGGCGGTTTCCCCCACGCTGTTCTTGTGATAGTGAGTGAGTCTCATGAGACCTGATGGTTTTAAAAATGGCAGTATTTCCTGTGCTCACACTTCACTTCTCTCACCTGCTGCCATGTAGGACATGCCTGCTTCTCCTTCTGTCATGATTATAAGCTTCCTGAGGCCTCCCCAGCCATGTGAAACTGTGAGTCAATTAAACCTCTTTTCTTTATAAATTACCCAGTCTTGGGTAGTGTCTTTATAGCAGTGTGAGAATGAACTAATATATTAGCCAAACTATTTATATTGCACAGCTTACCTATACATGCTACACTGGGTTCTTATATCCAATCCTAGAATGACCTGGTGTTTGGATTGCAAAGAGCCCTGTTTGGTAGGAATGTGCAGAGTCTGGGTGCCATCACTGCATGTTATTGTCTCTTGCCATATGCTACCTTTTACAAAGATAGCTGTCTCCTGCCATCAATAGGGCACATATGCTGACCACAATTTCCAGACTTTCTCAGCACTTATGTGTCATAGCTTCCTTGAGACATATAGCATGAGTTCGAGGCAGCTGGCTAGAAGCCACCCTAATGGCCCTCCTAGTTCAGTGTCACAGATTCTCATAAGGTGGGGCCGGGCAAAGGGAGAGGTGTTCTCATAGCAGGTTTCCAGAAGAGAAGCAGACATCAAGATGGATAATTCCCTAGGAGGATGATTATCTAGGATCCAGGACCGATTTTGATAAGAACACTGAGCTTATGTAGTTTTAAATTGCCCTAATTTCATACTCTTTTCGTTAGCTCTGAGGTAGTCTTGAAAACAAGCAATCTTGAAACCTGAATCATTTCAGCATGGTGAGAAAGTATAGTAGCCATGAAAAATAGCAGCCCAAGAGAACCAATGAAGATGGGGATAGAATGAATTTGAAGCTTCTCAAAGCCCATCTCCAAGGAACTGTAAAAATCTGGCCTATTTGGCAGCAACCTAAAGGGCCCCACTCCCAAGGCTTGTCTTTATTTGACCTTACTCAGAGCTCACTTTTTGCAAACAGCTTTATTTCCTGGGCATTTGTTGAAAACAATCAGCAGCAATTGTTCACTGACTGAGGCAATAGACTTGAGGCTAATAAGACAGTGATCAAAAAATTAAAAAGGAAAACTGAGGAAACCATAGGGAATATGCAAATCTTCTATATTCATGGCAATCTTAAAGGCTACCACACTAGCTGGACTGTGCACATGCCCAGAACAGATCCAAGAAGACCTTGATCTCTTACCTCAAACTGACTGTGTCAGCAGGCAGAGAAGGCTAAGGCACGATTTTAAAGTATCTGCTGGGGCATTGAAAGCATACCTCAGTATACATAGAGCCCTTTCACAAAAGCTGGGAGATGTATTGGTTCAAGGCCTTTAAAGAAATCTCTGTTAATTGAGAATTGACAGAACTAGTTTAAAACATTACTAATTAAATAGCCACAATATCAACCAAAGGCAACAATAACAAACCATGTAGGAGTGTATTTGTAGTTTTCAATGAAAATTGTGAAACATGCAAAAAAC
Organism: Homo sapiens; assembly: GCF_000001405.40. Lineage (NCBI taxonomy): Eukaryota > Metazoa > Chordata > Mammalia > Primates > Hominidae > Homo > Homo sapiens. Next base: position 5,918,841 of record NC_000002.12, read on the forward strand.
CATACACAAAAAAGTATGGTACGTAAATAGAGGAAAAACAGTTAATGAAAACTTTCTTTGAGGAAGTCTAGATGTTGGAATTAACAGACAAAACCTTTAAATTAGCTATCATAAAAATGTTCCAAAAGCTAAAGGAAACTGTATCTAAAGAATTAAAAGAAAGTTAAAAAAAAGGATGATGTCTCCTCAGATAAAGAATATCAATAAAGAGATAGAAATCACAAAAAAGAACCAAATAGAAAATATGGAAAGGAAATGAAATACCTAAAAAGAAAATTACTAGAGGGGCTGAATGGCACTTTGGAAGTGGTAGAAAAATAGAATCATCAAAGAAGTGTGAGTTGAGATTTTGTAATATGAGACCCAGAAAGAGAAAGGAAAATAAAGTAATAAAAAAACTGATGTTCAGAGCTGTGAGATACAATCAATCACATCAAAATATATATGATGAAAGTACCAGAAAAAGAGAAGTTCAGAAATAATATTCAAAGATATAATGGCTGAAAATTGTTTTCAATTTCATGACAAAGAGTAATCTGTACATCTGAGAAGCACAACAAACTGAAAGTAGAGTAAGGGAAAAAAAGCTGACTGTTAGGCACATCAAATCAAACTATCCAGCCAAACACAAAGAGATAGTCTTATAAGCAGCAAGAGGCGTGACTCATTGTGTACAAGAGATCCTCAATAAGACTAACAGATGACTTCTCATCAGAAACCATGGAGCCCAGCAAGCAGTAAAGTGGAATTTCTAGGACAATAATAATGCAAAGAAGGGAGAAGAAATGGAGCTATATTGGAGCAATGATTTTGTGTACCAGTGAATTGTTTGTATTAATATGAACTAGACAGTTTTAACTGAAAATGTTAATTATAATCTCCAGGACAATTACTGGGAAAACACACACACACAAACACACACACAAATATAGTAAATGAAATAAAAAAGGAAATTAAATGGTACACTAGAGAATATCTTTTAAACAAAAAAGAAGTCAGTAATGGAGGAATGCAGAAGCAAATAACAAAGGGGCAGACACAAATCTTACCTTATCAGTAATTACATTAAATGTAAAATTACTAAACATGACAATCATGTTTAGTAGCAGCAATTGATGGAATGGGTAAAAAAAAATCACCTGCCTTTAGTGTATCTACAAAAGATGCATTTACACTCAAAGATACAAATAGTATCTTATAATAGTTAGAAAGTAAATGGATGGAAAAAGTTATCTTATTCAAATAATAACCAAAGGGGATCTAGAGAGCCTACATTAATATTAGACAATATTACTCTAAGCAAATTTTTTTGGAGGAGACAAAGAAGAACAGTTTATAATGATAAGAGGTTTAATTCATCAGAATAACATTGCAAGTGTAAACGTATGCAACTAGCATGTGAACCCCAAAATGCATGCAGCAAAACTGACTAAACTGAAGGAAGAAATAGAAACATCAACAATGATAGTTAGAAACGTTAATACCCCATTTTCAATAATAAATAAATAAAACTAAGCAGGAGATCAACAAGGAAGTAGAAGACTCTCGAAGAACACTATACACACTAGACCTAAGAGATACCTACCGAGCATTCCACAAAACACAACAGAATATAATCTTCTCAAATGCACATGGAACATTTTCCAGACTAGATCTCAGGCCCAACAACAAGGCGCGATACATTTAAAATAACTGAAATTGTGCAAAGTACATTTCCTGACCACAATGGAATGAAAGTTAAAAAAAAATTAAAAAACAGAATAATTCTATTAACATGAAGTGTCCAGGATAGGCAGATCTATAGACACAGAAAGAACTGTAATGGTTGCAACAATTTGTAGGGAGGGAAAAATTTCTAATGAGTTTCTTTTTGGGACATTGATATTATTCTGGAATTAATGTCACTCAAATTTGTGAATGTACCAAAAACTATTGAATTGTACACTTTAAAGGGAAATAATTTTTATGATATGTGTATTCTATTCTCTATAAATATTATGAAAAATAAAAAAGATTTGAGAAACTATAAATATTCCTTGAGCTAAACTGAAGGTCAAAAGTGCATGACTGTTGCGAGGACAAGGTGGTACATCTGACAGTGAAATTCCCTCCTAAGCTGATCAGCCAGAAATCGTTGATATTATCCTCAAGCCTCAGACCACAAGCCAGTGAAATTTTACATTGTGTACTTATTCTTCAGAAGTAATTCTGTAACCTCCTTTGTATGCTAGTCATGGTCCTGATGGATGCACTTGTTAATTTTCTCTCACCTGATTCGCACCTATCATGTTCCAGATATTTTGGCGGGGTCGGGGGTGGGGGTTCTTAGGAAGCATTTGACAGCCTGAAAATGAGATCTGTTTATATTCTAATCTTTTCTAATCTTTTTTTCTTCTTTGTCTTCTTTTTCACTTAGCTCACTAAATGGCTCAATCCAGAGAAGGTCTAGGTTCCATTATCTTATCATTTCTGAACGTTGATATATTATCTCAATCTTGGCCACCAAGGCTAAAAATGAACTGTGTTTTTCAAAGCAGCGCTTCCATAGTCTACATAAGGGGAGTGGATATTAACAAGTCCTTTGGACCTTCAGAGTTCTCTGGCACTGCGCCAAGACGTTTCCAGCACTCATTTTCCTGAGCCCTGAGGCCTGGGTGAGACACATCCCATCCTGGTTAATTTCAGAGACGAAGCCATTACTGAGTGGTTCTAGGCATAGTGTTCATTTTTAAACTTTTAATTCTTACATCATTTGTTAAGTAATTGGGCTCAACTGTGTGCTATTGGCATATTGTATTAATGAATTGCACATGTAGCTTTAATTTCTGCTTTTTAGGTTTCAGTTATTCTTTTTGTAACTCCTCTAGAGAAACACGTGTCTTTGTATATTTTTGGTCCTGTTTAATTGTGAAAACTTTCCTCTTGGCTGTTTTGTTACTAACAGATAATCACCTTCACAGTCCCGCCTTTTTTTTTCTGCGGATGACAGCGGAACAAGTTTGTGTGCGGCTGTATATCAGCCCTGGATTTGGGGTAGACACTGCACAGACCTGGACTGAAATCCAGTTTCCGCCACGTTCTTTGTAACTTGAGAAAATTTCTGAAAATCTTAGCATCAATTTGTTGTTATTGTTGCTGTTTGTAAAATGAGGGTAAGAGTATTTGCCCCACAGGACTATTGAGAAAATTTGCTTTTCTTCCTCTTTATTATACAACATTCAGGATTTTTTTCCCCACAAAATAACAGATAAGATGTCAGTATTCGAGTCTTAATAGATAACTATTCTAGGTGGCATTCCTCTTCCTGGCTGCACGCCTGGTCATGAAATGGTGACGAAATCTCCACTACCCTAACCATCGCTCCACTCAGCTCCCTGCCAGGAACCTGATTGAGACTACCTTGCTGGCACATGATTTCATTCACTAAGCATTTATTGAGCACTTACTATATACTGGTTACTCTACTTGTTAGGCAAAGACAAATAACACAGGATGTCTGCTGCAGGGAAGTCATCAAACAAAATTATTTTGGAGGGAGAAAGGTATAATTGCTGCACAACATTTAAGCATGTGATTTTTTCCCCCCGAATCTCATTCTATTTAGCTATGTATGATCTATTTTAAATCAGAATGAGAGGCATAAAACCTGGAGTGAGTTATAGACACTATTGGGTTTGTTCCTCTCGCCGGGTTGTTTCATAATTAATGCTTCTAGGAGGACTCTTATTTGCTATTGGCCACCATCTTTTTCTTTAATATCAGCATCTTCAATCCTGCCACGGTATTTAAATAAAAAGTACAAATATAGTTTTAATGTCATTCTCCTTGAAAGACCTTTTTTTTGTTTTGTTTTTTTCTTTTTTCTGTGACTCCATGTATCTGTCAACCAAGAAAAGGCAAAAGATCAGATGCCAAAGCAGTAAGACAAGGCCTTTACTGGGAACTTAGGAATTGCCATTTGGGAGACACAGATTTCACTATTAATAGAAGACAAATTATGTTCCAAAGAGAAGGAGAGAGTGGGGATTTTTAAAATGATGCCGAGGGCGCTTACACAAGTTGTATTGAAATATAATAACTACCCTGGTGGAGGTGGCTGGTTTAGTACAGGAGTCCGTAGTTCATTGGTTGTTGCTGTTTAGGAGTCGCAGCTCTGGTGAAAATCAGATGTTTTCCAGGATGCTGTGGTTCTGACACTCTGGTCCGGCTCAAAGTTTCAAGGCAAATTCCCATTTTCGTGATTTTTGTTGTTGTTTTTGCAAGGTTGCTGTCCGTGCAGGTAGTCCTTCTTAGAGCAGCTTCCCAACACCATTTCGCATGCCGCATCTCACATATCCACCATATCCACCATCTTTACGGCTTCCCAACACCACTTCGCATGCCGCATCTCACATATCCACCATATCCACCATCTTTACGGCTTCCCAACACCACTTCGCATGCCGCATCTCACATATCCACCATATCCACCATCTTTACGGCTTCCCAACACCATTTCGCATGCCACGTCTCACATATCCACCATCTTTTCTTTGGTAACTTTCTTTGGGTTATGCCACTGGGTCTCCCCTCCCCAGCCTGCCCCCAACCACAGCTGTTGTCCACACTTCTCATCTATGCATTTTAATTCCCACCTATTAAATGAGAATGGTCTCTTTAGTCTTTTTCCTCAGCCTTCTTTCTTTTTATCTAATTCTACTGGTGACTGGATATTTTCAACTCCTGAAACTAAACATGATTTTGCTGATTTGTTTTTAGAGCTTTTGTGATAAGAGTTAGAAAAATGGAGAGAGTGACCACAGAAGAACCTTGGGTTACAGACAAAGAAGGTCCATGGAACGGGGTGCTGGGGAGGTTTTGCTGTTAAAAGCAAAGGCAAAAAGTGTAATTACTTTTGCAGTAACCTAATCATAACATGAGTTGTGCCGCCATTGTTCAGGAATATGAGAGCCCTCAGAGTGAACTCCATGGGTCCACAAAATCAAAATGGTGATAAACATTGCAATCTCCTGCACACAGTTGTTACGATGACCTCCATATGTTAGTAAAGGCTGGCTCAAAAACAAATACAAAACTGGGAAAAAAATTCTATTGTCAATCAACATGTGTTTCAGCAAAAATGCAGTGAGAGAGTTTCAATTTTTCAGAGGACTCCTGTGTAGTAGAATACATGCCAGCACCTGAATGTCTTTATTCTCCACCAGTCAGTTTGTTGAGATAAGTTATCTGAACAGAATATGAAAGGTTTCTGTAGAAAGAAGCTGCCTGAGTGTCATTGCGTTGGCAGTGACTACAAACTGCCTTATTTTAAAAGTGGAACATGCACATCATAGCTCGTGTCCACAAAAGCTCGGGCCATGTGCTATGTTAAGAAAATCACTCAGAGATCTTTCATTTGTACTTTTGCAAGGGCTATAGGGTTGTAGACAAAAGGTTATTTTCATGTCTGTCTTCATCATTATTATTATAAGAAATTAATATCATCCACCTTATCTAGGAATCCTTCAAAGGTCTTGACCCGACCTAAACCGTGAACCCAAAACTAAACTGATCCACATTAATTTTCAAAACCATCAGCTGAAACTGAAACCACATAGTAATTATAGCTGAAATGTATACTGAAACAACGTCTTCTGAAAACCTGACTTGGCTTGATATATTTCGAAATGTAATTAAGGTATGTAAAAATGTCTCTGACCGACAGGTCATTGGAGCTTTATTTGTAATATGAGTCAAAGCACATGCAGTGTGACCAAAATAATTAAAGAAGAGAAAAACCACCCTAGACCTTAAAATGATGGCGCTATCAATTTTCAGACTGTTTTGCTGGCACGGAGAGGGGAGGGGAGCGTGTCTTAGGCCTAGGCGATCTGCATTTGATCTTCAGGGTGGGTAAGGGGTGCATCCAAGAGCCAGGCCTTTGAGGGGTCAGCCTGAGAAACATGGAGAGCTGAAGAGAGCAAAACTGAGCAGGGACCTGGGCTGGGGAAGGAGAGAACTATGACCATAGTGAGGAAGGTCTCCTGGGGCACTCAGCAAACAGATTTAAACATTTTCTAAAACTGAAGAAAATAGCTATACCAGATCCTCAGTGATCTCTTGTGCTGACTAGAAAAAACTCAAAATTGAACTAAAAACTTTATTTGAATCACTCCCCTTTGGAACACTGCTTTTAGTTTAGAGTTTAAACTGGTCCATTGCTCAGGTTGGAGGTCTGGGAAGGACAAAAGGCTGCCTCCTGTTTTTTGTACCTGTATCCAGGGGCTCCCCACACTCCACCTTCAGCATCTGTGTGTCCATCTGTTCCGCTCAGTGGACTGGGCAATTTAAATCTCTCTAGGCCTGACACAGAATAAATACTTGCAGGTGAGCATACCAGATCTGGAAATTCAAAATCAGAAGTGTTCCAGTGTCTAAAACTTCTTGACCACTAATGTGACACTGCAAGTCAAAAATTCCATGCATCACGGCTTAACGCCAACTTTGTTTCATGCACAAAATTATTTAAAATATTGCATAAAATTACCTCCAGGTTGAGGATATAAGGTGTATATGAAACATAAATAAATTTTATGTGAACTTGGGTCCCATCTTCAAGGTATCTCATTACATATATACAAATATTCAAAAATCCAAAAAAAGCCAAAACACTTCTGGTCCCAAGCATTTTGGATAAAGGATACTCAACTTTTAATAGTTATTAAATGACTACATGAATGCATCAATGAACGAAATCTTGTGAATTTTCCGAAAGGGAGAGTTACGTGGGGCTTGGCAGGAGTCTTTTTTATCCCATCGTGAGAGCTGGGCCCAGATAGACTGTCATCTAACCCTGCTTTAGTGATGATGGGTGTGGTGGGGGAAGGAGCCCATGGCTGTGGGCATGTGTGGACCACTGTCTCACTCCGGAGATAAATGATGGATGTTACCAGGGAGGCTCAGGGCCGGAAGCACACACACAGCCACTATCCCACAGAGTCTCCACCCAGTGGTGACAGAGATGGGATGAGAATCAATACAACACTTTTCTTTTTGTTTTTAGTACAGATTTTTAAATCCTAGAATAAAAGGCTAGAAATAAAAACAGAAAGAAATCACAATACAAGGCAAAACAACCAACCAACCAAACATCTTAAATCTGAGCTGGAACAAGGGTGGGTTGCAGCCAGTCAGTCTGGAGGTGTGTTCCTGGTGCCCATGGCACCTCACTCTGTCAAAGAGCTTGACACGCACAGCAGCTCAAGATGGGCATATGCTCTGCTATTCTGCAGAGGAGCAGCTGAGCCTTGCACAGAGGTGGAATTCACAGTCTTCACTTCACGTGAAGAATCTCTGAGCCTAGGAAAGATTTGAAATAACCTCTTTAAAGTTATAAGGAAACAATATAATTTTGACAGCTATTGTCTAAAACTGCAAAAGATGCTAATAATTTTCCAACATGTATTGTACATACAGACCCATAACCCACCCAGGTTATTTTGATATTAGTTTGTGCAGTTAAAAAAAAATGAAATGATTTGGATAATTGAAATTTGCAAGGACCATGGTAGATTAGTAAAAATGAATCACAATAGATTGCTTCAATTTCTTTTCATTTCTAATTCATAGCAGGAAATGAGAAAGCACATTAGGTCAATGGTTATGAACGAATTAAGAGGGAAACTAAAAGCAATTGCATTTTAAAATAGGTTCTGCAAAGAATATGGAATATCCAACGTATCTTTAAATTTACAGGCTTACAGCACTGGGTTTAAGCCGGATAACCCGGGCTTCTATCTTAGTTCTTGCACTTATTAGCCGTGTAACATTGAGCAATTTACTTAAACTCCTTGACTCTTGGTTTGCTCATCTATGGCATATATATAGTAATAAATACCTTACAGGTTCTTGTTAAAACGTTACTGCGTAGCTTTTCAGAATGTCTTGTGCAGTGCTGATCAGATGGTCTGTGTTTAGTATTTTTTATCTGTATCTGACTTCAGATTAGAGATGCCAGAAAGAAAAACATCTCACCCGACAAAGAAAATTAAAATCAGCTGGTTGGGACCTCACCCTCACATGCTAGGAATTCCTTGCTTTGCCACATTAATGTCTTCATTAAATATTCATGGGCATTGTTCATCTTTTCTGAATCTGCCTTGGAACCCTTGAGGAAAAGCATGTCCTGTGTCCCTCGGAAGGCTGCCCTGAGCCTGGATGCCAGTGGTGGCAATGGACACGCAGGCAATTACTGGATGAAAGATGAGGGTGGCTGGGTGTGAGCAGGTCACTTCCAGGGCAGCACTCAGCTTTCTGAGCCAAGATACCAATGCCGAGAGGGCTGTTGTTCTCTACCCAGCACCCAAATCTGCATTTTCCCTCCCCCTGTCTCCCAAAGGGAACACTGTGGCTTGCTTCTATTTTAGTAAAGGGTACATTTTGCCCCAGGGAGCCCCCATTTCTGAAAGCACGGGAAGTGGGATACTGGGGACTTTCCCTGCAGTCCACTCGGATGGGTCATTAGGAAGGATGAGAGTCCCATCTAGCACTGGGAATAGCAGCCACTCACAAAAACACCACACGGGCTTGCCCTGTCTTCACAAGCACAACCTCATCTATGAATAAACCATTTATGTCTGCAAAAGGGAAAGTCAGCAGACTGAAATGAAGGCCTTCATGATGATCCAGTTTTATTTAACGACGAGTAAATATATTGTTCTCTTTTTTTGTGATTTTCTGAATAAGAATTTTTCTTTTCTCTAGTTTATTTTATTATAAGAATACCATATGTAATACATATAATATGCAGCATATGTGCTAATTGACTTTGTTATCAGTAAGGCTTCTGGTCAAAATAGGCTACTAGGAATTAAGTTTTTTGGGGAGTCAAAAGTTATATGCAGATTTCTGGCTGTAAAAAGTTTCAGGGAGTTGGCACCCCTGACCCCTACATTGTTAGAGGGTCAATTATAAATGAAATATCCAGGCAAATTCATAGAGAAAGAAAAGAGATTATTCGTTAGCAGGGACTATTGGGGAGGGTGACTGCTTTATGGGTACAGGGATTTTTTTGAAGGTGATGGAAATGTTTTGGAACTCAATACTGCTGATGGTTGCCTGCACATCGTTCTGAGTGGATTGAATGCCACTGAATTGTACCCTGTTGAAATGATACATTTTATATTTTGTGTATTTTGTCATAATAGTAAAACTAGTTGTAAGGGCTTTCCATATTTGAATCTAGCTTTATTTTGTTAGTCAACAAACTAACCGTATTGATGTTAAATTAAGCTAACAAATTAACTTTCTTTATTTTGATTCTTCCATTCCAGTGCTGTCCTCCACGGTCTTAACAAACTGAAATGCTCACACTTCAAAGAATAGACATGTGACTTCTTATCTTCATTTCTGCCCTCCTCTGCCTGGCTAATACTCACTGGTGCACACATTCATATTCCAAGACTGGACTCATATCACCAACTCATGAAATCTTTTTTGAACTACTCAATATAGACTCTGTGCACCCACCACAGTTGGGCAACTTTTAATCCAATCCATTATATTGTTTAGGTACTAAACATGGGCTGCATAACAAACCATCCCATAACTCAGTGGCTTAAACCAATAATATTTCTTTTATTCACAAATCTGCAGTTGGGGCAGGGCTTGGTGAGGATAGCTCCTTTCTGCTCCAGTTAGCCCCAGACAGAGCAACTTGAAGGCTGGACTTGCGTAAAAGCTCATCCACTCACATGTCTGGTGGTTCATGGGGCCATTGGCTGTGGCCTCAGCTAGCACTGCCAGCTGGGATGCCTACACACAGCCTAGCCATGTGGCCTGAACTTTCTTACAGTATCCTGGCTGAGTTCCATGGTGAGCCCCAAAATAGAGAAAACCAAGCAGAGCCATATTAACTTTTATCTCTAACCTCAGGAGTCACATGGCTCCATTGCTGCCACATCCTATTAGAAGTGGGTCACTCAAGTCAACTTAAGAGATGAGGTGATACAGACCCTACTTTTTGTGGAAGGAGTGTCAGAGAACTGATGAGCATGTGTTAAAATCACCACAAATACTCCCTGATCTCAGACAGGTGGACCCACCCTGGACTTCCATGGTCCTTCTCGCTTCTACTAGAATGTTCTTCCTGTCTGTCTTCATTCCTAGACTGTTAGCTGCATGAGACTGTATCAACTTTGCTCAATATCATATCAGTAGGTAGCACTGTACCTAAATGTTTATTGCATAAATAAATATTTTCTTGCACCCAATTGTTTACTAGATTTTCTTTGCCTATGGTTGCCTGAAGACAGGAATTGTGTCTTATCAAGCTCCATATCCCCAGCACAGCCATGGTGGTGTCCAGCACAAAGCAGGAGCAGCAGTTATTTGTGAAATAAATTAATACATGCATAGATGGATGGCTGGATTTGTTAGCTAAGAATATATGTATATTTGTGTGTGTAGGTGGAAGACTTTTTATCAGATAACCCCAGCAAGGACAGAAATTTAATTTTCTTACTTCTCTACATTCAGGGCTAGGAAAGCACTTACAATGGAATAAGTAGTCAGTATGTTCATTCAATTTACTAATTAAATGAATAAATAAATGAATTTGTAGTTTGCTCTTTCCTACAGAACTAAATTGAGACATATTAGTTGTCAAATGACTGCAGCTTATATTATATTTAACGGATTCTATTGTAATTTGATATTTTTTTCAATGACCAAGTTGTTTAGTATTAATTCTGACCTAGTAATCATACTAATGTAGTGATTCTCAAGTGGCATTGATTTTGCCACCCGAGAGATGTTGAGCAACGGCTGGGGAGATTTCCGGTTGGCTCAACTAAGAGGATGTTACTGGCATCTAGTGGGTAGAAGCCAGGGATGCTGCTGAAATCGTACAATGCCCAGGTCAGTCCCCCTACAAAGAAGAATGACCCACTCACATATTTCAATATGTGCAAAGGTTAAGAAACACTGGATGAAAATTCAGGGAAACAAAGACGACTAAGACATTGCTTTTGTCACTAAGAGACTCACAAGAGAAATAGATAGGTAAATAAATATAACAGGGTGACTTAAATGTAATAATCTAAATGTGTAGAACAAATAGAGATGGAATAGGGTGGGAGTCATGAACTCACCTGGACTTCACATAAAAATTCTATAGAAAGGGGAACAGCTTGTGCAAAATCATATAAAAAAACGTAGACTGAAAAATATACATTTAATAATGCCGAGAACTAGTAGGAACTGATTAGAAGGAAATGGAGATCCCCTTTACCAGGGAATGAACACCTAAGATGGACATTAAGGCATCTTTTGATATCTGTAAAGGATGTTCAGCACCGCAGCCATCTTATTAAACATTTCAATGTAAATTTTTGATTAAATGAATGACAGATAGATTCATAGGGAAAAGGAGGCTTTACTTTATTTTAATATTAAAATAGAAAACCTCTAAGGCTGGCTGTGGATCCTGACTTTTCTTGGGAGGTGAGGACCCTTCTGTCATCTACATGTTCTCTTCCCCTCATCAATTTATTGCCTCTCAGCTTTAAATCCACCCTTCTCGCCCTGCTGTGAAATCTTGCAGCTGGGCCCTGTAAACATTTCCTCTCTGTCAGCTGGTAGAATGTTAGGCTTTCTCAGTAGAGATCAGTGGTATCATCCTGAAAGGGGCTGATGGAAGAGAGACATTTTCCTTCTAGGTTTCCGTCCTCAGTTGTTGTTGTTGCTACTATTATTACTATTCAGTGTGGGGTATATGTGATGTACATATCAATACGTATTTTGAAGACTCATACTTTAAAACTTTTTGTAATGTCCATGCACCAATAAAAAGTTGGGGCCAGGCACTATGGCTCACAGTTGTAATCCTAACACTTTGGGAGGTCAAAGTGGGAGAATCTCTTGAGCCCTGGAGTTTGAGACCAGCCTGGGTAATATAAGATCTTTTCTCTACAAAAGAAAAATTTAAAAGTTAGCCAGCTATGATGGTGTCTGTAATCCCAGCTACTTGGGAGGTTGAGGTGGGAAGATTGAGCTGGGAAGTTGAGGCTGCAGTGGGACATGGTTGCACCACACACTCCAGCTCAGCTAACAGAGTGAGACCCTGTCTCCAAAAAAAAAAAAAAAAAAAAAAGTTGTAGGTGAGAGATTGAAGACAAAAAGACCAATCTCTATTGCCCTCCTATAAAGTCTCTTTTCAGTTTCTACTTTCTGTTTGCATTCGCCTTTATTTTATTTAATTTTATTTTTAGTTCCACAGGTTTTTGGGAAACAGGTGGTGTTTGGTTACATGAGTAAGTTCTTCAGTGGTGATTTGTGAGATTTTGGTGCACCCACCACCTGAGCAGTATACATTTGAATCCCCCTTTAGCTTGGGCAATTGACATGATGAATTACTTTGAGTTAGACTTCCTGGTTCCTGGATTTAACACTAACCACATCTATAGCTTTGGGCAAAGTATGTACATTTTATGCATTGGAATCACCTTGTTTTATAATTGAGAGTATTTTAAATTGTTATTAAAAGGGAATACACTTTACATAGTGCCCTGAAACATGTAGATGATATAGAAAAAAATGTTTTAGAGAGTACTCTGGCATACAGTAAGTGTTCAATAAATTTTTTTTTCCCTAAGCCAAAAATCTGTCTTCTAACACAGAGATGTGGCCTTATCTTTGAAAGCATTAGCAGGACCCTGTTACATGAAGACTATGACTCCTACACAAATATAGTAAGTACTGCATATCCAGTACTGGCCAACTAGTAAGTTAGTAAGATAGTTGTGGTAGAATTAGGACCATTGAATAGAGTAATAATAACAGTTAACATTTATTGTGCAAAACCATAGATGAAGCAATGTTCCAGCTGGTTTTGCATAAATTAGCTCATTTAATTCTTAACAGCGACGCATCAGCTCATGTAACAGCAAATGTTCTCCCATCTTGTAATCGGGGATACTGAGGTGTCTACTCTGTAGAAAATTTGTCCGGGTCACAGAGCTAAGAAGGGGCAGTGAGGATTAGAAGCCTGTGAGTCTTCAGTGGTTCTAATGGCTGTATTATACTTCCTCTAAAAACCACAGGTATATGTGTTTTGGCTTAAAAATATATATTAGAATGGTGATGCTGGGAAGGACTTTGGCAATCAACCAACCTAACTGCTTGAAAGCCGGGGAGCTACTCACGTCCAGGCACCAAGTAACTTGCACAAATCTTTAAAGTTAATTTCGTGTTATTTCTGGAACTGGAACCCAGGTCTCCAGGTCTCCTTAGTCTCAGTTCTATGCTCTTATGTGTCTCTTGCATTCTTCCAACGACATGATTAATATTCCAATGTGCATTATTAATTTCCTACATGGTTACTTTTTTTTGTATCCATGTCTCCCCAGTCAACTATATCCTTTCCATATGAAGTCTTAAAGTCATATAAATTAAATGAGAACAATGTGTTATACAGGAATAAGGGAATAGTTGCTAGATTTTTTTTTTTTAAAATGATTTCAATCGATAGGTATTTACGGAAAAACACTAGACTCTTTATAAATATCTTTATGCTTAAATATATTTTAATTGGCAGCACTAATAAAAGAGAAGGACTTCAACAGAAGCCTTGGGATTAATAATTACTTTGCTAAAAATGATGAATTCTTGGCTGGCATGTTTACAGGGGTTGGGCTGTGAGTCCCTGAACGGCTGGAACCCTGGCAGAGAGGAGCCCGGAGTGTGGGAAGAGGGGCATCACAGAGAGATGCATCCTACAGAGACTGGAGGACTCCGAGCTTGGGGAAGAGACAGTTAAACCTTCCCCGTGAGAGCGAGTTATATCACGCAGCGCCAGTGCCAGGTCAGCAGTCTGGCTGGAGCTGGACCGGCTGGTGGCGCCAGGCAGTGCCAAGCACCCCTGGCAGCCCTGCAGAGGGTTCTCAAATCCAGATTTCATTCTGCAGTCCCGGCAGTGTTTTGACGACTGCCTCACTAAAGGAAGCTAAAAGCTGTGCTGATGCCTCCCAGACGAGCCTCGTTGGAAGCACAGAACCTTCACGGCTCGGAGCCGCTGACACCGTGACAAAGGGAGCCCTGCTCAGGTGAGACAAGGCTCGGGGGTTCAGATGCTGGTCGTCTGGTACAGGTCTCTGCCGTGTGCATGAGAACAAGTCCGTCTGCCAGGCTGGACGCTGCTATCAGACAGATTGATTTGCCGAGTGTCTTTCAGCATTTCCCTAATTCCTTTTTGAAAAGCAAGAGCTAGGCTGATCATGCACCTGGGTCATAAAGCCCACTCTAAAATCAGGGAGATGGCTTTAGAGAGGATCCAGCCAAGGAGAAAACTAGGTCTGACTCTCGGATGTGTCAGCAACTGCCCCGAGTCTGCTCAGTAGGTCCCCAGAGGTGATTCCTCTCCATAGTCTGTGAACTCATCATGGAATGCTGGCAATGGACTATTCCACGGGGTCTGGAGTGCTGAGTTCTAGTTCAGAACCTGTCCTAGCGGCACCAGGAAGCCCTGTGGTGTTGGGCAAATCACATAACCTCTTGGTGTTTCTGTTCTTTATTGAAAAAGATGGTTATGTATTTGCCATGACAGGTTCAAACTCCTTAGGGGTAAAATTGTGCCCTATTTACCTTTGTTTGCTGAGTCCTTGGCACAAGGCCTGGTGTTTGACACACCTAAAAATTACCCATGGACTCTGTGCTTTGGGACAGAAAAGGTGATGACAAGATGCAGGTGTAAACTTGGAAAGGCCATGAGATCTAGGTTATAGTCTCAGTGAAGTCAGCTACCCATTCAGAGCCCTGTAAAATGAATACAGCCATGTTTTGTGTTGTGTGATGACATCAGTGCAGATGTGAGCCAGACTTAGGCTCATGGTGGGCACTTCAGCAGGTGCTAGCCCTGGTGGGCTTAGCTTTGTGTATGTCAGACCCCAGTGACAGGTCTAAGGGTTGGAGAGGAGACCGGGAGTGATGTCAGGCTCTGGGATGAGGGCGTATTTGGAACAGTATGGCTGAAGCCCTGTCATGATGACCAAATTGTTCTGATGACTCTGAGCCATTCCCCAGTTGGAGTCAATCTCCAGGATGACTGATCCACTGGGCAGAGTCTGGTGTTAAGAGACAACACGGTGCTCGCAGTCAGGCAGATGTTCTTGTTTCAATACCAAACAGATACATCCAGAAGGCAAATAGAATGGTCTTAGCTTCCTGATTAAATCTCACTTGCCTCCCCCACTGCCTTGGGGGCCCTGTTCGAGCTTCCTCCTTTGCCTGACCGTGTTAATATTGGAGGACGTGATCTCCATTCTCTTGCTGCTATATTCCCTTCTGGCCTTATTGTGGGAGATGCCCTGCTTCATTGCTTCCGTGACAACTATTGCTTGTATTTTTCTGCTTGCTTCCCGATATTTCTCATCTTCATGCCTCTGCTTAAGCTGGGCACCCTCTCCAGTGACCTGAATGACTTGTATTCATTGTTTAAGGCTACGCTGCGCTCCCACTTCCTCCAAAACGCCTCCCCCTGATCTTTTAGGTGTTTCTCTCCTTGTCCTGAAAAACACCCAGCATTGTATCTATTACATAAGATTGTACTGCTATTATCTACACCCTGCCCCATTCATCTGTGCTCCTTGAAGGAAGGGACTGTGGTTTCACATCCTGATATATCCAGAGTCTAGTGCAATGCCTGGCTCACAGGATGGAGAACCTTGTCCAACTGTGGGGAGGAAGAAAGAATATCCAATTTCTGGGAAGATGACAATTTCTGGGGGCTTCCAAGAGTTTCATGGTCCTCAAGAAGACTGTGGCTCTGGTTGACAACAACAACCAGGAAACCAAAGTAGAAACCCAGAGCCCAGACACCAGCACTGGGGGTCTCAGGGAGGCTACAGCTCAAGGGCTGGGGGACATGGGTGCTCTGGGCTCACTGTAGGGAGAGAGATTCCCACAGTTGAAGGCACCCAGCTCCTCCAGGGCACCAGCCTTGGTTTGAGCTATGCTGGATGGGGCGGAGGCTGAACCTTGGTCTCACAATGGAATTAAGATTGAATGGTGGGGTGGACAGTGAGGTCAAACACTCAGTGAGGATCAGTTGCATTGTTAGACTATTTATTCCAGCATTGATTTGCTCCCAGATGACAATATGTTGTTTTAGGATTTGGGTAATTTGCACAAAGAGGTTTTTAAGGCCCTGACTTCGTCCTGGTGTAGACAGTGAGGAGATCTTCCTGGTGGAGCCTGGGTGCATGCATGCAGTGTTTCTAATTAGTCATGCAGCAGGACGAGGAGGACCACAGCCTCCATGGTTCTTCCTGTTGGATGTGACCATCCTTTGAGCAGAGATTGCTACAAAGGCAAAGCTGGAACAGCATGGATGCCTAACTGCGCCCATGAGGCAGAGTCTTTGAGTTGTGACCGACACATCTCACACTAGTTTAGGCAAGAGAGGAAATGTATCGGGTCAGGTGACCAGGAAGATTAAACACAACTTTGACCCAGCTGGACCCATGGGCTGAATAAAGTCAACAAATATAAGTATTGTTTTTTGTTCATTTTTTCTCTACTTCTCAAGTTTGCTTTTTTTCTGAATTTTCTTTCATACAAGCAAACACTCTCCATGGATTGTCAGAGAGAACTCTGACAGTTCTCATTAGTAACTCCAATGATAAAAGAGGACCCCTTTCCCTAGAGTTCTCGCAAAATCCTCAGATCCTTTGTTGGGCCTTGTTCGGCTCACAAACACATCCCAAATACAGCCCTGGGGTCTGGGGATGCAGTGTTCTGAGAGGCCCAGCGTGGGTCAGTCCCTTCCCTGGCCCTGCCCCTGCCCCATCCCCATATGAGAAGTGCATGCAATAAAGCTACAACTCAAGCTGGCAGGGCAAGAGGGGAGCTTAGAAATTATCTGGTTGACTTCCCTCATTTTAGGTTTATTAATTTGGAAAAGGAGTAATGCCATGAATATTTTATGTACTTACTGGTTACAATTTAGAGAATTAAAATGAAAATAAAAACCACGCATAATCCTCTAACGTTTAGATGTACTTCTGATCATTTGATATTTTCCCCAAATACTTTAAAAGTTATCTACATCATTTGAAATATATTAATATTTTGGAGCTCCGAATTTACCTTAACCATTTTTCCTTGTCATTCACTTTTCAAAATTATTTAATGACCTTCCTTAGCACGAATATATTCATTTATCAAAATTCATTCAGCCATTCCCCTAGTATCAATACCTTCTTTTTAGGGGTGAAGAAATTGAGGTCTAGAGAAGGTAAGTGATCTTCCAAGATTGGCAGCAGAGCTAAGACAATCTTGTTTATACCTTATTTATCAAAGTTAAATTACCTACCTAAGGTCCTTATCTCTCTCTATATATAGATAGATGTCTGGAAGACATGGAAAAGTGATTCCATTCTTTTTTCTTTTTGGTGGCTTTAAAAATTGGCAGATAGGCCAGGCATGGTGGTTCATACCTGTAATCCCAGCACCTTGGGTGGCCGAGGAGGGCGGGTCACCTGTGGTCAGGAGTTCGAGACCAGCCTGGTCAACACAGTGAAACTCCGTCTCTACTAAAAATACATAAATTAACCTGGCATGGTGGCAGGCACCTGTAATCCCAGCTACTTGGGAGGCTGAGGCAGGAGAATCGCTTGAACCTGAGAGGCGGAGGTTGTGGTGAGAGGCGGAGGTTGTGGTGAGAGGTGGAGGTTGTGGTGAGAGGTGGAGGTTGTGGTGAGAGGCGGAGGTTGTGGTGAGAGGCGGAGGTTGTGGTGAGAGGTGGAGGTTGTGGTGAGAGGTGGAGGTTGTGAGCCATTGCACTCTAGCGTGGGCAACAAGAGCAAGGCTCCATCTCAAAAAAAAAAATTTGTCAGATAAGAAAGAGAGACGTATTTGATCTGAGTAAAACGCTCCTCCCAAAATGAGGCCACCTGAAGCCCTGATGAGAAGTTATCCTCAGAGGAGGAGCCAGTGTAGCAGGTAGAAGTTGGGTTAGTTACCGGGGGGTGGGGGGAGGGCATCAGCAATGAGCTTTTCTACATTGGCAAAGATGGAGAGCATATTGACAATGCACACTCTTCATGAAGGGCCACATGTAGGTGCTGCCTCTGCCTGTACATTTTCATCCATTCCACAGATACTGATTGCTCCCCTACTCTCTGCCAGGCACAGTTCTAGGCACTGAAGATAAGCAGAGAAAAGATAGGAGCTGTGCTCCCAGGGAGCACTGCTAGGCATGAAAGATGGCACAGAAAATTAGATAAAGAAATAAATGAAGAAGACAAGATGGAGACGGATGTTAATTCACATGGTGAACAATGATGAGGACTGGAGAGTGTTGGATTGGGACTAAGTTGTTGAAGTGGCTACTTAGGAGGTGAAGATTGGGTTCAATTGTGAAGGAGAAGATGGGCCGGGAGAGAGAGCATCGCGAGCCAGGGTGAGCTGGTTCAAAGGTCCTGGGTTAGGTGGTGCAGGGCTTGTTTGAGGAACAGAAGGAAGGCCAGCCTGTGTGGCCCATGGCTGAGCCTAAGAGGAGGGTGTGGAGTCAGCCTAGACTGAGGCCAGGGACAGGCAGGGCCAGGTAAGGGCTTGGTATTTCTTTCAAAGTGTTCCGGGAAGCTCTGGGGAGTTTTCCAGCTGGGTAGTGCCATGCTCTCGTTTCTACTTGGGAAGATCACACTGGCTTCTCTGAAAGTGCAGATTTTATGGAGCCAGGAATGGCAGCAGTGAGACTGATGAGGAGGTTATCGTCAAGGTTCAGGCAGAACACCCTGGTGCCTTATACTGGCTTGGAAAAATCAGCTGGGAGGGGCTGCTTGGAGATCAGGCCACAGGTCACAGCGGAACTGAATGGGCCTGGTGTTGGGGTGGTGAGTGGTGGCCTGTTTAGGGAAAGCGGAAAATTAAAGAGAAGCCTTACAATTTTTTAAACATATGAGAATTTAACACCCAATCTGTTTTTCCTTCATTTTTTACTTCATTCAGGAGGAAAAGTAGACAAGAGGGAGAAATTGAGATTCAAATAATCCAACACTCAGGCAGATTGCCTGCTAGCATGCTTATCTCTCATCAGCACAGTGAGGGAGGGGCCTGTGTCACTTTACAGATGAGGCAGAGGGTCCCGCAACTCCTTAAGGGTGGAACTAGGATTGGAAACCACTCCTCCTGGCTCCTCTTTTCCTGCCAAGAGCGCTGCACCAGCTCTGGAGGAAGCCTCAGGAGAGGTTACACAAGTCTCAGCTGCCTGTGGTATTTGAGTGGCCATGGAGGATGGAATTTATGCTGCTGGAATAACTAGAGCCACTGCCCCTCATCTGCAGAGAAGACACACTATCTTGCAATTGCAGAACTCCTGTGCCTCGCTTTCGAAATTGGTCATAAGCTGGAGGCTGATGTTATCTTTCCTCACCCTTCAGACCCAAGTTCCCCAACTCCTCTCACCGCCCCCAACCACCGCTTTAATGACCGGTAAACAAGCAGCTAAATGCACCATGCACTGAGGGGCTCCAGCGAGGGGAGGAGGTGACTCTTCTGAAGAAGGGCTCCACCTGAGTTACTGAGTCAGCGAAAAGGCACCTTTATCCAGGCCTAGAGCAAAACGCAATCAGCCTTCACAGGACTGGTTTCCCAGCCATGAGCTTGGGGGACAGGGCTGGCTGCAACGGGGGCTGCCAAGGGCCCAGGTTCTGTGCTGGAAACAAGAGCACTCTGGTGGACTCGGAAATACAGCGCTGAGGTGGGTGGGCTTTAGTCGGAGCCACCTCCCCGACATTCCTGCCCCAGGCTTCTCTCCCAGGCTTTCCTTCCTGGCCCTGCCATTCTGCATTCCTTACCAACCTGCTGTATTCCCACTCTCGGCTGCCAGGAAGCCTCCTCTTCCCCCGAGCTTTACAGCGTTCATTATTTACCTTCCAGTTTGCACAGTTATATCACTGGAGTTTAAGCACACTTTCTATGTGCAGAACAAACATTCGCACATGCCACAACGTACAGTGGGCTGTTTTGTGCCACGTGATGTGCTACTGTATGCAAATTAAAGACGAAGTTAACATTCCCTGTTGCTGGCTTTTCCAAGTGTGTGGGTATCCATTATAGACTTCAATTCTTTGTAAATATTTCAAAGGAAGAAACTCAAAGAGATGATATGAAGGTTGTGAAATTCCCCATCATAAAATCAGAAACTGATTAAACCTGGAACATGCAAAGCCAATATTGATTTCAGCAGCAAAACCAAAATCAGGACAAGCAGACAATATTTTCATAATTAAAAAAGAAAATGAGCTCATGTGAAGAGATGTTATCATCACTCGTAACTTGAAGATGCTTTTGGATACACTGCAATAATTCAGCTAACGTTAACATAAAAATGAAAGAAATTTTTCCACATCTGTATTATTAGCAAATGAATTAGGCAATTAATAATTTGTTTGCTTTAAAATGTCATTTTCATAAACACAATTTAAGCATTATATATTTATGACAATATCTTTCATTTTAAAGTTATTTTTACTTAGTGTTTATTGTATGTTAATTCGCTCTCTTTCTGTTCCTTTTTTATTGTCAAAAGTCCATATTATGTAGAGATAATTTTTGCTAGCTATTGTAATATATAATCTTGTTAGAATATATTCGTCCATAATAACAAATTATACATTTATCATAGTATGTGTTTTACAAAAAAATCTCCTTTAATGTAACCCTATTACAGAAAAAAAAATTCAGTGTTTATTATTTTGGTCCATTTTTATTTTTGTTTTTCAAAAAGTGCTTTCACAAATACAGAATAACTAATCTACTCATACTCTAAAATAAGGACTCTAGTACGGATAACTGCAGAAGCATAGATCGAAAAATCACTTATATTGCCTGAGGGAGATGGTTAGGAAACAGTACTGAGATAAGATATAATTTAAAATGGGTTTTGAAGAATGCATAGGAGTTCATCAGGCTGTAAAGGAAGAGAAGGACATATCATAGTGTACAGCCTACAGAAGCAAAAATCTAAATAGAGAAGTATATAGTATACAGTGTCAGAACAGTAGGAGCTAGAAGTAAAAAATACGAAATCTGTGCAGTGCAACAAAAGCTATAACCCCCAAAAAAGGCTGCACGTTAATAAACACAAAAGGAGGCCGGGTGAGGTGGCTTGTTCATGCCTGTAATCCGTGCACTTTGGGAGGCCAAGGCGGGAGGATCACTTGAGGTCAGGAGTTTGAGACCAGCCTGACCAACATGATGAAACCCTGTCTCTATGAAAAATACAAAAATTAGCCAAGCATGATGGTGGGCACCTGTAATCTCAGCTACTCCGGAGGCTGAGGCAGGAGAATCGCTTGAACCCAGGAGGCAGAGGTTGTAGTGAGCCGAGATTGCACCATTGCACTCCATCCAGCCTGGGTGACAGAATGTGACTGAGTCTCTAAATAAATACATACATACATACATACATACATACATACATACATACATACATACATAAAAAAGGAGACAGTGAAATTGGGCTAGGCTGTGAGAATGGGATTTGAGCCCTCCAGCCTTCTCCATTCTATTCTCACCTCTGTCTTCTCCAAAGCAGCCCAGCTTTGGAGCTCCAGGTTGGCGGCTGCAGGAGGCTTCAGATCTAATTTAATTGGTCTTTTCAGGGCCACCTATCAGCTTGCACCTCTTCCAGGAAGCGGTCCTGGCTCTCCGGCTCCCATAGATATGTTCTTCTCTAACATCTTGCAGCCCCTTCTCATGAATATTTAGAATCAGTGGCTCCTGTCCTTCTTCTTCCCATTTTCCACTTCTCAGGTCTCTCATTTGGCCTGAAGCACCTTCCAGACCCAAGAACTTCCCACTTCCTCCACGTTCTGGCTCACAAATTGAATAGAGATGCTTGTGGGGCACACATAGCTGACTGCTAACCAGCAGGGGTGAACCCCCAGGGCTGAGCAGGCCCAATCTTGGTACACTTGGAACCAGAGACTACTGCCAGGAGGATTGTGCTGGCCCATTGTCCTGCTACTGAAGTGTATGGTCCATGAACCAGCAGCATCAGCGTCCCCTGCAGTCTTCTTGGAAATGCAGATTCTCAGGCGCCACCTCCAGACCCATGTGACTTGTATGCACCAGGAGTCAGAGAAGCTCTGGTGTTGCCCCCACATGCTACTCTCCTGGGTTAAGCAGAGCCAGGTATAGGTAAGGAGAGGAACTTCCAGCAAGGCCTGGGGCCTGGCTACTTTCCTGGCAGGGAGCCTGGCACGTCAGTGGCAGTGGTACTTAATCCTGCCTGCACACAGGCATCGTCCACTGTGAACTGATGCCGGGCCCTTTTCTCAAAGATCTGATTAAATTGGTCTGGGTTGTGCCCAGGAATGGGTCCTGTTTTGTTCCAAGATTATTCTAATCTGTGCCCAGGGTGGACCCAGTGGTCATCATAGGATAGAACATTCTCTTCCCCAAGAGAACAAGGGATGAGGAGCCCAAGCTGTCCCATTGGCATGGCCCTCAGCTGCCAGGGCCAGGCTTCTTTAATCAGCCTGGCGCAGGGTGGCTGGGCACTGAATATTCAGACCTGGCATGAACCCAGGCCAGAGAATAGCTTCCAGGGAGAGCCAATATTATAACTATATCAGTGGAGAGGATCTGTCCAAGAAGAGCCCTCTGGGATGGTAGAAATGATTCCTTCATTCACTTATAGAGAAACTGGGCTCCAGTCCTGGCACTGCTGGGAAGTCACTCCTAAGGGGCCCTCCAGCAGCCCAGCTTTGAAGCTTCCGGTTGGTGGCTGCAGGAGGCTTCAGGGTGCAGCCTTGCAGTGGCCTTTGCTGCTAAGATAGAATCAGAGTCCTTTGCATGGCATATGAAGCCCCATGGCCTGGCCCTCACTTGCCTTTCAAGCCTCATTTTTGTCGTTGCCTACCTCAAAATTCACATTGCAATAAGGAGTTGCGTACAGTTCTGCACACACAAGACAGTTCTCTCCTCTGACTGTTTTTGGATGCCTGTCCCCTTCCTCAGGGGCTCGCCCACGTTCATGCTCCTCACATGTGAAGCATCCCCACTTTCTCTAGGATGACCTCTTGGTCCTGGCCCAGTCTGGGCTCAGCATTCTTCTCTGTGATAGGCGGTTCCTACCCCACCACGGGAAGGACGTCCAAAGCCTCCCTAAGTCATCTGGTGCCACCTCCATCCTCCACAGAGCCTGTGTCCCATGTCCATCTTTAGAATTAAAGTAAACTGAGCAGTGTCTAAAATCTGGCACTGCACAGTCAAGGCGTCTAACATTTGGGCAAGAAAACGTGAACCGCCCTGGGAAACCCGCACAGGACTTTTCCTGATATTCAGCTGGACCTCTCCGACTGAAGCCTTTCTCTGGGTTCCTGCCCCAACATGAAAAGCTCCATGGCATGGAAAAGCAAACCCTAGAGCTAGGGTCGGCCAACTGCAGCCCACAGGCAAAGGCCCAACACTGCCTATATTGTAGCTAAAGCTTCGCTGGAGCACACCACGCCCACACCCACTTGCCTAGATATCGATGGTGGCAGCTTTCAGACTGCAGCCGCAGGCAGGGTTGAGTAGTTGCAACAGGAAGCTCATGACCCGCAAATCTGAAACTATCTGGCCCTTGGCAGGGGAAGTTTGCCAACCCCTGCTCTAGAGAACCCTGAAACCAACCCTTGGCACCTGGGGTACTGCTTCTTGTCCTAAGCCTAGTCTTATTTTCTTATTGCACGTGAACATAGATAACAAATTATGTCTAATATGATTGAGTTTTAGGGTTCCTGAAAAGGTGTAGGACTTGGGGTCAGATGGCCTGGTTTTAACTTCCGGTTCTGCAATCCACAAAGTCTGGGGCCTTGAGAAAGTAAGAAAATGCCTCCAGTTCTTGGTCTCCTTATCTGTCCAGAGATCAATCTCCACCCTCCAAATGGACCTAAGGTCTTGGTGAGTAAAGGAAAGCCCTTCATGCCGTTGAAAATGCTGCCCGATGGCCCTCCAGAGGAGAGGGTGTCTTGCAAATCCATCTCGTTGGGAAGGGTCTCTTTGTGAGCGACGTTAGATCTCTGTCCAAATTTGCCTCAAACTGCAGCCAGCTACTTCTGGTGCCAAATTCTACCCTGTCCCCTTCTTACTTTTTTGCTTTTGCTTTTGCTTGTAGTCTCTTCCACCAGGAATGACCCCAACCTCCCATCTCTCCTTCAGGCCAGGCCTGGATGACGCTGCCCAGGAGCACCTGCCTCAGGCACCTTTTATCTCAGTCCAGCCTCATCCCACCCTTTTCTGACCATCCCACACCAGGGGCACACACACCCACCTCTCCATCCAGGGTACTGGCCAAGCTGAGCCTTTCCTGGTGATACCTCGTTCTCCCCAGCAGTGAGCACAGAGGCTCAGCACGTGTTTGCTGAATGGACTTCACCCATTCCCTGTTTTCTTTCTCTCTCTCTCCTTCTCCACTTCCCACTTGTTACCGGTAGCTGACAATTACTCAACAGCAGAAAGAGGTGAAGCAGGCAGTGTGGGACCAGAGAATAGACAAGAAGAAATGAACTAGCTCAGTGTTGCACCCATAAGCTCAGATTTGGAATAAAATGTTCTCTATCCAACAGGGCTTATCATCTGTAGAATTACCTGGAAGATAGTAGAGAGAGAGAGTTTGTCATTTGTGGATTGTGAGCACAGAAGTGTGTGTGTGTGCTTCCCTATTATTTGTAAAGAGGTAACCACTATATCCCGATTCATTTTGTACTCATATTTTGCCCCTGGATGGCAGGGTAGAATTGATTAGAAATAATGGCTGGAAGCAAGCCGGAAAGAGAGGGCTAAGACAGGCTCAGCTTGCAAATCTGAGTCTCGCTCACTGTTGAGATGATGCGGGGTGCAGGCAGAGTGACCACAGAGCCTGTACCTGTACAGCCTGGTCCAGGGCTGCCAGGAGCTGAATCTTGGCTTCGATGCCATGCCAGGTCTCACACAATTTTCATAGTTTTATTGACAAAAGTGATTTAATGACTAAAATTAAACAGAGTCAGGCATTTGAGTCCATCAGGAAACAATGAATCAATGTGGGAATGCGAGTTGCCCAGAAGGCTGAGCATTCATCTTTTAGGCTTCTTAACTTTTTCATACTTAGGTCATTTTGTATATAGATCCTTTAAATTTATTATATAATTTTCTTTCTCCTTAAGAAGAGCAAACAACGTATATTGTGATGTAGTGCAGTGATATTTTCGGAGTTCCACAGTAAAGTTTTTCTGTTCTTTTAAACAGCCCCAGGTTACCATATCTTTAGAGTTTCTATGTTTGTTTTGGTAGTTTTCAATGTTTTATCTTTTTTTTTTTTTCTCTGTCAGTTGTCAGCTCTTACTTTTGCTATTGGTGCATTTCCCTATAATAGCAGTGTTTCTCAGGGAATATTTTTTTCGAATCTAGAGAGAACTAGAAACATAAATGAGGAAGCTGGTTAAATATACATATATAAATTAAGAGCAACCTGAATTTGAGTGAAGATTTAGAGCGTTCTAAAGAAAGCCAAGGACATGGCATTTATAACAAGGATTTTGTAGATTTCACTTTAACTGATACAAAGAGGTTTTATTTATGCATGTTATCTGTATCTTATTATTTAGTTTCTGATTTTGTAGCTTTTGGCTATTTTACTAATTAGTGAGATTGCTAAAAGGCTAGGTTACGACTATTTGAAGTATTTTGACTGCAACATGAATATTTCACTTTATGTAATGATATAAAATGTTCAGATTCAATTAAGTTGTTCAAATGCCTGATTAAGTGGCGAACATGTATGAAAACCCTTCTAAGTCTAAGACACAATTCTGTTCTCTGAAGGTGACTCAGGAAGGGTAAGGGAGTTCATATCCCATATCCTAGACAAGAGCTTGAGTGCCATGACATATGGACTCTCTAAGCATTCTTGGAGAAATTTTCTGGATAGTTGAACAAGCTCACTAAGAAAAGACAACTTTCTCTTTTTCTCATTTCATTAAAAAGATGACTGCAGGCATTCACCATCTCGATTTTGGTTACTCGCGTATTCATATTATGTTTTAAATATAAAATGTGCATGCTCTTGGCCATGAGTGCAAATAGGATGTCATGAGCAACATTTTTTTTCTGCTCCCTATAGCTGGTGCCTTTGCGTGTTTGTGTGTGTGTGTCTGTGTGTCTGTGTATGTGTGTGTACATAAAATTTGTCAAAAGGATGCTTCGATGGCCTTGGGTCACACGTTCATATTTGCCAGACGAATGACTGTGACACCCTCAGTTTGTGAATTCCATGCCTGTATATATTTGTATAATGGACTAAGTGAGGGCTCCTGTCACCCCAGACCTTAGCAAAGAAAAATGATCCTAGGAAGCTCAGTCCCTTTGACACAGACATGGCAAACCCAAGGAGCCACACAGGTCAGTCAGCTGACACAAGGAGTGGAGTAGCAGGCACAGTGCAGCAGGGAGACGCGCCCCGTCTGACTTGGACGGCTAGTCATTGCCAGGGGACCCACACAGGCCCGGGGATGCCGCATAGTCTAGAGTCCCGCAGGAAGCTAGAGATCTCAGACAAGGAATCTCCCAACTTTTGAAACCCTGTGCAGAGCAAAGAACTAAGTCTGTGGAAGGAATATGGCTTGAAGGCTACAAGTTTGTGACTTCTGCCTGGTGTCATTAACAGAGGACAAATGTCCTCTACCGGGAGGTCCAGTCTCCAATCCAGACACAGAACTATTTTCTGAGTTTGGCTTAGTGATGAAATATATATATATATACACAATCAATGTGAAGGTCAACCTCTTTTTGGAAGGTGGGCCGTTCCTGTTTTCCTCAGGACTCACTGCTCTCTGTTGTCTGACACTAGACCCAATTCACACATTTATATTTTCTACCTGTTCCCTCTAAGCATTTGCATTTTTAACTGTGCATACAGAACGTATTTTAATCTTTTTTCTGTTCGCAGTTGTGGTTTCCAGTCTAGTCAGGGAGCTAACACAGCGGAACTGTTGACTAGCAGAGCCCGGAATGGTGTGAATAACGCCCTGTGGCCCAGCAGTGAGGGAGGGTCCAGCATTTGCCCTCAGCTTTGATTGGGGTGTGGTGCGGCTTCTTTCTTCTTGAACTGTAGAGTCCTGGTCTGTAACATGCAGAGTTAATTGCGACATTAGAAACAAAACACACAAAGCATAGATTACAGTGCCCGACACCTCATAGGAACTCAATATGTGGAAACTCATTATCACTGTGGTTATTATTTTCTGATGATGATTTTTATCAGCGTAACTTATGTCAATGGACAGGAGTGATAGCTAAACAGCTTTGGAATCACCCAATGCAGAAATGCTTATATTCATAAACTTCCAGGGCTCCTAAGCAGGGTGTTTCTTATATCCAAATACAATAGACGTGGAATTCTAAAGCCCCAATTAAGTGGAAAAGGTCGCTTGAGAGGTAACAATAGGCCAGAACCAAGCAACAACAAAAAAGCTACTTAGTTTGGCAACCTTTGTTAAGAAGAATCCTTCAAAAAAGCCCCCCTCGGAATCCTATGAATGGGGCCTGAACCAGCCTCCATCCTCTGCCTGTCACACACAGGGTTAATTGAATACTTGGGTTGGGGGTGGGCCCCCCTTTTGTGGCAGTCACTGGTCACAAAACAAAAACCAATTGCTAGGTTCAGAAAAGGCTTTCCAGCTTACACTCTGTGCTAAAATAAGCCCTCCAATTCTTCTTCCTGCTTGGCCAGGAGGAAGTGAGGAGAAAATTAAATCTTTCAAATACACAGAGTTTGCTGGAAAAGGTGAAAGTTTCATTGCAAATTCCTGATGGAATGCGGACTCTCGGTGGCAGCTTTGCTCCCTTTGTCTTCTGTGCTGTGGGTGCATCGCGGGCTTCTGCAGCAGCACGGGTGGGGGATGGGAATGTGTCCAGCTGAAACCCCAGCCCCCCACCTCCCTGTCCCTTAGTCCCCCAGTCTCCCCACCCACCCTCGTCCTCACCCCAAAATATTAGTCTGCACGCAGTAATTAAATCTTGAGGACCTGGAGATTTTGGATTCCAGTGGAGGAATGCAGCGCTGAACACTGGTCCCCGAGTCTGCACCCTTGCGCTGGGAGATGTCTTTAGTCACACATGGTTTCCCAGGTAAACACGCTTGAAAACAGTTCCAGGCGGGAAGTGAATGAACAAACACCTTACCCTTGCTTGTCATGAGCCAGTTTGTTTAATTACACAAGCATAAAATTATAACACTGGAAAATATAAAATTGGAGCTAAAAATGGAGAGTTCACCTAGATTTTGCAAGCCCTTCACATAATATCTTTCCTAAATAGGATGTTTTCTTGGCCACTAAACATGTTCATTTTCTATAATAGACAAACGGGCATAGTGAAAGATAAGGACTCTTGTGATCTAACAACTGCGCTGCAAGGATATTGCGTGTTCTCAGCCAAATTGTTTAATTTCTTTGGGCCTCAGCTTCCTTCCTGAAAAATGTGTATGCCTATCTGAGGATTTAATCTGGGGATTAAATCTGAATTTTTTGTGGTTTAATTTTTCTAAATACTCAGGCCAAAATTCAGATTAAATTCAATTGCTCTAATTAATATATTTGATTATTTATTCAATAAAATAATCGTAATAGGCACTTTTTGAACATGTAGGTGTGCAAAGCACTGTTCTAATTCACCTGCACATGGCATTGTTTGAATTCGCAGAGTGTTTTTGTACTTGGACACTTTTATTATTCTCAGTAGACAGACAGTGACACACCGGGCAAGTGAGGTTAAGCAGCAGGCCCAAGACCACAGAGTTAGCAAGAGACGGAGCCCAGATTCAAAGTGAGTTCTGCTGACTCCCAAGCTTATGCATTGAGCAAGACCCTATCCGTTCTCAGTCTGTGCATGATACTTCATATAGAGGAAATGTTCCAATGCTCACTCCATTTTTGTGTCCTTTTCTCATTTCTCCTGGCTCTGTGTTTGGTTGGAGATCTACCTGGGAATGTTATACCCTCACGGAGGTTCTGGATGGACAGTCGGTTAACAAACAGGTATTTTATTTCTGAAGTAATCCTGCCCAGTTGCTGTCCACCTGGGAAAGGAGGGTCAACATGTCACAAAAATGTCTCAGAAATGCACCGGGATGGCCCCACAAGCTGCTCTCAGGAGAGGTCCCTTGTGTCAGGGCTCTCTCTTGGTCTTTGACGTGGTAGAATGGCGTCTTTCAGTATTTTCTGTAGGTGGATGTGTGCACCCAGGCCTGAAATGTCCATGCTGTGGAGTTCCACTCACCAAGGAACACCAAATTTAGTTCTAGTCCCCAAGGTCACAGAGGAGTGAGAATGGTAGGCGGCCTTTTCTAACCACCATCCAGACGCCTGGGTCTCCATCTTTTTTCCCAACGTGGTGAGCATCACCTTCAGGTGTGGACCATCAAGAGGCAGGAGACCTGTGTTCCCATCCTGGCCTTGCCATTTCCCAGCGACGTGACCCCTGTACCTATCCTCCTCCTGTGCCCAACTCTCTGAGTGTGAGGTGGGAAAACAGAAAGGCAGATAAACAGTAAGGGAGGAGTCCTGGTGTGACATAGGATATTGGTGATTTGGGAGATGTGGAGAGATTTGAGTTTTCTTTTCCTTCCTGCTCAAGGCACATTCTGAAGAGACTTCCACAGCAGGCATGAAGGGAGCTATTTAGAAAGAGAGATGGGTTACTGGGGTCAAGGGGAGGTTTGGATGCCAGGTTCTTGGTAGGATTCTGGGATGTGATCGCCGGTAGTATTAGTAATGGTGACAGTGGTTATAGTAATAATAGCAGTAATACTTACTATAATTCCTGGATGTCCTTTGCTTTACAAGGAATTTCTAATTCTCACAAATCTTATAAGGTAGGTAATTTATTTTGCCTATTCACAGATGAGGGACCTGGCACCTGGGGAAGTAACTTACGCAAGATTCAGGGTCACAAAGTGGAGCTGCTTGTTTTAGCCTAGACTCTGATGTAAGCCCAGTTTTGCCCTCAGCAGGTAGAGAGCTCTCTCCTAGCAAAGCCCAAGCCTCCCTTACCCCTGGAACCTGGTGCTGAGCCCCAGCCAGTAGACAGAGACACTCTGGTAAATCACCCCATTTTTTCCATCTCCCAGGGCAGTGGACTCACTGCAGATTGGGGCAAATGCTGTTGCTTTGCTTGTCTCTGTATTTCTATCTTCATTCTTCTCTCCACTCTTCTCCCCTCAGACATAGTAGTAGAGAAAGTAGTAGAAAAATATTGTATGCTACTTGATCTTAACTGAAAGGTTTTCTACAGTCCTACTGTAATGCTTGTGTGTAGAGGGGGAGGGAGGGGAAGAGGGTGCATTCTGAATTGCGTCCCTCGCAATCTGTTCCTGTTTTCTCCGTGTTCACCAATTGGAGGCAATCCTATTGTAAGAACAACTCAGTTTCTCTCTCACTCTTCTGCATTCTGCACTGCCGTCAGATAGATTTTTTCTAAACATTCATGTGGATTACATAAATGTCTAATTGGCAAGTCAGTATTAGCTGCCCATGACCTACCTGTAGGGCAAGATCAAAGATGCTTAGGATGTCATGAGCAGCCCTCCACATTTGCTCCTCACCTGCCTGTCTAACCCGTGTTCCCTGCCTCCCTGCTCTCCCCACACCACCCCATGTGTCAACATGATCTCATCTCTGTAATGTTGATCTCACAGATACCATTTGTATGTCTGTAGTGGACACTTAAGGTGACTCAAGGTATATCTGCTGAATCAATGTATAAAGTAACGGTAGCCAAACTGCACAACCCACAGTCCCCCCATGGCAGCAGCCCCACCTGCAGTGCTTTCTTCACCCATCCCTATCATACACTTCAGCCTAGAGGATTCCCAGTTGTCTTCCAAGGCTGAACTCAAAGTTTTCTCTTCTTCTCTGAAGTTTTTTCTGTCTTATCTTCCCCCAAATAGGGTTAGCAATTTACTCTCCTTGGGGCTCATTTTCTCAGAAACGGAAGTAGTGGGAAGGAAGCCAACCAGGTGCATTCTTGGGGAATCCTGGGGATTCCAGTGAGTCTCTCGTGTTGTTCTCCAGGATCCTCTAGAAGAAATACTTTGATTCCTCATTTTGTGGGCTACGCAAAGTCTTCTGCTAGAGGTGGTAGGACTATGGCATTGACCAAGGCACGGACCCTCCCCTCAGGTGTTTATCATCAAGGGGGTGTAATAGACGTATGCCATTGACTAAAATGCAGCCATTTGAAAAGTACTATTGGAGCTTAGAGAAAGGTACCCCTTCTTCTGCAGGAAAATCAGGGAAGACGCTAAGAAGCAACAGCATTTAGTCCTGACCTAAAGAATGAATATGTTTTAATAGGCAGTTTATGGGGCAGTTGGGGAGATGGGGAAGTCGTCTGGAGCTAGAGAAGCCAGGTAAGAGAGATGCAGTTTGATCGTAGGTGACAGTTAAGCAGGGAGTGAGAAGAGGGAAATTTTATGTCAGGTGCATACCCTTTGGAATCCATGTTTTTCAAATACCCTAAGATCCTAAGAAATAACTGAGTATTGGAACAGACCTTAAGGATTTAAAAATGTTCAATACACACACACACACACACACACACACACACACAGACACACACACATTAAACAGGAATAAGATCCACCTAGATGCACATGAACATTTATCATTCCAAATATTCTAACTTGACATTATGCTCATAATCCCTAATTAAGACAGTGGCCAATAGTTAAATAAAAGAGATATAAAATGGGAAATTAAAGGCCAATAGAGACACAGGGCACTGACTGAGTTGATCAGTTAAGTTCATGCTTACATTATTTACATCCATTCAGAATGCTTTCATTATTCAAATTATTGTACATAGACTCTAAACCAGAGAGTGGTGTACATGTAGACTGGATCACCACCATCTGTGACAGGCACTGAGTGTATGGCACAGAACAAAATAGCTGTTGACTCTGCTCAGGAAATCTGGAAACTTGTTATGCATTTGCTGTGTGTGTGTGCCCCTGTATGGGTGTGGCCTGGATTCCTCTGGAAGAACTGTTGGCAGCCCTCTGCATAGACTCTCTGCAGGGTGAGCACAGACAGTCATCACAGAGTCCCACTTGTGTCCTGGGGGCTACCACCAAACAGGGGGGCAGAGGCCCGGGTGGATCGGAGCTTTGGAAAGGTCCTGATCATCCCCAGACTCAGGTTTTCCATTCAAGAAAACTTAGCTCAGAAGGTCGTGGTGAAATTTCACGAGACAGTACCTATAATGTCCAAGATGGCGCCATGTGGGGTGGTATCCAGCAGGCTCTCCCTGAGTATCAGTCTCCTTCCTCCTTCTCTCTCCCCAGCTGATGGAGTAGAGATTTAGTAACAGCTTTTTCATAGCAAAGAAGTCCAGTAACAATTCCAGATCCAATTTTTCTCCTGGTTTGGGAAATTGGCGATCATGGTGTAGTGGGTGCTGATGACTTTACCCTTGAATGGATCCAGTTCTTCTTAAGAGCATCCCTGTTGCTAAGCCACAGTTACAATCCCAGGGTGTGAACACATCCCCATTCCATAGACAGCCTTTGTCTCATTTTGTCTGCCAGGGTCAGGATTGCCAAGAGATTTCCCTGGTACAGCCTCTACGAGCCCAGACCACTCTGATTACCATGCTATTGTTCCTTTATTTTGCAAGAAAACCCTGCTTTCCAGGGATGGAGCTGAGAAGAAGGAATGGGCAGTGAGGGGCTGGTTAGATAATCCTGGCTGAAGAGCTGTACCCGGCTCAGGCTAGCTGGTGTTTGTCATTCCCAGACACACAGGGAGAGGAGGCAAGTAATCTGAGGGAGTCCTTTGGGGGAGCTGTACACACAGGAGGCCCTGGGCTCCAGCTTAATGGGCAGAGTTTGCATAGCCAGCAATTTTCCAGCTGCAGCCAGTAGAAACACCAGCAAGCCTTTAGAAAATGGAGGGGAAGGCAAAACTACCTTTCTCCAGTGGGTGTGTAGGGAGACTCTACTCATGCCTCTGGCATGAACTCCAGAGAGCAGCCTAAGCCCAGCCTGACCACATCCTCCACAGGCTTCTCCATTACCTGGTTCCAGGCTGATGTTCTAATACTGGTAATTTCATGCCATGATTATTCTTTCACTGGACCCCTTCTCCACTGAGCAATGAGACCCTTCAGGGAGGAATTGTGCCTTATTCATCTTTGTGCTCGCCTAAGACCACAGAAATCAGGGAGACTTCCCAATGAAGAAGCATACCCGTGTAGCAATTCCCCTTATTTACCACATCAGCTACAAGCGGACCTCTTCTCACCAGGCCCCTGTGATTAAAACAATGACATCGAAAGCCCTGTGATATTGAACACTTATTCTTTAGTTTCAGTTAGCTTGAGACCCCATGCCTTTGCTCTGCCAGAACTTGCAGTTTCTTGCTAATGTCTGGTATTCCCTGCACACCCAGCACTCCCCTGCCACAGGACCTTTGCACTTGCTATTTCCTCCACAAGAAATGCTGTTCCCTTAGCTCCCTGCATTGCCTCTCTCCCACATCCTCTAGGACTCTGTTCAATGTCACTGTATCGTAAGTCCTCCTGACCACCTTGTTGAAAATTGTAACTCCTGTGTTCCTCCATCCATACTCTATCCCACCTCCCTTTTAATTTGTATCCATAGCTCTTGTTATTATCTAACTTGTAGTATGCTTTGCTCTTTATTTGTTTATAGTCTGTTTCCCCTTTTTAGACTGTAAGCTGCCTGAGCACAGGTATGCATGTGTGTTTCGTGCACTGTGAAATCTCCAGTGCCTAGAACAATATGTGACACACCATAAGCAGAAAGTAGATACCTGTTGAATGAGTAAGTGAGTAAACCATGGATAGAAAGCTCAAGTAGTGAGTTTATCTGTTGGTCATTGCCAACACATGATGTGCCTGTGGTCATAGAGCTCTTAGCAGGTGGGACAGCTGCTATATCTCGCCTGGATACAGCCCCTGTGACTGGGATAAACTGGCTTCTTGGAGATTGGCTGTCTTCCTCCAGGACTGGATTGGGAATTGCGAGGAAGCCTCAACACAGAAACAAAGGGTGGTGCTTTGGGTCCTGTTGGGGAGCCTATGATGCCAGGAGGAAGGTGTGGGTTTTAAATTCTGATGGATATGGCCTGTGTTCCCTTCTTCCACATCTGGATATGTTTCATCTGGCCAGTCTTTTAACTTTTTCAAGTTTTGAATTTTCCATCTAAACAATTAAAATAAAGTCCCCAATTCCTAGTTTGCTGGGTTTCTGTAGATACTCAATAAATGGTTGTGGAATGGCTGGTAAGAAATTAAAAATATTTGTATACCTCCTGGCACATAGTAGGAACATCAAAATGGCAGGTGCTATGATATGAATGGGGGCCATGTTCTCACCTCCGATAGCTACAATCTCAAGAAGTGCCCCAGGGGTGATCACCAATGGGGAAAGGAAGGCAGTGTTCAGTGGATAATCCAGTTCCACTATTTACAAGCCATGTGCTACCCTTCTCATGATCTGAACCCTGAGCCTCACCAGGAAGCAGGAGACAATGATCATAACCTTAGTTAGGAGGTGTTTTGAGGATCAGATGGAAACCCAGGCACAGCATGTCTGCAGTAAACATTAGATCTTCCTTTCTTATATTCCCACTCATCTCAGTGCCTCTAAAATTTCTACCCATGTTTTCTTATTAGACTTTCAAAAAATGTGTGTGTGTGTGTGTCTGTGAATCAGTTACTATTGCAGGGTACTAGGCCTTATGAAGAAGACAGTGAGCACCAGTATCTAAATATTTAGAAGGGCAAAGTAAGACATTTATTCAAATGGTTACCAGATCAGGCACCTCTTCTCAGAACTAGACAGCTATGATAAATACCATGGGGCCTAGGGAGAGGAGAGCCAGTTCTTTCTATGTAGAAAAAAGGAAGCTTAAAAGGAAGTGAGTTCACAAGGCACAGAAATACATGGAGAAATTCTAAATGCAAATTACTAAGTGAAAGAAGCCAACCTAAAAGGCTACAGTATGATTCCAACTATGTGACATTCTGGAAAAGGCAAAGCTATCGAGACAGTAAAAAGATTAGTGGTTGCCAGGAGCCAGGGAGAGGAAAGAATGAATAGGTGGAACATAGAAGGTTTTTAGGGCAGTGAAACTACTCTGTATGATACTGTAATGGTGGATACATGTCATACATTTGTCCAAACCCATAATACTATAAAACACAAGCAGGAACCCTCAGATAAAGTGTGGACTTTAATGATAACGTGTCAGTATTGGTTCATCAAGTGTAACAAATAAAACAAGCTAAAGTAATATGTGAAGAGGGGAGACAGTGTTGGAGGGAGAAAGAGAGTAACATTGAATTCTGTACTGTCTAATCTATTATTTTACTGATGTATAATGATTATACGCATTTATGGAGCACCTGTGATATTTTGTTATATGCATACCATGTATGATGATCAAATCGCCATGCTTAGAGTATCACCTCTAATACTTGTTTCTCTGTGTGGAAAACATTTAAATCTAATCTTCTAGCTATTTTAAGATCTACAGTAAATTATTGTGAACTATAGTCACCCTTCTGTGCTGTAGAACACTAGAACTTTTTCCTTCTATATAACTGTATGTTTGTATCCATTGACCTACGTCTCTTCGTTTCCTCTCCGTGGTATCATTCTGCTCTTTATCTCTAAGAGATGCAGTTTTTTGGCTTCTACATATAAATAAAAACACGTGGTATTTGTCTTTCTGTGCCTGGCTTATTCCACTTAAAATAATGACCTCTAGTTCATCCACGTTGTTGCGAATGACAGGAGTTCATTCTTCTGCACAGCTGAGTAGAATTCCATTGTGTATATATACACCACATTTTCTTTATCCATTCATCCACTGATGGACACTTGGAATGGTTCCATATCTTGACTATTGTGAATAGTGCTGAAATAAACATGGGGTGCAGTATTCCTTTGATAGTTATTTTCTTTTCTTTGGATTAATACTCCGTAGTGGGATTGCTGAATCATATGATATCTCTATTAGTTTTTCTTTAGAATCTCCCCTACTATTTTTTTAAATTTCTGTACTAATTTACATTCATATCACTCATTTATAAGAGTTTCCTTTTCTCCACACCTTTGCCAGTATTTGTTACTTTTTTTTATAATAACCATTCAATATGGACTGAGATTATATTTGTTTGTGGGTTTGATTTGCATTTCCCTGATAATTAGTGATGTTGAACATTTAAAAATAATATCAGTTGGCCATTTGTCTATCTTCTTTTGAGTAATGTCCACACAGATCCTTTGCCCATTTTGAATGGGGTTACTTGCTTTTGATGTGAGTTGTTTTATTTCCTTGTACATTTTAGATATTGGTCCCTTGTCAGGTGAATAGTCTGTGAATATTTTCTCCCATTCTACAGGTAGTCTCTTCACTCTGTTGATTGTTTCCTTTACTGTGCAGAAGCGTTTTACTTTAGTGTAGTAAGTATATTCCCATTTGTCTATTTATTCATGGTTGATGTATAGCAGTGCTATTGATTTTGTAACCTGTGAATTTATTGAAATTATTTATGAAATCTAGGAGTCTTTTGGGAGAGTCATTATAGTTTTCTAGATATACAATCATATCTTTGGCAAACAGTGATTGCTTGCTTTTCTCTTTTCTAATTTGGATGCCCTTTATTTCTTTTTCTTGCTTGATTGCTCTGTGTAAGACTTCCAGTACTATGTTAAATAGAAGAAGTGAAAGCAGGCATTCTTGTTTTGTTCTAATTCTTAGGGGTAATGCTTTCACCTTTTCTCTATTCAGTATGATGTTGGCTGTGGGTCTGTCATATATGGCTTTTATTGTTTTGACATATGTTCCTTCTATGCCTGCCTACAGTGTTAAGAGATTTTATGATAATGGTATGATGGGTTTTACTGAATGCTTTTTCTGTGTCTATTGAGCTGATCATATGTTTTTTTTTTAATTTGGTTTTTGTGATGAATTACATTTACTGATTTGCATATGGTAAACCATCTTTGCATCCCTGGGGTTAAACTCACTTGATCATAGTGTGATATATTTTGTGTTCTGTTTGTTGAAGATTTTTGCACCAATATTCATCAAGGATGTTGGCCTGTAGTTTTTATTTTGTTATTTCCTTTCCTGGTTTTGGTAGTAGGGTGATACTGACTTCACAGAATGAGTTAGAATGGGTTCCCTCTTTCTCAGTCTTTTGGAATAGTTTCAGTAGGATTGGTACCAATTCTTATTTGAATGTCTGGTAGAATTTGGCTGGAATTCATCTGGCCCTGGTCTTTATTGTTGGCATTTTTTATACTGATTTAACCTCATTGCTTGTTACTGGCTGTTCAGGATTTTTGCTTCTTCCTGATTCAAGCTAGGAGGGTTGTGTCTTTCCAAGAATGTATCTATTTTCTTTAGACTTTCTAGTTTATGTGCATAGAAGTCTTTATAGTAATCTCAAATGATATAAAGTCTCAAAAAGAACTTTATTCAGTTCTTCTCTGACTTTGTTATTTATTTTCTTCCGCTAGCTTTGGATTTTGTTTGTTCATGTTTCTCTAGTTCCTTGAGGTATGACATTAGGTTTTCAATTTCTGATTTTTCAGACTTTCTGATGTAGGTACTTAGCACTATTAACTTTCCTCTTAGCACTGCTTTTGCTGTACACCAAAGAGATTGATAACTTATGACACTATAGTCAATCATTTTGAAGAAGTTTTACATTTTCATCTTGATTTCATTTTTAGTCCAAAAATCATTCAGGAGCAGATTGTTTAATTTCCATGTATTTGTATAGTTTTAGGAGTTCCTTTTGGAGTTGATTCCTGTCTTTATTCCACTGTGCACTGAGAAGATACTTGACATAATTTTGATATTTAAAAATGTATTAAGACTTCTGTAGCCTATTATATGGTCTATCTTGGGGAATGTTCCATGTGCTGATGAGAAGAACATATATTCTGCAATTCTAGGGAAGAATATCTGTAAACATCTATTAGGTCCTTTTGGTCTAGATTGCAGTTTAAGTCCAGTGTTTCTTTTTTTTTTTACTTTCTGCCTTGATAATCTGTCTGGTGCTGTTAGTGAAGTGTTGAAGTACCCCACAATTACTGTGTTCCTGTTTTTCTCTTGTCTTAGGTCTAATAGAAATTGTTGTATAGATTTGGAAGCTTCAGAGTTAGGTGCATATGTATTTATGACTGTAATATCTTGTCATTCTATTAAGCCTTTATTATTATACAATAACCTTCTTTGTCTTTTGTATGAGTTTGTTCTCACATTGTTATAAAGAACTACCTGAAACTGAGTAATTTATGAAGAAAAGATGTTTAATTAACTCACAGCTCCACAGACTGTTTAGAAAGCATGGCTCGGGAGACCTTAGAAAACTTACAATCATGATGGAAGGCAAAGAGGAAGGAGGCACATCTTCACACAGTGGAGCAGGAGAGAGTGTGAAGGGGGAAGTGCTACACTTTTAAACAACCAGATGTCAGGTTAATTCACTCACTATCATGAGAACAGCAAGGTGGAAGTTCGCCCCCATGATTCCATTACCTCCAACCAGGCCCCTCCTTCAACACTGAGGATTACAATTAGACATGAGATTTGTGTGGGGACGCAGAGCCAAACCATATCATCTTTTCTTTTTGCTATTGTTGCTTTAAGGCTGTTTCATCTGACACAAGGATAGCTACTTCTACATGCTTTTGCCTCCCATTTGGGTTGAAAATTTTTTTTTATCATCCCTTTACCTTAAGTGTATAAGAATCCTTACATGTTAGATGAGTTTCATAAAGACAGCAGAAATTTGGTTGGTAATTTTTTTAACCATTCTGCAAATCTGTGTCTTTTAGGTGGAGTAGATTATTTATATTCAATAATAATACAGAGATGAGAGATACTGTTCCAGTTATGTTGATTGTTACCTAGATACTTTGTTTTCTTCATTGTCTTACTGATCCTGTGAGGATTATGCTTTCAAGTATTCTATTTTGGTGCGTATTGAATTTTTGTTTCAATATTTAGAACTCATTTTAGCATTTATTTTAGGGCTCGTTTGGAAGTGATGAATTATCCTCAGCATTTTCTTATTAAAAAAAAAACTTTATTTCTCCTTCATTTATGAAACTTAGTTTTGCTGTATACAAAATTATTGACTGACAATTATTCTGTATAAGGAGGCTAAAGCTAGGACCCCAATCCCTTCTGGTTTGTAAGGTTTCTGCTAAGAAGTCTGTTGTTAGTCTGATAGGTTTTCCTTTGTGTGCTGTTAGTCTGATAGGTTTTCCTTTACAGAACACCTGATGCTTACTGCTCTTAAAATTCTTTCCTTTACATTGACTTTAGCTAGCCTGATGATTATTTGCCTTGGTGGTGTTATTTTTGCAATGAATCTTCCAGGAATTATTTGAGCTTCTTGTATTTGGATATCTACATCTCTAGCAAAGCCAGGGAAGTTTTTTTCCACTATCCCTCAAATATATTTTCCAAACTTTTTGCTTACTCTTCTCACTCAGGAGCACTAATGATGCTTAGGTTTGACTTTTTTATACAATCTTGTATTTCTCTTAGAGCCATTGTTCAATTCTTTTAATTTTTTTTGTTTATTTTTATTTGATTGGGCTAATTTGAAAGTCTTGGCTTTGAGCTCTGAAACTCTCTCTTCTACTTGGTGTAGTTTATTGTTTAAACTTTCTGTTGCATTTTGTAATTCTGTAAATGTGTCTTTCATTTCCTGGAGATCTGGTTGTTTTTTCTTCAAAATATCTATCTCTTTGGAAAATATTTCATTCATTGGTTTTTGAAACTGGTTTTTGAAATTTTTATGTATGTGCATTTTTTAATCTTTATGTTGTATTTCCTTGAGTAGCTTAATAATTAACCTTTTGAATTCTTTATCTGGCATTTCATCTTGGTTTGGATCAATTGCTGGAGAGCTGGTGTGATATTTTGGAGGTATGATAGTACCTTGTTTTGTCATGTTGCTAAAATTATCTTTCTGATTCCTTCTCATTTGGATAAACAATTTCTTCTAATTATTTTAATATTAATTTTTTGTTCAACAGTGTTTTTTAATTTCTTTTTTTCCTTGAGAGTGTGACTTTAATGCTTTTAGTTTATTGTAGCCTAATTTGGCTCTTGGTGCTTCCAGTGGTAAAGTTTCTGTATGACTTTCTTTGTTGTAAAGAGTCTTTGTATGATGGCTTTCTCAGATGCTGGTTATGGTAGCAATGTGCTCAGTGTGTGAGCAGGTTCATCATCTCCTGCAGGGTTTGAATGACAGAGGTCTCTTGAAGCTTATCTTTTTCCCCAGTGGTGTACACTTTTTATTTATTTATTTTTTCCTAGTATTTTATTTACCAGGTTGAATAGTTCAGGCTTCAGACCAGTAGTGTTGTCCATGAGTAAACACCAGCTGTGGCTAAAACAGGTGGGTAAATGCAATACCCAGTGATGGGCAGAGGTCCCAGCCCTGACAGAGGCAGCTGGGGGAGCTCTCAATGAAATACACTGAGGTCTTTTCAGGGGAATGGGAGGGAGCCACCTCAGCTCCTCTTCCAGGCCAGCAGGAAAGCAATCCACCTCCCAGTCACACTCCTAACCTAGTGTTCCAGGAATTCAGATCAGGCAGCCATCTTTCATCTGAAGGAATGTTGATTTTTAATGTAGAAAAGGATGGGGACTCTACCCCTTGTGCAAACCTGAACCTGGAGAACACTTTTCCTGTGGAGATGCAGTCACCCTGAAGTGTTCTAGAAAGGCTGACTACTGACTACAGGTACACCCAAACTGAGCTGTCATGGAAGAAGCCCCAGCTGTGATTGCAGTAGTGGATGAGGGGGACTAGGAGTCCCCTTCTCCAATATTTTTCATGAGCACCAGTGCTGCCTGACGGGTAGAATAGAACTTCAGACTTTCCCCTCTGAGCCCAGCACCACCGCTTTGGCTTTGCTAAAAGAAACTTCCACAAATGGAAAGTTCTAGGGCTCAAGCCCTGCCATCTGAATTCTTTTGTCCCACAGGGTTCTCCCTTGATGTGGTGCACTTCCCTTTCCCATAGGAATAGGAGTCCCTGAGGGCCAGGCTACTGTGGATCCTGCTGCTTCTCTGGGTCTATCCCCCCAGTGGGTTTGCTGCACTCCAGGTTCTCGCTGGGGATGTTGGCAAGGGATCCAGTGATATGACCTGTCCTCAAGTCTACTGGCAGAGGGTGCAAGCCCCAGCTCTGGCAGGGGAGTTACATAAATTCTGTGGGATTCCTTGGTTACAAATAGTCTTAGTGTGTTGGCTCTCTCAAATGCCGGTTGTAGTAGTAATGAACTGGTCACATGGACAGACTCAGGACCTCTTGGTTAGTTAGAGTGGTTCAGGCAATGGTGATAGCTGAGGATACACACAAGAATTTTTCTTCCTGGATGCTGCGTCATTTTGCCTGCAGATGTTATAATGGACTGTGTCAGTTGGCCTCCAGCCAGGAGGTGGCACTTACAAAAGAGCATCAGCTGTAGTGATAGTGGTGGTATTTGTGCTTGCCTTATGTTACCCGGGGGAGGTACTCTGATGTCTCAGGCAATGACTGGGGCCACAGAGCTCCCCAAAGTTTCTGTCCTTTGTATTACACTACCAGCATGGATGGAAAAGTAAAACCAGATGGGGAGTGGGTCAGGCACGTCTGTATTCTGGCTCTCCACATGAAGGTGCAAGCAGCGGGAATCAGAGGGCAATTTCCTGGCCACTGGGATAATGCTCCAGGTGGGAGAGCAGTTGTCTCTGCTGTACAGAAGGGTCCACACAGGAAGTGGGGAGAAGTAGGTGGGAATAAGCCCTACCCAGCTTCCATGCACCTAGCAAAGCAGGTCTTACATTCATGGTGTTCCACTAGCAAGAGCTAGCTAGACTCCAGGCAGTCTATGCTCAGAACTCAAAACAGCCCCAGTCCATAAGCCTTTCCTGCCAGGAAGGAAACTGTGACTTTCAGACCATGCCTCTCCCAATCTGATTTCAAAGCTGGGGGGACCAGCACCTGTATTTGTGGCTGCAGCACACTTGCCATTCGTCCCTTGGTTCTGGCAAACCAGGTCCTTCCCCACTTTATATCATATAACGAATCTCAGTTGGGAGTTTCTCTCAACCTCAAAGAAGGACAATTTGACTTGCTCTTTTCCAATTTGGATGCCTTTTATTTCTTTCTCTTGCCTGATTGCTTTGCTTAGGACTCCCATTACTGTGTTAAATAGGAGTGGTGAGAGTGGACATCATTGTCTTGTTCCAGTTCTCAGTGGAAAGACTCAACTTTTCTTTATTCAGTATAATGTTAGCTGTGGTTTTGTCATATATGACCTTTACTATGTCATGTTCCTTTTATGACTAATTTGTTGAGAGTTTTTTATCATGAGACATGTTGAATTCTATCAAAGGCTTTTCCTCCATCTATTAAGATAATTATATGTTTTTTGTCCTTCATTCTGTTGATGTGATGTATCACATTTATTGATTTGTGTGTGTTGACCAGCTTTGTAACCTGGCATAAACCCTAATCATCATCGTATATTTTCCTTTTGATGTGTTGTTGGGTTTAGTTTGCTAGTATTTTGTTGTATCTGTATTCAAGGATATTGACTTATAGCTTTCTTTTTTGGTTATGCCCTTGTCTGGTTTTGGCATCACAGTAATACTGGCCTCATAGAATGAGTTATGAAGAATTCCCTTATTTTTATTTTTTTGAAATAGTCTGAGAAGAACTGGTTTTAGTTCTTCTTTATAAGTTTTGTAGAATTCGGCAGAAAATCCATGTGGTCCTGTGCTTTTCTTTGTTGGTGGATGTTTCATTGCTAGTTGATATGGTTTGACCCTGTGTCCCCATCCAAATCTCATTTGTAGCTCCCCTAATTCCCACATGTTGTGGTAGGTACCCAGTGGGAGATAACTGAATCATGGGGGCGGGTCTTTCCCATGCTGTTCTTATGATAGTGAATAATTCTCATGAGGTCTGATGGTTTTATAAGGTGGAGTTTCCCTGCACAAGCTCTCTCTTTGCCTGCCGCCATCCACATAAGATGTAACTTTCTCCTCCTTGCCTTCTGCCATGATTGTGAGGCTTCCCCAGCCATGTGGAACTGTGAGTTCTCCATTAAATCTTTTTCCTTTGTAAATTGCCCAGTCTTGGGTATGTCTTTATCAGCACTGTGAAAAGGGACCAATACACTGATTCAATCTTGTTACTCAGTATTAGACTGTTCAGGTTTTCTATTTCTTTTTGATTCAATTTTGGCAGGTTGTATGTATGAATTTATCCATTTCCCCTAAGTTTTCCAAATTTTTAGCATATAGTTGTTCATAATAGTTTCTAATGATTCTTTGTATTTCTGT
Source organism: Homo sapiens (assembly GCF_000001405.40). NCBI lineage: Eukaryota > Metazoa > Chordata > Mammalia > Primates > Hominidae > Homo > Homo sapiens. The sequence goes on from NC_000002.12 coordinate 5,962,241, forward strand.
GGAATCAGTGTAAATATGTCTTTTTTTGTTTCTAATTTTATTTATTTGACTTTATTCCTTGGTTCAGCTAGCTTGCAGTTTCTGGTTTTATTTATCTTTAAAAAAAAACTTTTCGTTTTATTGATTATTTGCTTTTTTTTTTTTTTTTTTTTTTAGTCTGTATTCATTTAGTTATTGTCTGATTTTTATCATTTCTTTTCTTCTACTAATTTTGGGTTTGATTTGTTCATGCTGTTTAAGTTCCTTGAGGTGTGTGGTTACGTTATTTATAATGAAATCTTTCCACCTTTTTGATGTAGGCATTTATTGCTATAAATTTGCCTTTTAGCACTACTTTTTTTTTATATCCCATGAATTGTGGTAAATCTTGTTTCAATTTTTATTTGTTTCTAGGAAATTTTTTGATTGATTTCTTAAATTTTCTATTGAGTCAACGTTCACTCAAGAGCATCTTGTTTAATTTCTACATGATTGTTCAGTTTCCCAAGATCCTCTTGTTATTGATTTCTAGTTTTATTCCATTGTGGTCTGAGAATATACTTTTTTTTTTTTTTTTGAGACAGGGTCTCATTCTGTTGCCCAGGTTAGAGTGCAGTGTTGCGATCTCAGCTCACTGCAGCCTCTGCCTTCCCAGGTTCATGCGATTCTCCAGCCTCAGCCCCCCAGGTATTCGGGACTGCAGGCATGTGCTACCATGCCCAGCTAATTTTTGTATTTCTGTAGAGATTTTACCATGTTCCCCAGGCTGGTCTCAAACTCCTGAACTGCAAGCCATCTGCCCATCTAGGTCTTCTGAAATGCTGGGATTACAGGCATGAGCCACTGTGCACAGCCCTGAGAAGATACTTGATATTACTTTGATTTCTAAAAATTTGTGAAACTTGTTGTTTTACCTACTATATGGTCTAGGCTGTAGAATTTTTCATGTCCTAATGAGAATAATATATATTCTGTAGTTGTTAGATAAACTGTTCTATAAGTGTCTGTTAGGTTTATTTTGTCTCTAGTGCAAGTTAAATCTGATGTTTCTTTGCTGATTTTCTGTCTAAATAATCTGTCTAATGCTGAAAGTGGGTATTAAAGTCCCTATCTATTATTGTTTTAAGGTCTCTCTCTCTCCCTTTTTAGCTGTATTATAATACTATGTGCTTTGTATGTTTGGGTACTCCAGTGCTGGGCACATATACATTTATAATTGCTATACCCTCTTGCCAAATTGATCAGTTTATCATTATATCATGGCCTACTTTGTCTCTTTTTATGTTTTTTGACTTAAAGCCTATTTTGTCTGAAATAACTATTGTTTCTTCTGTACACTTTTGGTTTGTGTTTGTGTAGAATACTTTTTTTTCCATCCCCTCACCTTCAGTCTATGTGCATCTCTACAGAAGAAGTTGGGTTTATTGTAGGCAGCATATAACATGGTCTTTTTTTAATCACGCCATTCAGAAACTGTATTTTTTTAACTTTGGAATTTAAACTGTTTGCATTCAGTATTGTTATTGGTTGGTGAGGTCTTGCTTCTGTTATTTTGTTAATTTTTGCAATTGTTTTCCATTCCTTTTCATCTTTCTTCCATTTTTTATTGTTTACCTTTATAATTTAGTATTCTTTTGTACTGATAATGATTGGCTTTTTTTCTTTCTTATTTGTGTATCTGCTCTAGCAGTGAATTCATATTTTTGTGTGTTTTCACAATGGCAGATGTATTAGTCTGTTCTGACTATGCTGATAAAGAAATAGCTGAAACTGGGTAAATTATAAAGATAATAAAGAAAAAGAGGTTTAGTGGACTCACAGTTCCACATGGCTGGGGATGTCTCACAATCATGGTAGAAGGTGAAAGGCATGCCTTACACTGCAGCAGGCAAGAAAAAATGAGAGCCAAGAGAAAGAGGAAACCTCTTATAAAATTATCAGATCTTGTGAGACTTTTTCACTACCATTAGAACAGTATGGGGGAAACCACACCCATGATTCAATTATCTTCCACCAGGTCCCTCCCACAACATGTGGGAATTATGGGAGCTGCAATTCAACATGAGATATGGGTGTGGACACAGCCAAACCACCATATCATTCCACCCTTGGCCCCTCCCAAATCTCTTGTCCTCACATTTCAAAACCAATCATGCCTTCCCAAAAGTCTTCCGGAATCTTAACTCATTTCAGCATGAACTCAAAAGTCCACAGTCTAAAGTCTCATCTGAGACAAAGAAAGTCCCTTCTGCCTATGAGCCTGTAAAATCAAAAGTAAGTTAGTTACTTCCTAGATACAATGGAAGTACATAAATTGGATAAATACTCCCATTCTAATTGGGAGAAATTGGCCAAAACAAAGGAGCTTAAGGCCCCATCCAAGTCCAAAATCCAGCAGGACAGTGAAATCTTAAAGCTCCAAAATGATCTCCTTTGACTCCATATCTCACATCCAGGTCACGCTGATGCAAGAGGTGGGTTTCAATGGTCTTGAGCAGCTCTGCCCTGTGGCTTTGCCGGGTACAGCCTCCTACCTGGTGGCTTTCACAGGCTGGTATTGAGTGTCTGTGGCTTTTCCAGGTGCACAGTGCAAGCTGTCAGTGGATCTACCATTCTGAGGTCTGGGAGACAGTGGCTCTCTTCTCATAGCTCCACTAGGTGGTGTTCCATTAGGGACTCTGTATGGGGGCTCTGAACCCCCACCACATTTCCCTTCTGCACTGTCCTATCAGAGGTTCTCTATGAGGGCCTCACCCCTGTAGCAAGCTTCTTCCTGGGCACCCAGGTGTTTCCTGAAATCTTGGTGGAGGTTCCCAAACCTCAGCTCTTGACTTCTGTGCACTCACAGGCTCAACACCACGTGGAATCTGCCAGGGCTTGGGGCTTGAACCCTCTGAAGCCACAGCCTGAGCTGTATCTTGGCCCCTTTTAGCAATGGCTGGAGCAGCTGGGACACGGGGCATCAAGTCCCTAGACTGCACAGAGCACAGGGCCCTTGGCCTGGATGGGAGGGGCTGCCACAAATGTCTCTGACACGCCCTGGAGACATTTTCCCCATTGTATTGGTGATTAACATTTGGCTCCTTGTTACCATGCAAATTTCTGTAGCAGGCTGGAATTTCTCCCCAGAAAATGGGTTTTTCTTTTCCATTGCATCATTAGGCTGCAAATTTTCCAAACTTCTATGCTCTGCTTTCTTTTTAAAACTGAATCCTTTTAACAGCACCCGAGTCACCTCTTGAATGCTTTGCTGCTTAGAAATTTCTTCTGTCAGATACCCTAAATCATCTCCCTCAAGTTCAAAGTTCCATAGATCTCTAGGACAGAGGCAAAATGCAACCAGTCTCTTTGCTGAAACATAACAAGAGTCACCTTTACTCAAGTTCCCAACAAGTTCCTCTTCTCCATCTGAGACCCCCTCTGCCTGGATTTCATTGTCCCATATCACTATCGGCATTTTGGTCAAAGCCATTCAACAAGCCTCTAGGAAGTTCCAAACCTTCCCACATTTCCCTGTCTTCTTCTGAGCCCTCCAAATTGTACTAAGCTCTGACTGTTACATAGTTTCAAAGTCTCTTCCACATTTTTGAGTATCTTTACAGCAGTGCCCCACTCCCAGTACCAATTTAATGTATGTCTGTTCTCACACTGTTGATAAAGACGTACTCGAAACTGGGTGATTAATAAAAAAAAAAAGAAGTGTAATGGACTCACAGTTCTACATGGCTGGGGAGTCCTCACAATCCTGGCAGAAGGCGAAAGGTATGTATTACATGGTGGCAGGCAAGAGAGAATGAGAGCCAAGTGAGAGGGGAAACACCTTATAAAACCATCAGATCTGGTGAAACTTACTACCACAAGAGCAGTATGGGAGAAACTGCCCCCACGATTCAATTATCTCCCACCGGGTCCCTCCCACAACATGTGGGAATTACGGGAGCTACAATTCAAGATGAGATAGGGTAGTCGGTGTGGGGCACAGCCAAACCATATCAGCAGATTTTGTGTTTTTGCTTCCAGATGTAGGACTCCCCTAAGCATTTCTTGCAGGGTTGGTCTAGTGGGAATGAGTTATCTTTTTTTGCTTGTTTAGGAACAACTTTATTTCCCTTTCACTTTTAAAGTATAGCTTTGCTTTTGTGTGTGTGTGTGTGTGTGTGTGTAAGTTCTCTATGCCTTTACCCATTTCTTATTCTGGAACACCCAAAATTTAAATATTTGGCCACTTTTTGATGTCCCATATGTCTTGCATTCTCTTTTCATTCTTTCTTATTCTTTTATTTTTATTTTTTGTCTGACTGAGTTATTTCAAGAGACCTGTCTTCAAGTTCAAAAATTTCTTCTGCTTAATGCAGTGTATTGTGCTTGATGCTCTTGATTGTATTTTAAAATGTTTCATTTATTGTATTCTTCAGTTCCAGGACTTTTTGTGTGTGTGTTTTTAAATGATTTCTATATCTGCTGAACTTTTCAATCAAGTTATAATTTTCTTTCCAATTTATTTGTAGTGTTTACCCATGTTCTCTTTATTTTACCAATTTTTAATATCATTATTTTGATATTTTTAGGCATTTCATAGATTTCCTTTTCTTTGAGATCTGTTACTGGAGAATTATTGTGTTTCTTTGGAGGTGTCATGTTTTCTTGCTTTTTATTTTTTGTGTCTTTATGTTGATATCTGCACAACTGGTGTACCAGTCATTTTGTCCAATGTTACGTATTGGATGAAAATCTTTCATAAGGAATTTTTTTTATAAAGATACATCTACAATGTGCATTGGGCAGGGTGCTTTCACTTGTACTCTGGGTGGGTGTAGAAGTGTGGTCTCTGCATGATTTCTTTAACTGTGATCAACATCAGTGATGTCTGTGAATTCCTCAGTGGCTTAGGTGGCAGTTGTTATTGGAGGCTGTGGCAAGACTTTCCTGTGGACAGGGGCTCCAGGAGGGCTGGTCCTTGGGCACCAGTGATGTCATTGGTGGGTTGGGGGTGCCAGTCCTTGGGCCCCTGGGTGGTGTGCATGGCATTGGTAGTGGCAGTGGTGGTGGTGGGCCAACCCATGGCTCCCATGTGCCTTGCACAGATGCCTGTGGTGGATGGCTTGTGGGTGGGCTGGTATCAAAGTCAGCTAAAGGTACATTCAGGTATGTGATCACCCTGCCACTGGAGGAGATTGTGTTGCTGTCAGTGGCAGTGGTCCCTGGCAGTCAGCTCTCAGACTCTGGGGAGTACACACTTCCTTTGTCCCCAAGGCAGCCTCCTGCTGCACTGCACCACCCATTTTCCAGAGTGTAGGACACTGTGTGGGTTAGAGTGCTGTTGCTCCAGATGCGCCACTGTGTCCAGCCAGCATTGCAATGCTGCAGCCCTCTGGGTGGATGTAGGGGAATGTCAGTGGGGCTTAAGGTTTGTGGAGGTGCAGGTGCTGTTGGTCCCCAGGGCGGGATGTAGTCTGGTGTGGACTGGGCTCTCAGAATGGCATCATGTTGCAGTTATTTGGGTCTTGGGGGTGTTTGGCATCCAGTGCAAAGTCTCTCCCTGAGACAATGCCATCACATAGACTGCAGGCAGCTTTCTATACCAGTCTAAGGGCCCACGAGGGCCAAGGGGCTCACCTACGGCTAGGGTTGAAAGAGTCCTTGGTGCGAACGTGAACCACTAGGGATCTCTTGCTTACCACTTTTCCACAGTGGGGAGCTCCTTCTCTACATTTTTAAAATATAAAACTGTTCTAAAAAATAAAATCAATTTTTTAAAAGGCAAGGTCATGGAGATGAGTTTACCGGAGTCAGACCTTTAATCTGGTAAGATTTAAATAAGTGGAGCTCAGAGACAGAATCCCCATCCCACGATCGCCGGGACCTGGCTCAGAGACAGAATCCCCATCCCACGATCGCCGGGACCTGGCAGCAAAGGAGCTTGGAATACACAGAGCTTTGACTTACCTTTGGGGAGATTCCAGGGGATCTTGGTCTCATGACTGTTTACTTTCTTTTGGATAGGGAAGAAGCCATGGGCTTAGACCATTCTTTCATGAAACAAGATAAATGGGAAGCCCAACATCAATTTAATATGCCTTAGGGAAGAGGGAAAAAGGTTTCAGATAGAACTTGCTTGAAGCCTGGGTTTGCTGCCTGTTAGCTGTTTGTCTTTGAGCACATCACATAGTATCTCTGGATGTATTTCATAGCTTACATTTTACCAGAGTTCATTGGTAAAATGCAAATAATTATATTAATATCTACACATCAGAGGGAGTTGTGAATATTCAATTATATAACTTAGGGAAATGCCCAGAATAGTGTTGACATGTTTTCAGCTACTAACATTTTCTTTTTCTTCTTTTCTTCCCTTTTGATAAACAGGAGAAAGAGCAAATGAGAGGCAGTTGCACTTTTTCAGGTGTCAGGCTGGAGGAAGCCACTTGAAGATGAATCTACCTCTGCCTTAGGATTGCCTGATGGCCTGTGCCATTCCATGTTATATCTACTGATTTGCTCCCTGTATTCAAAGATTTTTTTTTTTTACTTAATTCTCTCTTACTGACCCTGAGAGTGACCATATTTTTAACCAATTTGGTCTTCAGCCTCAAAACTTAGCTCTTTCCTTTTGTGGTCCCCGAATCCTATCACGTGTCATGGTGGCTGTGAAGATGTTTGCCAAGCCTGCTGAGAAGGCTCATCTGTGGCATCCAAAAGCAGAGATTTCAACTCTGGACCCCTGTGACCTGCCTTTGTAATTATGGATACCCAGCACTGTTTTGAAATATCAGTGGACATCCAGTTTTTAAAAGCCCTCAGAGCTTTGGGAGACACCCCTTTATCTCTCTGGCATGTCAGAGAACCGATTCAACCCTTCTCATCTCCTCCTCCTTCCCTCTCTTGGGCCATCAGGATGCGGCAGCAACTCACTGTGCATGTTTTTACAGCTCTTCTCCAGTAATGCTGCCATTTCCACTGCAGACCACAGGATAAAAGGACCGCTTCACCGTGGCCCAGGATACCCTTTTAAGTAGGAGGTAACTATTCAGTTTCGTAGTGGCCCATACATAAACTTGATTATGTTCTTCGTTGCTCCAATATACTATTTGTGTGTTTTGTTTTTTCCAGAGGGAGAAGAAAGTACTGCTTTGATCTAAAATTAAGCAAACGTTCTTCAATAAACCCACCATGAGACTTGACCACTAATGGTGACCAGCAGTGGCTTTGTCATGGCCCTGCCCACTGGGGGCAGGCACATGCCGGGGCCAGGGCAGGCTGCCAGCTGGTGAGCACGAATAGGTGGCTGGTGGAGCGCATGCAGTGGGAAGGGCAGATGGCTCCATTTTGATTTGTTAGCAGGCCACTTCCTCGGAAGGGGCTTTCCCTTCAGTGGGGTCTGCACCGCCAGCCTCAGCTGTCTTGGAGCAGATGTGTATAGTTAGAGATGGGGACCTTTTCACTGTAAATACTGCTCACATGTTCCTAGGCTGACTTTACTATGTGCAGAGCCTCTTCTCAAATATCCAAATCCCCTCTGTTGGGTACTACAGAACAGATGTTACCCTGCCTCCTATTACATTAATTTACGAACTTTACATATGCTGAGTTACGGACCCTAAGCTGTTGCATGTGCTTGGCTCTTATGTTCCAAAAAGTACATTTGTATGGTTTTGTGGAAACTGTGCTGTTCTGCTTTTGCAGTCTGTGAGATTCTGATTTTTTTTTTCTCATCAGCAATTATCCTTGTCTTGGAACATCAGAGCTTGAAGAAAGGGATTCTAGCAGCCCACCTCTCTCCTTCCTAATCCAGATGGTTAGAGGCTTAGAGAGAGGTGGTGGTTGCTCTGAGTTTACCAGATTCAGTGACAAACCCCTTCTAATTTCTAATCAATCTGGCAGCCTTCATTTACCAAAAGTTGACTTTTGATAGTATAACTTTTATACACCGTGAGACAACTTATTTTAAAAAACAGTTTAGAAATATTTAATTTTTTTTTGAAAGACTTTTTAAGGTCAGGCACCATGGGTCATGCCTATCATCTCAACGCTTTGAGGACTGAAGTGGGAGGATCATTTGAGGCCAAGATTTCAAGATCAGCTTGGGCAACATAGTGAGACTCTGTCTCTAAAAAATTAAAAAAAAAAATAGCCAGGTGTGGTGGCGCATGCCTGTAGTCCCAGCTACTTCGGAGGCTGAAGTGGGAGGATCCATTGAGCCTAAGAGATGGCGATTGAGTAAGCCATGATTGCACCACTGCACTCCAGCCTGGACGACAGAGATGTCAGAAAAAAATTAGTTTTATTATTATTAGTTTATAATAATATTATTTTAATATTAATATTATTTAATAATTTCATATTATTTATTATTATTAGTTTTATTATTAGCAAAACTGAGTGGAAGGCACAGAGATTTTCCATATTCTTCCTGCCTCTCCAACAAACATGTCTCCCTCATTATCAACATTTCTTCCCAGAGTGGTACACTTTTTATAATTGATGATCCTACACTGACACATCATCATCACAATGAGTTCATAGTTGACGCCAGGGTTCACTCTTGGTGTTGTACATTCCAGGCATTTGGACAAATGTATAATGACATGACTCCACCATTTTAGTATCATACAGACGAGTTTCACTGCCCTAAAATCCTCTGTGCTCCACTGATACTTACTCCTTCATCCCCTTGCTCCCTCAGCCCCTGACAACCACTGATCTTTTTATTGTCTCCATAGTTTGGTCTTATTTAATATTTTTTGAGGTTGCACTGTTGCCCCAGGACATCGTATGAGTAGAGGGTTAACCACCTTAGCCAAGAGTAATTTGGTCTGGTGAGTTCTCCACCTTCAGGACAAAAGCATTTCAGAACCATCCTAACAATAGTGTTCCCATAAGTAACCAGACACTGTTTGTATCCATAGCAACATGGCTCCATGAGCCCTGCTTCCGAGGAGCAGCTGCCCTTCCTGGGCACTGTCAAGAGTTGTTCTTCTCTGACATCCACACCCTTCTTTACCTGGCACATACCCCAGCCCAGGCACCAGGCATCCAGGGCCTTCTATGGCTGTCCGGATGCATTCCTTCACAGCTGGAATGTGGTTGGCTTGTTGACTTCTGTTCCCAGCATAGTGAACAGTGGGCACTATAAGCCAGTAGGCACTCAATTGATGATTCTTCAATGAAATAATTGATGCCACTTTTAGGTCAGTCTTTCTTGTACGTTACACCTTCTGTTGTTCAACAGAGCCCCACAATATCCCAGAACTTGGAGGTCTTATCTCGGGGTTTCTCAGATGTTGGAGTACCCAGGTATCACCTGCTGAGCCAGTTTCCCTGGCCTCACCTGCAGGGGCTCTGAGTCAGTAAATCTGGGGCAGGCCCAGTACTTTGCATGTGAGCACAGACCCAGGTGTTTCTGAACCTGGTGGTCCAGGGACTGCTGCAGGAAGGAGCCAATAGGACTGCATGCCTTAGAGGCAGTGGGTCTCATCCATCCCTATCTATGGCACTGACTACAGGCCATGTCCAGGCCACATGGGCACATGCTATTATAATTATTTTGTGTGATGGATGAGTTACAGAACTGGAGCCCTAAGACCTGAGTTCTAGTTTCAGCTCTGCCAGTTGCTGGCTGATTGAAACTGAACAAGCCACCTGCCTTCCCTGAGACTGTCTCTTCTCCTGTGAAATTAGGGCATTAGAATACATGAAGACCCCTTTATGTCCTTAATAACCTGTAAGTTTAAGAACCTAGGGAATCTCCATGCTGGTGGCTGCGGTTATATCCCCTTATCCTCAACTCGTGAAGAAAGAGTCAAAAATGGCAGCAGGGTTGTGTCAACTGCTCTCCTCAGCAGCTATCATAAGGGAATTGCCTTTGTCATTTTCCCCAGCCATCACCACACTCCCACACGGCCACCATCACCTAAACCATCTGGCAGTGGGGGTTACCTCCTAAATCTAAGACGCAGAGACCCACCGCAGGCCTTTCTTTCTGGCTGCCCTCCACTCCCACCCAGAGGCTCAGTTTTGCTGGGCTGCACACCTCCGAGGACTCAGTTCTTTGTGTTTCATGTTGTTTCATATCCACTAGTGTTACAGAAACTGCTGCAAACCAGGGACCAAAAGTCCATAGGTTCTAATTCTAGCTGTGACACTAGTGAGATGAGTGACTGCTGGCAAGTTACTTTATCTATCTGACCTCACCTCCCATGTACAAAATTGGGTCTGTATGCACATTTGTGGTTCTAAATCCTGGAGTCCAAATCAGAGTTCTTTGTGCAAAATATACGTAGCTAGGTCCTAACCTCGGAGATCCTGACTCAGTCTGGGGAAAGGCGCAGATCTTGGGGAGAAAACAACTCTCTAGAAGAGTCTCGCCTTCAGTGAGTGACAAGATCTCTCCTGTCTCTCGGTTCACAATGTTACCCTAACTAATCCATCCTCTGATGTCACCTGCTAACAACTTCCCCTGTGGCATCAAACCAGTAGCCCATTTGCAGCTAGTACAAACACTTCTTTACATTTAAGTTTTGTTTACGAGATTTAGCCTACAATCATAGAGGCTGCCAGCTGGGTTTCAAATGTGTATGTTCCATTGCTAATAGGAAAAACTGCATCTATTAGAAAAATTCTCTCTGGGAGCTGAGCACAGAGGCAGGCCTTGTATTGCAAACATTTGAAAAGCCATAAGCAGGTATTCTGGACTGTGTTTTAGATCACCTGAGAACATTTCTTGAACACTAGTATTTGCTTAGAGTGACAAACCTATTAAGTGGTTCTTTCAGGTAAGTTTGCATCCAAGCAATGTCGTCTGAATCGCAGGAGGAAGTCAGGAGTTGTGTCTGGCTTTCTGGCCATACAAATGGCATATGGGAAAGTCATTGTATATTATTAATATCCTTTGATGTATATTATTATGACTTTCTCACGGTAGTAATGTTGTTGGTTTTTATTAATGTTATTTTTATAGCAATGCTAATATTATGAGCTAAAAGTTTCTGAGCATCTGCTGGGTGCCAAAAATTCTTATAAATGCTTTACATGCATTAGCTCCTAACAACACTTTGAAGTAATTCTTATTGTCCTTACTTGACATATACAGGAATAAAAACCTGACCATTAGACCGAGCGTGGTGGCTCACGCCTGTAATCCCAACACTTTGGGAGGCCGAGGCAGGCGGATCACCTGAGGTCAGGAGTTTGAGACCAGCCTGGCCACCATGGTGAGACCCCGTCTCTACTAAAAACACACAAAAAATTAGCCGGGCGTGGTGGTGGGTACTTGTAATCTCAGCTACCCGGGAGGCTAATGCAGGAGAATCGCTTGAACCCAGGAGGCGGAGGTTGCAGTGAGCCAAGATTGCGCCATTGCACTCCAGCCTGGGCAACAAGAGCAAAACTCTTTCAAATAAACAAACAAAACCTAAGCATTTGAGGGGTTTGGCCTGGGCAGTGGAGCTTGTGAGCTATATGAGCTGGAATCTGAGTCAAGGCTGGGCTGGTGAAAGGAGTTCACTCAAGTTCCCAAGGTATTCTGTCCTCCAGGACTCTGAATCACCTGGGAGGAGAAGGAATTGTGGCGGGCCTAACACCTTTTCTTTCCCAAACACCAAGAGCAGGTTCTTTCTGTTACATCCATTGAGGTCACATTCTTGAAGTGCATTTTGAGGAAGTCATTATTTTCGCTACAGCAGGGACTGATGTATCAGTCTATTAGAATTCAGAAAAAAGTAAGCAAACAAAAAACGTGTTGGAATTATTCTCTTCTAGCATTTTGAAATGTACAATGGTTAATGTTAACTATAGCCACCATGATGTATTGAAGACCAGGTCTTATTCTTTTTATCTAACTGTACATTTGTACCCATTAACCTAATGCTCATAGCATCAAGAAAAGATCAATATTTAAGGTGACAAATATCCCAATTATGCTGATTTGATTATATGAATGTGTTGAATTATCATATGTACTCCCAAAATATGCACATCTAAGATGTATCAATAAAAATAAAGACAAAAATTAAAGCTTTTACAGTAGAAAAAAGGTTTTAGAGAAATTATGATTACTTGATTCACCTAAACTGACAGTCTTGCTTGGAATGAATTACTGCTTTTTGTAACATAGTTTTAGAAGAGAGATTCACATTTAATGTTACTTTGTGCTAAGCACTGTAATCCATGCCTGGGTGCTCACAGCGCTCCTCTGGGACCAGGCATCACCATCTCCTCTGTAAAAGGAAGGTCAGCCTGTTGCCAAGACCACAGGATAAACGGCTTGGCTGATTTAGGAAACCCAGTTGGTCTTATGACAAAACATGCGCATTTGCCCTTCACCAGGTGATTTTTCTGTAGGGTTATCTTCAACAGTCCGACAAAGCTGTGTTCCACCAGCTCAGGCAGGCTGTGACCAGGATCACCAGCCATGTGGCATCAGGAAGAAGGGGCTGTGTGGCCAGGCTCAATCTCTGGTCCTGCAGCCTTCTGCCTTTGGCTTTCTGAAGCGAGCTGAACTAGAGATTGGGCCCAGCTCGGCAGCGCAGTTTCAGGAGAGCCAGGATACAAACCATCCCAGTCTCTGTTCCCACAAAGGAGAAGCTAAACCATTTTTTATTTGCCCATTCTAAGTGCTAAGTGATATGCAACTGCTTCACATAAGCCTTCCAGCCTTCCAGCCGACTCTGCTTTCAGGAGATATCCTTATGTCCCTTTTGCATGGCTTAGGAGAGTGAAGCACGTGAGAATTGAACGAGGGGTCAAGGGTCACATAACACATGAGCACGAAACCGGGACTCTCCTGGGGTATCAGACCCCAAAGCCAGTGGTCTGCGCTTGATCTTTGCTAACGTCCGAGAAGCAATAAGTCCAGGGCTCTTGACACATTATTGTGCATTTTACTTTGGGAGGGACTGTGGGTCCACTCTGCTTTTAACAGGAGGAAATTAAATATTTACATTTGATTCCAGTTTGGCCCCATGACTGTCCGGCTTCTTTCCTGTCAAAGGCCCAAATTCCCTGTTTTAAAGTAGAGGGTGAATTTGTGTAATGAGGATGGATCGGGCACGTGTAGAACACACTCTTTCACCTGCAGATTCACACTCCAAACACAAAGAAATACTGGATCATATATGGTATATTTTAAAAGATGCCATAGGCATACTTAAAAAGCACAACAGAATTCTATTTTCTCACGTCAGAGGGCAGAGTCTTATGAGCTATTGAGAGGAAAACTGTATCTTAGGGGTTGAGAGCCTAACGTCTGCTTGGGGGTGTTTGTGGCCCTGGCAGCTGTTGTGTGCAGTGCACATTAGAACTGAGCAGCTTTATAAAGCCAGGAACAAGGGTAGAGTCCCTGTGTCTCTGAATAGAAATTAGCGATGCTTAGCCTTCTGTACCAAGGAATGCATCACAAAAGCTAATGCTGGGACTGGGCCTGGTGTGGGATAGGAGTCACACAGAGGAGTCAGAACGCCAACTGTGGCTGGTGTAAGGGGCCTCCATTCACACTGTCTTTGCTGTTTGGAAAATCTGAGCAAGAATTTAAGGTAAAAGCTGATGTGGAACAGCTTGCAACCCAAAAGTCTCAAGCCCAGCATAAAAATCATTGCTCCAGTGAAGATGCCTGCAGAGCTCAAGGCATTTCTGAGACTCCATGGGAGAATGATTCCTAAGGAAGGTGTGCCCCCAGCACCTGTGGAGACTCATCACCTTGAGGGCAAACAGACTCTGTAAAAGGAGAATTCACCTCTAAGGAGCTGCAGACAATAGAGGGATTAAAATGGGCCTTTGATCATTCAAAAAGCATTTTAAAGGAAAAAATAAAGTAACATAATCCAAATTCCAACAGGAGACTTGAAAAAGAAGGTAATAACAAAATGGAAAATAAAGTCACTGAAATAAAGCAAGTGAGTTGGACTATGAATGTCTCCTGTCCATTAGCTGTGTCCCCGGCTGCAAGGTCCATGGGGACTGTGCCTCCCTTGACCTTGAATCTCAATGCCTTAGCAAAGTGCCTGGTTCTGGGTAGGTTCACAGTACACATGTACCTCCCAAATGGATGGATTGCCAACTTAAATGTTCATAGGAAGGTGCTATTTTCAGGCACTTCAGGTGTGGACATCGGTGTTGTCAGATCTTTTCTGTTCTAGCCAGGCATTGTGGACATCACCTTACTATGTGAGGGAACAAGCTGCATTGGTGGAGAGGAAACCAGCAGGAGCACAATAGTGACCCATTTCTCTTGTCTTATGCACTGCAGTGGAAATAGCCCAGTGTGCATGGTGGATTTTATTATGGTGCCAGTAGAAAGATAGGGGGTTTCCTCTATGAGCTGGCTGACTTACATGAGCTCATTCTCTGCAGCATTTCTCTAGCCATCTCCTGTCACATCGTTTATTGTGTTCACTAGTCCTGTGCTAACGAGGATCTTTGAAAAATGACTGGTATGGTAATGATCTACGGAACTTACTGTAGATAGCAATTAAATATCGTTAACGGCGGGTTACGCTGACACATTAAAAGGCCTACAGGCTGCGATTTATGAAGACAGCTCTGCTGCCTCCTTTGTATGTGATGCATTTCTCTGGTTTCGGCTTAGGCTGTCTGGTCTCAGAAGGGAATGATTTCCAGGCTTTCCCCATCATCACTCCAGTTGCCAGGCCACCCACAATCACATTAGCAAGCTTTATTGTCCCTATTGCACCTCCTAATGCCCTCAGGGTGCTTGAGGTAGCTTTTATCAAGGTAAGGCCTAGGTCAACATTTTGTTGTGCAGAAAAGGCATCTGCTTTCAGAGGAGAAAATTTAGATACAATATTGAGGTGAATCTTATAAGTGATGTAAGATAATTTGATGACAAGAATTGAGATTATATGCTGAGATCTTACTGTCTTAAACTTTGTTGATTTCTGAAAATAATAGAAATGCAATCCTAGCTAAAGGAAGAGAAGTAGTCTAGCTCACCAGTGGCCAGCAAACTCTGTAAAGAAGTATTGCCTTCATGCAGCAATCTCACCTAATATGAGACTCCAGATAGAAGATAGCTCCTGAGAAGTCAAAACACAAACCAATATCATGTAAATTACTCTCACGTGAAAAATAGACAAGAGATAACCAACCCAGTCCCAACCGTCTCACACCCCCACTGGCCTCCTGCACTCATGGATGCCACATTCTTCAACATTTGTACTTCTGTTAACAGAGTTAAAGTAGAGCAAACATAGGCTCTTTTACCAAGAGCGTATGGACTAAATACAGATGCAATGCTAATAACCACATGGGAAAAACAAGATCCTGAGACACTGTTATGTTTTTCTCCCTCTTTTGTGGCCAAGAGTGTGTGCTCTCTTGCCTTTGTAGATTTTGCTCACGTTTTTGGGTGATAGGACCAAAAGCAGTAGTGTCTAGGCCACTAGGAGACAAGGCAAACCATTATCTGTGAAAGCCTGGGTTTTCTGAGAGGAAGCATGCTGGACACTGCCAGTAGAGGGAGAAGTCATGGTGTGAAGTTTTCCATGATGAGAGATAAGGACAGCTAGGGCATGGGGATGCAGAGGATGTTCTTGTTGTTGATGGTGTTGTGGAGGTTGTACCCCAAGTCTCTGGGATAAGACAGCCCCATGCACATAGAGGTCATGAAAAATGTGAGGACCCTGGACACTGAGTGTCACGGCTTTGGGGACAGTGATGACATGTCCCTGTGTCCAAACAGCTCAGTCAGCTTATCTAAAAGGGATGGAGAGTACTTCTGTGGGAACAGTTGGAGCTGAAGAACAGAGAACATTTCCTTTGATGTTTGGACTCTACGGAATCTTTGGGAATTGTGTTCAAGTCCAGGAGGAATGGCTGAAAACATGATTGAGATAAATTTGCAGCCAGGAGGTTGAAGACAAATTAGGATCTGATTTTATTCAACTGGGAGTAACCATGGCCAAGCATAATTCTTCTGGTGGATTCTGAAGTTATTTGGAATTTGCCCATAAGATGAATTTTCCTGAAGAAGGAAGGATGTGGAGGCTGATACTGAGGCCCCATTTCCACATGTGAACTTCTAAGAAACCACAGCTTTCATCCAGAGTGGAGATGAATGGCACTGGGGTCCACGTTGCCAGAATGCCTGGGGACAAGGAATGAGGACTTGTCACCCAAGGCACGAGATCCATAGTGGCTACGGGAATGAAGCCACTGCCTTTGTGGAAATGACTAATTCACCCAAATCCAAGGTGTTTTCCACAACTGAGAGGCCTGGGCTGAGGATAGAGATTTGAGCCTTAACTGAGACATCCTACTGGGAAGTTGCATCAGTGGTCAGTATCTGAGGCCACAGAAAATGTCACATGATGGTGTGTCACAGGGCTCCACATTTAGGACATTTGTGTACTCAAAGAGAATCTTTGACGACCATGACTCAGAGAAATTTTTAATGACTTAAAACAGGTTTTGGATCATGTTGATGATGACAGATGGTGCAAGCCACCTACCTAAATCCCTCTGGGGAGGGGTGGTATTTCTGCATTGTTCTCAGAGCAGAAATGTGACATGGATGTGGAGGCTCTGGACAGTGAGATGTGAAGCTGGAGGCATGGCTTGGCCTCCCTAGAATGGGTGTGGCCAGGGCAAAGCTGGGACATCCTCAACCCAAAGGTTTGCATAACTGGATTTGAACTCCTTATAGATATTCCTAAACAGTGGTGATACGGAAGGGAGAGGAGGAGGAAAAAAGGATGGCTCTTCATCAAGAGCAAAAGCAAGAGATTCAGATAGGAGATTTCACTTGGCTTTTCTAGTCTTGGGTGGGGACCCATTATGGAAGTGAAGAGCTCTGGAATCTTCCAGAGAAACAAGCATGGGTATCCTTTAACAGGTCCCAGATAGCCAGTTACCGCAGAACAATGTCCTGTTACCAGAAGCTTATTGCAGACCTTGTAACCTGAATCATTGTGTTGGCCCAGGGCACACCCAGGAGGGTGGCTTGGGAAGGAGATTCCAGGCTGAGGTAAATACCGACATCTGATTTCCTGACATTGAGTAGGAAAGCATTTCAGAGACAAGCTCCAAGAGCTTTGGAAAGGGGAACATTCACCCACTTCCCACAATTTATAAGGGGGCTGGCAGTGGTTGTTTTGGGGAGGATAATAATGGGAAAAGAGAACGGGGTATGTTATGGCACACAGAACCAAAAATGAAGATTCCTAAGTAGTAATCTATTAGTGAGGGAATTCTTGGGCAATTTCAAAAAACTCAAAACGTGTTACAGAGAGGAGCCCCTTGGACTTTGTAGGAGACTCGTTTGTCTATCTGGCCCCAAGGCCCAGAAGTAGCTGACAAAGAGACCCAGTTGTCCCCTGGATGCCAAACTTGGGGAGAGAATGGTCCTGGGTGGCAGCCCCTCCCCATCCAGCCTCAGTCAGAGCTCTCCAGCAAGTCAGCCTGCAGGTAGCTATGGAGTTGCAGTGTAGTCCTGTTATTAATGGCTTTCTGCTTTGGCTGGATTTCAGACATAAAGAAGAGAAGAAGGAAAGGTCTGGGTGATCTGCCTCTTCTGATAACACTAAAGTTGCACACATCACCTCAGCTCATATTTGATGGGCTGGGACTTAGTCACTAAGCCACACCCATCTGCAAAAGTGCTGGAAAGCGTTGCACTCTCTGATGACCACATGCCCAGCTAAATATTGAGGTCATATATTCCTATATAATAAGACATAAGCAAAGTGCAGTCACTGAGAATCACTAGCAGTTTACACCACGAGTATCTTCACAGCCCAGAAAAGACACTGGGTTGAGTTAAAATGAAAACTGGAATAAATACAATGAGAAGATAGAAAGCCTGCTGAGAACACTGGGGTACTTGAGTGGAACTTTAAACAGTGTCTTTGCTAATGTGTATGGTAACTGTTCAGATTGTCTGTTTCTTTAAGCTAATTGTTTTCTGATTGTTGAAGCAATAATAACTCATATCTTGCTTGAGAAAAAATTAAAAAGTATGAAAAATCAAATATAATTATCACACTACCAAGAGGTATTACTGCTTCCGTGTTGATATGTATTCTTCTTGTATTTTCTACAGATACGCACCCACACAGACACTTTCATGTTTATAATAGAATTCGAATGTATATATTTATATCTTATAACTGGATTTCTTTCATTGAAATAATTTGATCAGGTATCTTTTCTCTTGGATGCGTCCTAACAGTTCTTTCTTTCTCTGATAGAGCCAGATCAAGGAAAGAGACAGGAAAGCAGATGATTTTACCTGCCTTCCCTAAGTGCACTCGGGAAGAGAAGGATCATCTCAAAAAGGGTTAAGGAATGAGATCATGGAAATCACTTACACACGCGGTCGCGGCTTGGACTTGGCTAGTGAGGCCGGCCTGCCCACTCTGCTTCCATTCACTCAGACACAGCTTGGGCTTTTCCTCCAAGTGCTGGTAGCAGTCATTTATGAGGGAGGAAAGGAGCAGAATAAACACACTTCTCAGCTCCCAGGCACTCTGTGTGTGTAGACAGAGGCTCGGGTGGATGAGAAACCTCAGCACACCCATGATCTTTGTCAAGGCTGGAGACTTGCAGTGCACACTCCAGGCCTGTGGAAATGGTTCCACCTGGGTCCCTCTATTGCTCCTCAGCTGCCACATTAGGGCACCTCGCCCAAGTCCACGTGTGGGATGTGCCTGCCTGTGGCCCACCTAACGTATGCAGTCTGTCTGGAGTGCCAGGCACAGGCTCCTCACGTGGGCTTCAGCTGGAATTGAAAACTGCATTTCTCAAGGTCAGCTTTTCCTTGCCCCACAGGCTAGCTTTAGTAACTAGCAATGTGTGTGCACGTGTGTGCGTGTGTCTATGTGCGCACACGTGTGTGTGTGTTAAGTGAGTGGGAGAAAGGAAGGGGAGGGGAGACCCAGCTATATAAGCACGTTATTTATTCCCAAGTCTGTCCTAGTTAGGAAAATATTCCCTAGGATCTCAGTATGAATTAACATTCTTTAAACACACACACACACACACACACACACACACACACACACACACACACACGCCTCGTGCTCTCCTTCTCCTCCTCCTGACATGATGGACGGCAGGCGCAGCCCAGGGGCCCGCAGGTCACGCTGTGTCCACGAATCCCTCTGGGGGCTCTTCTTTCCCTGGGTCCTCCATGAAGGTCTGAAACAGCCCGGACCCTGCTCCCCATTTCTTCCCAGCTCAACCTGCACCTCCCCCGGCTTCAGGCGCTGAAGGAGGCAGGGTTCTTCTTTGTTAAGGATCCAGAGGGCAGGCACCGAGGGTGCTGGAAGGGCTGAAGGGGGTGGAGGGAGAAGCCACCCTGCCACACAGGCTCCCGTCGGCCCCAGCAAGAGCCTCCCCAGCTGCCGGCAGCATCCTGTGATCCCCGGAGAGATTTTTCATGAGGGCTGTATATTTGGAGAGAGAGAGGAAAAGGCAGCTAGCCCAGGGAGGAAGCAACCCCACACGAATAGCGGCTGCATCATAAATATTTCTAGATAGCAAATAGCCCATTAAAAGCCCACATTGTAATGCCTTGGAGGGGGGCTGCCTTTCCCTGCAATACCCCGGGACCGTCGGTAAAGCAGGCTTTGTCATCGTCTGCGTTTTCGCCGCGGCGCTGTCCTGTCTCAGCTCCTCCTGACTCAGCTGAAGGGGGCTGGTGAATAATGCATCACCTAGGGAGAGGCGCTGGGGCTGCGGGGCACAGCTGAGCGTGTGCAGAGGGAGCCCCTCAGGCTTTCTCTCTGTCTGCCTCCATCTTACCGTATCCAGAGACCACACTAAAATGGTGGCTGACGTGGAGACAGAGGAAGCTCCTTTCTAGTTATGGCCACAAGGCAGGATGCTGAGGTGTTGTCTAGGTAAGAAGCAAATCTTAACCTTGGGTCTCCTTTCTGCACATGCAATCCTGTATGGTGATGTCTCTGACGTTCAGGGAGCTAAGTCACAATGCTTTTATGTTTTCAGTGTATTTTATTTATTATTTTATTTTACCTGCACAGCTTCACCCCTAAAGAGTGTCAGGAAATAACCCTTTCTGTCTGCTTTTCTTTTTATAAAAGAATCACATTGCCTTTGCCTCGTAGGCTCAGTTGGATCTCCAAGTGGCGGTACCGTTCTCTCCACTTCAAAAATACACAGAAACATGTGGAAATGTTCTGTCATCCAGAATGAAAAGCATGTGCACCAAATTTTCACAGACCTGATTCGAATGTAGATAAAAGTGCAAAATCCAGAGGAGGGAACACGCTATAGAAATCCTGTCTTCTATACTATAATTTAATCATCGTGTGCCACAGAATGTCTTTGCATAAATTACAACCACAATAATAGCATCACTTTCACAAAAGGTGGCCTCTAATCGATTTGACTCTCCAAGAGATGGCTGGGTTTTTCAAAGCAGAGAAATGATGACCTGCAGTCTTAAAGAGCTGTTGATTGCACCTGGGGCTCCCGTGGCCGGCGCCCATCGAGCAGCCCATCCTGGCTGTTCCCTTGTTCAGCTGATTTTCTTTTTTATCTTGACATTTGCTAACCGCTTGGTTTTTATTTTCCGGGAAGAGAGGATTATTGGCAACTGGCACCACCCCCATGTCTGGAGGAGGGACGTTTCTAGGATGACCCCCAGAGTGGAGAAATAGCCGAGGTAACCTTTTTGCTATAAATTTCTTCCCCTGCCTCCGTCTTCTGTTCCTTTCCTTCCCCCCATCCCTTGAACAAACATGATTTTTAAATTCCCCTCATCATTTTTAGTGCTTTGGAGTCTTCTCAGATGTGGACGAAAACAGTTCGTGAGCTGCGCTGAGCAGTTCCGGAGCCCTGGCTCCCTTTCCCCGGGGCCTAAGCCCCCAAGAAGAGAGTCTTTTTCAGGACCATGGGAGCAGGTTTTAAAAGGCTTTCTATTGAAGCGAGGCCGTCAGCCAGCCGTGCGTGTCCGCATTGTGGTGGTCCCAGAGCCTTATGGACAATCCTTTGAAAGAATAGGGTTGGGAAGATTCTCAGGACAGAAGCGGCTAATTTCCATCCTTGGAGCTTTATCTCACAAAGGATATTTGATAGAAAGAAAAAATGGAGTCTGTGGAAGCTTTGCTCCTATTTCCAAATGGGTTGACTCTGGATGCAAAGGAATATTTTCACATTTTTCCCAATAGAGGAAAGCTTTTAGTGCCAAAATCCTCAAAGGAGAATGAACATCACACATTACACATGTATGTATAAGGGTAGAATAATATGGTACAAAATCCAGTGAGTACAAGCACACAATGGGCATTCAGTACAGGTTAAATGAATATGCAAGAAAAATTCAAAGTTGTTGTTGCTGTTTATAAGGGTGGTGATTATTAATAGATGCAAATGTATACTCCCTTTTGTAATCACAGCAAGGTAAAAGTCTTATCTCTGATCATTACCATGAGGACACTTAAATATTTAGCCCTGGGGACAAAATGGTTTGTAGGCAGGACGTCCTGTGTGTTTATGCACACATAAAATGCCGCCCTGGCCCCAGGACTGCAAGGCCTCTGACTGCATCATTTACATTCAGGGGTGGTCCTGATCAACATGGCCCCATAGAATAATAGAGGGAATTTCAGATAGTACAGCGTTAGATAATAAGCGCTTTCCACTGACTCTGTTTACATGTGGAAATTAGAAGCGCTGAGTGAAAAAGAGTAGTGAAAATAAAGACAGGAAGTATATACACAACAAACAATTTTTCCTCTCTGCAAATCGGATTATTCCCTTGCGCACCCCCTGCAACCCCCATCTATGATGTCAAACTCAATGGACTGTTGAACTAATAGCCTGGGAGTCACCAGCGTGAGAGTGTGTATGTCCACGCTGTGCAACTTGAATTAGGCTGGCCACCACGGCTGTGTACAGCTACCCCAGGAAGAGCCCCTCCCCTCCTCAGCATTTCAGTGGAAAACGTGCTGACTGGGACCCAGCTACAGGAATCACATTTGGGCAGAGAGAATGGCTTATCCTTTTCATGAGGGGTCTTGACTCAAGAACACTTGCCAATTCTGCTTGACCGTTTCCCATTCTTTACGGTTTTTCCTATCACTCCTTAGACTAAGAAAGAAAAATCTGTAGGAATGATTCGGTGGGATTTCTCTTTTGTTCCTAAATAAACCTTATCCCTGGATGAGCTCGTTCACACTAGGGAAGTTACTACCACTGGCTTTGAAGCCAGGCAGATCTGGGTGTTCCTTCCCATGTCTTTATTTGCTTTGTGGGGGATCTTTTCCCAGCCTTTCTGCTTTCATCCTTCTTAGTGAGAGCTTCTTCAGCTGCAGAACAGGGGCAATAATGCCTACCTTGCTGGGTTGCAGCAGAGAATGCTGCTTATGCAGGAAAATAAAAAAACACATAGCACACAATGGGAGCTTAATACATAAGAATTATAAACAGTCTTTTGTGTATATATCAATGTATTTCATGTCCTTAATGTTTATTTAAAGCAAGTACATTCTTTTGAATTAAGCATAAAAAGGTCATAAAATGCCAGAGATGTGCTTATTTGAAATGTTTGCAATGCTTTGCAATTGTTTTAAAATAAGGAGATGATATAACAGGGTGTTACCTCCGCCACTAATTAGTTACGTAATCTTAGATTATGTCACTTCCCTGGGTCTCAGTTGTAAACAGTTGCTTAATAAATAATGTTTGTTTTGCTTTCATCAATAATCCAGAATTAGGCAGTGAAATATGGAAGCTACATTGGTAGGAGCTTCTGTGATGGTCAGGTCCTGGAGGAAAGTGTGAGTTGGAACCTCCACCTTCCTCCCTACCAACGCCCTCCAGAAACACTGCTCACTGGATGCAGGGGCGCTTCTCCTGTTTCTAGTTCACTTGGTCTAGAGGCCAGCCAGGTAGGAGTCATCCTGTTCTTGGAGGCAATGTGGCCCAGACCCAGGCTCTAGCAGCAGGTCTGACTGCAGCACTTTCTCCCTCGGGGTGGCTCCCAGTCCCAGTGTGGTGGGCCCACCCTTCCTTACCACCAGGCGCCTCTCCTGGAAGCTGCGAAAACCTTCCCCCCTTTCAGGCACTGGGAATCAGCATTCTTTGGCGTATGCCTGGATTTGCCCCAGAATTATCCTGCAAAGTCTCTCCCCTCCTGACCTCAAATGTTCCTGTCCCTACAACCAGACGGTAGACCCCAGGGCCTCCGGGGCTCCTTCCAGTGCCTCCTTGTCATCTTTTGAATCACAGCTCATGAGGCAACCCACACAGGCAGGCTGGAGAGGAGTGGCAAGAAGCTCACCTTCGGACAGTAGTGAGCAGAGCAACAGAGGCCCCCAGAGACTTCGCACAACGGAAAAGAGATCAACTCCCGCATTTGCAGGGGACGTGAAAGTGCAATACTGTGAGGAACAAAAGGAAGCCTCATCTCTGGAAGCCGGGAGGAAAAACAGTCGGTGTAGACAGCAGCGGCAGGGACCAGAGCTGACCAGAAGGCTGGGTCCCAGCAACAATTAGAGACAGGCAGCAGCTGAGGCCCCTTCTCTGAGAACCATTTCAATTGCACAGTGGCCACAGAAGGCTCCATTGGCCCGGCAGCCAGCTCTGCAGAGCCATTTGTCCACAAGGAAAATAATAGCCCCGGCCTCATTGCTTTGGGCTGCAGGGAGGACAATGACCCACCATGAAAAGAGTTAAAAAGATTCTGGGGAAGGGGAAAGGCAGGCCCACACGGTGGCAATTCAAGATCTTTTGGATGCCGTGAGCGTGTTCTTTAATTAAGCCCCTCTTCTTCAGCTCATCCTGCAGAAACGCACCTGCTTCCCATCTGCCATCCAAAACGGCAAGCACAAGAATGACTTCACACTGTCACTTTCAGAGTTCCGCTGTGGCCCACAGTGATTTTTCAAGAAAGGCAGCCACAGACTCGCTCGCGCTTTCTCTTTCTCCTTTCCTCTGAAAGACTCTATAAAAACCACATTAAAAAGTGTGTGAGCCAAGCAATTTCATTTATCAAAGGAAGAAGGTCATCCATAGCATTCATTCTAAGAATATCAGGCACACGGCCAGCCCTGGACACAAGGCATGAAGACCAGAGGGCCCTTTATTGACCTAATCTCTATTTTGTCGCCAAACTGCATCTGTGTCTGAAAGCTGGGACACACAATATTTCCCTCTACCAAAATAATTTTATTTTCTGCAGCAGCATGTAACAAACAATTAATGGTGGTAACATGGGCTTCTGTCATTTTCTGAACAACCCAGTTCTGTTTGGTGTTACTGCAGTGGTTGTTATTTTGGGTGGTTCTGTGCTTATTCCATTCTGCCAATTGGTCCCATTCGCATGGGCGTGAGCCCGTGCCGTCATCTACCACCTTGGAATCCATGTTATTGCCAGAACTGTGTGGGGCCTTGCTTGAGGGCCTGTCCCCTGTCCTCTTCACAGATGTTTCTGTGCCTTCAGGGAGAGGACTGATTGTGCTGTCTCCCTCTCCCACCCGTGTCTGCTGTCTCCAAAACTAAGGGAGGCTGCGGTGAAACCAGCCTGGCCCAGGTTCCTCTGGTGCCTGCCGTGGCTCAAATTATCCAAACTACAGTGGCTGATTCCCAGCGACCCATCCCTTAGTGCCCTTGTGCCCCGTTGAAGAAGTGGCCCATGTTATGAATAGGGAAGCTAAGGTCATTAAGAATTTGTGCAGGCGTACAAAGAAAGTGCAAGTCAGAGATCCTTGTCTCAGCTACTTTGCTTGAAAAATGACTCCATGCTCTGAGATGCTATAAATGGAGCAAACAGTGTGAAGTGGTTCTCCCCCTCCAAGAAACTGCCCCCTGATGCGTTCCCCCATTAGACACCTGCTCCTCCAAGCCTGGTCTTCTCTCTGCAACCACTTCCCCTATGCCTCTCCCCACCCACCATGCATGACTCCTTGTCACACACATGATCTCTGGTCCTACCTTGCACTTGGTGCTGGGGGCTGTGATTCCCTCTGCCTCTGTCTCCCCACATCGTCCCTGACATCACCTTTCACCGTGCACTGGTCTCGCTTCCTCGGGAACTCTATGAATGGCCTTGTTCTCTGATTATTTGATTATTCCATTATCAACCCAAAGCTCACTGGGTCTATGGGGCTGAGAGGTCGTTTTTATTACATCATTTTAATTATTCAGATAAAAGACTCGCAGGCACAGATTTATCACCACTGCCTAAAGAAAAGCAGAGACACACATAATTCCATTTTGAAAATCCATTCTTAAAAGCAAAAATATGATTCAGTTGAAGGTATTCAGAAAAAAAAATGCTCATTGAAAAACCCTGATGATTTTTAGCATTTCAAATAAATTGTGTACAGTTACGGTCATTTGTTAACTATTTTGGAGACTGCGAGCTGATCATTATCTCTCTTTTTCAGATAACAAAATGTATCTACCTTCTCCCAGAGTGTAAACTAATCTGGTGGCTGGAAAAAGCAAACAAACAAACAAAGATCTGTTAAGAAAGATCTGATTTTTCAAATGGCGCATACCATTCCTTGAAACAGAGGTGATGAATAGGTAGAGACAAAAGCATCAAACATCCAGGCAGGACCTGTTTATCTCTGGGCAGAAATCTGTTCAATTCCATGATAAAACAAGGTTTGAAGTCAGGGATTCAATTTCACAAACTAAACAGACGTGTGCACACACATGTGCACACTGTGCATGTCCCAGTGCACACACGCAGAACCCATTTCGTAGGGACACACATGTGCACACTGCATGCCCCAGTGCACACACGCACAACCCATTTCGTAGGGACACACATGTGCACACTGCATGCCCCAGTGCACACACACACAACCCATTTCATAGGGACACACGTGCACACTGCATGCCCCAGTGCACACACGCACAACCCATTTCGTAGGGACACACATGTGCACACTGCATGCCCCAGTGCACACACGCACAACCCATTTCGTAGGGACACACATGTGCACACTGCATGCCCCAATGCACAGACACACAACCCATTTTGTAGGGTCCTAGCAGAATTTTCTCTGTAGGAAAAGCACTCAATCTTGCTGATTTGTGGCTGTTTCTCCGGTTTGCATCAGGTTGGGCCTCATGACACAGGACTGGCCTAAGCATTAGGTCAGAGCTGGAATATGCCAAGTCTTCCCCATCCCTTCTCCATTCCCAGGGCTGAGTAGTGGTTAGAAGGGCGAGCACAACACACCCAGACACTTATCCCCTCTATGTCTTCTGCCTTTCCTCTTTCCCCTGTAGGTGTTTCTTCTTAGAGTAGCTTTTTAATCATGCTCACTGGTTGTCTGCTTCTTAAGACTGGCCATGTTTCACAATTCTTCCAATTGCATTACTTCCCCTAAGGCTCTCCCTTTTCCTGGATATCTCATTGACACCTGTATTAGAGTTTTCCAGAGAAACAGGACCAATAGCATATATAGGAATATGCAGAAAGATATTTATGATGAGAGATTGGCTCAAGTAATGGTGGAGACAGAGAAGTCCCACCGTCTGCCACCTGAGAGCTAGAGGCCCAGCAAAGCTGGTGGTGGTGTTCCAGTCCAGGCCCAAAGGCCTGAGAACCAGGATCACTGACATGCAAGGACAGATGAAGATGGATGTCTCAGGTCAAGCAGAGAGGAAATTCACCCATCCTCTACCTTTTTGTTCTATTCAAGCACTTAACAGATTGCATGGTGCCCATCCACATTGGTGAGGGTGATCTTCTTTGCTCAGCTTACTGAATCAAATGCCAAACTCTTCCAGAAGGACCTTCACAGGTATGCTCAGTAGGAAAGTTTTACCAGGTATCTGGGCATCCCTAAGACCAGTCACATCAACTAAACCATCACAACACCTAAGACTTGAATTTCCAATTGTCTTCTGGTGTTTGTAAAACACTGTTAGGGAGCTCATCCCTCTCTGTTGAATCCTGGACAGTTTCAAAGCCTGCTGGTCAGCTCTGTCCCATTCTGCAGGCATCACGACCTCCAACCATCCAAATAAAGTAAGTGTCCTTGCTTGCTCTACTTCTGATCTGTCCTTCACATCCTGCGTCTTCTCCAAATTACCTATGTGTAATCTATGGCATTCTCACAATTAGCCCAAACTGGCGATCCAGTCCCTACACACACACACACAAACACAGACCCTAAATTCCCTTAATCTGTTTACTGAATCTGCTTCTTCTTCTGCTGAAACATTTCTGGAATCCCCCTTTCCTCTCATGCACCGCCATTGCCCAAGTTTAGGTATTCATCAATTCTTGCCAATGTGATTTCTAATGCACCTAATGGGTTTCTTATATCCAGGTACCCCCTTACTCTCCAGTCTGTCTTCCACTCTGCCCCTAGACTTGTTTTTCATATATAAAGCTCTTATTTTCCAGCACATATAAAATAAGCTTCTTAGCAGGGCACTCGAGGCTTTGCAAATGTGCTGTCAACCACTCCATGCACCTGTGCAGATTCCTAGTCGCTATTCCCCTCTCTTCAACACTCATGGCCCATCCCCAAGAGGCTGCCTTCAGGCCTTTTCATCTTTGCACATGTCCCTCCACTAGGAATGCCTTTCCTCTCCCAGGCTTGGCAAAGTACATTTTCAAGGCCTCTTGTAGTGCTGTGCGCTGTATGCTGCAGGTGATATGCCCCATGCTTCAGGCAGTTTGGTCTTGTAAGTGCAAGTAAGGGGCTTATCACAAGCCCTCTCACTTGCCTTGAACTCGGGATGTCTGACCCTTTCTCATGTGTAGCTTGGTGCAGGCTCAGAGTAGAATGAGGTAGGTGGGCAGTGCTGAACATGGAGATGGTTCTGGGGAGCTTCTGTGTGACTAATATCGCAAGGCCTCAGATAAAGCCCCCTGCAACCTCTCCTTTCCCTAACTGGTCTGAGCCAGGGGAAATGGCATCCTTGCCGTCATCACTACCATGCTGTGTTCCTATTTGCTCCAAGGACACAATCAGCATCATTACCCCATTCTCCTCAAAGCACATTCCATTCATTTTCTTCTTCAAGGCAGTGTTTTTTATCCCCATTCCACAAATGAGGAGATGAAGATTCAGACAGAGCAAGAAATTTTTCAAGGTAGCGATTCACCCTCTGATTCTCTGGACTAGAGTCATCCTGTGGAAGCTCTGCCTCCCTCCTCTGGTCTCTCTCTTTCCCGCATCCACTTTCCTCAAACACGTGTCACCTCTGTTTCATTCTCTGGCCACCTACCCCCACCATCCTTTCTTGGCTCAGATCTGAAGTACTCCAGACTACCAGATTACGTAAAAATTCAAAGGCATGAGAAAATGGCAAGCATGGAAACAAATTCTTGGTAGAGATGAGTGGCAACCTCAAAAAGAAGCCTCCTCTCCCCATAAATTCCTCAGTGCCCCATCAATCTCCATCAATCCATACAAGACCAGCCTCACTCTGACCACCCGGGTCTTCCACATACTATTGTTTTCTGCAACTTGAACAAAATAATGGATTGTAGTTGATATTCTCCAGGGGATTTGACTACCCTCACATAAAATCTCTAGTTAAAAAGAGCTGATTTAAGTCATACATACAAAAACAGCATGATAGCATGCAATGTTTATCAAACCTGAGTGGAAAAGGATTGCCTGGAAGGCTTTTTGAAAATTGTATCCATTCTCATCTCTACTGATGGTGCCTGAGTAGGTCTGGGCAGAATTCTTGGAGTGTCAGGGGATTCCTGAAGGAGGTCAACAGGAATCTCACTGGCGAAAGAAGAACTGACTTTGGATTTAGACAGACCTTGGTTCAGACCTTACCTTTGCCATATGCAAACATTAGAATTTTGAAAGAATTGCTCATTTTAATTTGACTTTTCATTTCATTTTGAAAATAAAAACTTCCCTTTTCATTTTATTTTGACTTTCAGTTTTTTCTCTTAGAAAACAAATCAAAATGAAACCTACCTCAAGGCATTGTTGCCAGACCCAAATAAAATCAATTACATTTCATGAAATAAAATAATCATCCTATGTTGGTTTTCAAATAAATGGAAAGTTGCTTTTTTCACGTCAGAGTGAATATTTTATAAAAGTATAATTACACATAAAGGAAAATATAATACATTGAGAAAGTGGTTGTTTTATTTAGTTTGAGAATTACATGCTATTAATGTATTTGTATCATTAGAAATTTTGCAGAGATCCCTACAGAAAATAATTATAACAATTTCCTTTTATTTCAACTTCGACAATGTGGTAGCAGGTATCCTGAAGGTGCTGCCTCTGACACCTCCTGGAAATTCTGTGTGCATGACTAGAAGCATTATTTGAATGCTTGGCTGAGTTCCGGAGAGGGACTCTGAGCAGCCAGAGGGAAGAACAAAGTGTCGGGAGATACTGGGAGGACACAGGAATGCAGGGGACAGGAATGCTTTTCCAATTTGTGCATTGGGGAATTGGGGGCAATCACCACAGGAGACAAAAGTTGGGTGCTTGAATCCTTGGGTCAGAAATCAAAACTTACTCCCACCTTCTGCTCCACCTACCCAACTAAGCCTGGCCCTGGCTGGGCTACACCCTCACTGAAAAGTATGCAAGAAAAAAACCTGCCTACTAGCTCAGAGGGCTGGAATGAATCCCAGGCTGTGTCTACGTGGGTGTCAGCGGGGATTGAGTAAAATACAGGCGGCGGGAACTTCCCTGAACATTTGTTACCATGGACCTAACTCATAAAGGATTAGGGCTGGAACTGAGATTATCAAGGTTGTGAACCTCTGGCGCACCTGCTGGAAACACATGCAAACCACTCCTGAAAAATGAACTCCCTGGCATCCCCACACCCCAAATTCATGTGGAACAAGTATGCTTAAAATGCTTAAAGACGTTTTAAAAAGGAAACGTAGTTGTCAGAAAAGACAAAGGATGCTTCAAAATACAAGATAGATTTTAGAAAAAAATCAAATGGAACCCTTTAAAAATGTAATCGTTGAAATTGGGATAATTCAAATGAGAGGAACAGCACATATGATGCCCATGAAAAAAAGAATTAATGGGTGGTAGAATAGATTAGAATAATTTATCCCATATTGAACAAAAAGAGATACAGAGATTTTACCTCATAGTTTACCTGTTAGAAACCTCATAGTTTACCTGTTAGAAACCTCATAGGTTACCTGTTATAAACCTACCTCTAATTAGAGGACCAAAGAAAGAAAACAGAAAAAAGTGGAAGAGAACCAATATTCATAGAAATAATAAATATTTTTTCCCACAACTTATGAAAGAATGGAGTCTGGAGAATCAGGAATCTTAGTAAGTCCTAAGAAAAATAAGTCCTATTGAGTACATACCTAAACTCATTACAGTGAAATTACATGCTACCCAATACAAGACATGATTAAACACACACACACACACACACACACACACACACACACACACACACCCTGAGATAAAACAGACTCCCAATAAAGAAAAACAAATTAGTCTGATAGCAGACTTCTCAACAGTCATCAGGGAGGCTGGGGTTTACCTTGACTGCTTAAATTAAAGTCCATTCCCAAGGACATCTCAAATGGCCAAGTAACCAGTCCCTGCTTGTTTATAGAGTGTGGAAGTTGTTTAGATTTGCTATGGACCACCTCTCTACCTCCACCTCACTGAGCTCTGAGGCAAATGGATTCCCCTATTGTAAACTAGGAATGAGTGTCTGAAAGAAGCCTTTTCTGATTCCCTGTAAAAGTTCATTCATCAGGAGGAAGGGGAGTCATTCCAGCCTTCACTGCCTGTGGACGGCAACAACTTCACTGTGGAAGACGCCAGTAGGTAAGAAGTTGCTCATGGAGCCCATATGAATAAAGACAACATTGAACCTGACTCCTTGGCTGCCTGTCTCCTTCCCCTTTCTACAGGAGAAGTAAAGGCATCTTTTAAGGACAAAGATGACAGTCTTTGTGCCTGGCTGAGTCCTTGCTTAGAGACACACAGAATAATAGAATAAACTTGGAAGGATAGTAAATTGATATGTTTTTATTTGCCCCTGAAATTATGTTCCTTTCTAGCCTGTTCCTCCCAAGAATGAGCCACAGAGGGTGTTGCCCACAGCAGGAGGGAGTCGATTCTCATCTGAGAACAAAGTGTCTTGATGAATTCTATATTTTAAAGGTGGATTTTCTTGATCTCCTTAGTCAGACTTAGTTTTGAAAGTCAAACTTTGTAGAGAGAGAAGAGATTTAGAAATTTTAAATCACCCTTTCTGAATGCCAAGGCTTTGGCCATATAATTATTGATGGATTGATTGATTGATTGATTGAAATGAAGTTTCACTCTTGTTGCCCAGGCTGGAGTGCAGTGGTGCAATCTTGGCTCACCGCAACCTCTGCCTCCTGGGTTCAAGCAATTCTCTTGCCTCAGCCTCCCGTTTCTGGGATTACAAGCATGTGCCACCATGCCCGGCTAATTTTGCATTTTTGGTAGAGATGAGGTTTCTCCATGTTGGTCAGGCTGGTCTCGAACACCCGACCTCAGGTGATCTGCCCACCTCGGCCTCCCAAAATGCTGGGATTACAGGCATGAGCCACCGCACCCGGCTGGGCCGTATCAATTTAATTATGATCATGGTGTTAGTGTTTTCCACAGACAGTCTCCTGAGAGTAGAGAGAGGGAGAGTGAGAGAGAGGTTGAGGCTGAGGTCTGTTAGAGCCTTGGACTTGTACTGGCAAAGTGGAAACCCCAGAAGAGAAGGAGAGGAGGTATAAGGTTCTGGGTGTGGAGGGTGGAGAAATGTTCGGTGGGCTGGTGTCACATAGCTTTTTCCATAGCTACTTTATTGTATCATTGCTTTAACATTGCTTTCTCAGAACTACTCTGATCATCTGACTCTCAATATACCCTTCTTCCCCATCTGTAGCCCTATTTTCTTAGGCTTTCTTTGCACTGATGCTTGTGTCATATGCCTATTTGCTGACAGGGTTATTGTCAGCTCCCTCACTGGAACATCTTCTCTGTTCTCTCGCCAGAGTCTGGACACAGCTGACCGTAATGTTTATTCAATCAATGACTGGTAAGGAAGCTAACATTCAAAGGTGCTTTGCTCTGCTTGCCTCCAGGACTGGGGAGGAAAATGCTTTGTAGAGTGTGCTTTATGCCATTATGGTCAAACTAGCATAGTCAGCCAAAAGAGAGGTGCCCACATAGATCCCCCTGAAGAAGTCGCTGATGTGAAGGTGGCAAAGTACAAGAAAGACAGATCCAATCTGGGTCAACTGGGTTACACAGAGATCAGCTCTGCACTCCTAAGGCCATGGGAACCTGTTCCCGAACCTGTGGAGCATCAATTTTCTGTTCTACTCTGAGTTGTACCACAATTAGAAGCATCATTATGTGGAAAGGAATTCCCAGAGGTTCCTAAACATCCTTCTCCTCCTTTAACCAATAAAGACATATGCATCTTGCATTAATACTGTGGAATAAATAATGAATTATAAACGGAATAGAAATTATAATACAGTGATGTGATGTCTGCACAGATTTTTATGGTCCCTGGAGTCAGTCCCTTTAGAAATGTACATTATTTTCTCTATTTAAAGATATTCACAACTCTTTGTTAATCCAGCTCACCATACTCATCTAGGGACACTGGGAGGGAAAATGTATTTGGAATTCTACGGGCTCCATTCTTCCATTGCTTTTCAATTAGAGACACCATTCGTCTTGTGTGTTTTATCTCTTGGAGCATTCTCCCATGTGCTGCCGGAAGATAACACTCTTTTCAGGTCTCTGAAGTTGCTGGGTTTTACTACGTGTCTCCTAACACCCATAGGTGTATGTAATCTCACTGTAACAGAATGTTGTCATGTCTTGTTGACTAATTAAGCATCCTCGTTCCAAATCTCAGCAGCTGAAAGTTCAAGTGTTAAATGGTGGGATAGTGAATCCAGGAGGCAGTGAATGAGGAGGCAACTCGGGCCCTGGCTGAGTTTTTACTTCTTTTTCTTCTGTTGCATTATTTTGTTTCTGTTTTGCCAGGTGCTGCCTGGTTAAAGATGCCAGTAGGCTCGACACAGAGCCAAATATACTGTCCAAATGTGAGATTAGAAATTAGATCATATGTGATAAAAGACAGCAATTTATTTTAGCTTGGTGTTATATCAGGAAACTATGAAATAATATAATCAATTTATTTGCTTACTCACACAAGCAATGTCTGCTATGTGCCAGACACAGGAAAAAAAAATACCAGGGCTAAAATGATCCATAAGACAAGATTCTTGCTCTTGAAATACACAATCCAGTGGGGGAGGAAGACAAGTAGTAGACAGTTATAGGACAGCATCCTGAGAATTGGGAGAGAGATTTGTTTATGAGTCTTGGAAGTAGGAGTTAAATTCAGAGAAGGTGGCATTTGAGCAGTGTAAGGACCTGTTGGATGAATAGTGGGAATTGAAGTAGGAGAAAAACAGAATTTAGAAGATCATGAAGGACTTCTCATTCTACAGCAAAAACTTGGGCTTTTACTCAAGGACTTGAGGAGCTGTTGAAGATTTCAACTGAGAAGCTTCGAGAGGAACCTTGAGACTGAGCTAGTGCCCTTCGATGGCTGTGTGAAAGGATGGACTTCATGGGAGGAAAGAATCCGACAAGCTGAGAGGACGCTAAAGAAAAAGAAAAGAGGCACTGAAGGACTGGGCTAAACAGTGATGATAGACTCTCAAGTTATGGAAGAAGCACATAAATGGGGCTGAGCAGGTCGCTGGAGTTAGGGGAGTTGGAGTCTGCTTTGGCTACCTTGCATGGAAATGATGCTGGTTGTTAAACCAAGGAATACAGGAAAAAAAAGACACTGTTTAGAGATGACATCATGATTTCAGTGTGAGTCAATTTCAGTATGAGACACCAATGAGACACTCAGGAGGAGTGGGCTAGTTAACCACCCACCAGTGCCTGGAGCTCAAGAGGAATGTCAGGGCTGGGATGAAGGTAAGTCAGAAACACTCCAGAACAGCTAAAAACCAAGTCTACATGCAGTGAGAATAACAGTAGCAAGATATAACTATATAATACTGGTCAATAATAAAATTTAAAGCAAACAAGAAGAAAACTAGGAAGGTAGACTTGGAGCAAGCATGTAGAGAGATATGAGAGATCCAGAAACAAGTCAAGTCCAGAAAGTTAACATGGGGAGAGAGTGGATATATGATTTTCAGACACCATAGAAAGTGTCTGTCCTACTAGCATACAGCCCTATCCACTGGTTACTAGGTGAGGCAATAGATGTATTAATTAGCTGGGTTGTGGGGATATTTCAAAATGTATACATATATAAAAACAACACCTTGTACAAGTTAAATAAATAAAATTTCAATTCGTCAATGATACACCAATAAAGCTAAAAACAAACAAACAAACAAAAAAGGTGGCCAGGTGCAGTGGCTCAGTCCTATAATCCCAGCACTTGTGGAGGCCAGGGTGAGCAGATCTCTTGAGTCCAGGAGTTTGAGACCAGTCTGGGCAACATGGTAAAACCCCATTTCTATGAAAAATGCAAAAACATTAAAGGTGGTGGCACATGCCTGTAGTCCCAGCTACTCTGGAGGATAAGATGGAAGGATTACCTGAGCCCAGGAGGTCAAGTCTTCAGTGAGCCATGATCACACCACTGCACTCTAGCCTGGGTGACAGAGGGAGACCCTGTCTTTAAAAAAAAGGAAAAGAAAAAGGAAAAGAACGGTGAGGAATTGTCAATGAATGTGTAGGGGAGAAAATGAAACAGAAAAGACTATTTCTAAGTTTTTCAGCCTTCTTGTCTTGGAGAAAGAGGGATTCTTTGATAGAAATAAGACTCTGGAAGAAGTAGTGCTTCTCAGCATATAAAAATGCCTTTTTAAAAAATGGTGATTCCAATTTCCCAAAGAAGAAATAGTTTTAGAGTGTACCAGAAGACTACTATAAACATTACACCTAATATGTCTCTTTAAATTTTGTGTATTCACTTAGCAGTGAACTTTGCACACCTTCATGTTAGTCCCTCAGTGAATACTCACTCACTTTCACACCGCTATGCCACCAATGCAATTACCATTCCAGTGCAAACCCAACTGTGGTGGTCCTACCTCACCTGTCAGGAGCAATTTCATAACAGAGAGCAGCACTGAGGTCTCATATTACTAATATTTCATTACATTTACAAAAGAGACAAGAGTGCATTCATTAGTATACTATGAAATATTACCATAAATAAGTAAAATTAAATTATACTTGTCAAAATAAATGAACACTGCACACACCATGATTCAGTGTCCCTAATTCTTTTAATTATGTTTTTTTCTTACTTGCTAATTTGTGAAATTTGCTAACTCACAATGGACTCCCTTGTCATTAGTGAGAATGAGTCTGATTCTGCTGGAATACAAAGGGCTTTGCACACCCTATGTAGCATGGCTCCTGGCATTCTGTACCTGGAGCACCATGTTGACTAATTGGTGCTTTTTCTCATGTCAAGCTTGTTGAAAGCTACATATTAATTATCACCTTTTGAAATTGGTGATTACAAGATGAATGTTATCCGGGTAAATGGAAGTGTACCATTTTGCTCTAAAATAGGAAATTCCAGTGCAGAGTTATAATAGCTAAAATGTTGCCCTATTTTTAGTGTTGTACCTTGATGTTTAATGTATGTTTTCTACGAATGCAAAGAACAGACAATTGTGCTAGTTTCAAATTTGTTGCTCTGCTGAGTCCACATTAATGATCCATCACCTAGAAAAATACAGAAGTCATTTTGGCCTATGTGAAGCATGGTAAAGCTTTAAATCCAGGCAATATTTATTGGGTACCTACTTTTTGTATGTATGCATTCTCCAGCAATTGTATATAAATTATCTGATTAATCCTCACAATATTTCAGTGAGTTAGGCAGTTTGAGTTTCCTTTCATGAATAAGGAGTCTCAAAGGAGTTAGATAGACTTCCCAAGTTCATGCACCTGGTGAATGACAGATGGGAACATACATCTTTCCATTACGTGTTTTACCTCCTCATGGCTTGATATCAGCTTATGTCAAACTGCCTGTAGATTGTATATTATTGTTAAGAAATACATGGATTTGGATGATAAAGAAATAGGATACATGAAGAGAAAGACTGGAGAGGGGGCGTAGGGGAATCGTTAGCAGCAGGCATTAAGGAAAGGCTTACGTAGCTGTGTCATTTCTAATTTTCATTCTTTTTGTGTTGGAAAAAGAATGATGTTTAAGAAAATTGAGGGCCGGGCGCGGTGGCTCACGCCTGTAATCCCAGCACTTTGGGAGGCCGAGGCGGGCGGATCACGAGGTCAGGAGATCGAGACCATCCCGGCTAAAACGGTGAAACCCCGTCTCTACTAAAAAAAATACAAAAAATTAGCCGGGCGTAGTGGCGGGCGCCTGTAGTCCCAGCTACTTGGGAGGCTGAGGCAGGAGAATGGCGTGAACCCGGGAGGCGGAGCTTGCAGTGAGCCGAGATCGCGCCCCTGTACTCCAGCCTGGGCGACAGAGCGAGACTCCGTCTCAAAAAAAAAAAAAAAAGAAAAAAAGAAAATTGAGAAAAGTAAAATCACAAAAGAAATACCTGTCAGCATTGCATTTGGGTGTTTTACTTTTAACATTTTCCTTCAGGCACCAAAGATGTTAAAATTCTTTTGTAAGGCCTTTAACAGGGCTCTGATCAGATAGAATTTCACACCCTTCCCAGAATGTTTGCTGACACTCTGGAGCATTCTATGAAAGAGGGTGCAAAGTATCCTGCCTGACTTCCTCCAAGAGT
Organism: Homo sapiens; assembly: GCF_000001405.40. Lineage (NCBI taxonomy): Eukaryota > Metazoa > Chordata > Mammalia > Primates > Hominidae > Homo > Homo sapiens. The sequence continues at coordinate 5,998,944 of NC_000002.12, forward strand.
AGGTCACATAGGTTTCCTCCTGCTCCCTCTCTGACATCTTGGTCCGTTGGGGTTACTATAACAAATTACTGTAACTGGGTGGCTTAGAAACAGCCATCATTTATTCTTCACAGTCTGGAAGCTGGAAGTCTGAGACCAGGAGCCAGCATGGTCAGGTTCTGATGAGAGCTCTCTTCCTGACTTGCAGATGGCCACCTTCTGGCTGTGTTTCCAGGTGGTAGGGAGAGAGCAAAAGAGGTAACAAGCTCTGTTGTGACTCTTGTAAGGCCACTAATCCTTTTCATGAGGGCTCTATCCTCATAACCTCATCTCATCCTAATTAGCTCTCAAAGGCCCCACCTCCTAATACCATCACATTGGTGGGGTAGGGTTTCAATATATGAATTTGGAAGGATACCAGCATTCAAACCATAACGTCTCCCTTGGGCTATGCACAAAGGGAGTCCAGAAGTCTCACATAATGAGTGTTCATTCTGCTGCTACTGGACTGGAGACGCCACATAGAGGGGGAGAAGTTGAGGAGCCCAAGCTATCCCCAGTAGTAACACCAGTTTTGTGAGTCTGCAAGCCTTAAAACCACTGCAGTGCCCAGCCTTGAGCCAGCTCAGCCTCCTCCAGCAGAAGCAGAGACATGGTGTCATCATGTAGACCCTCCCCAATGGCAGATTTTTGAGAAAAATAAATAAATGTTGATTTTGCTTTAAGCTGCTACATTTTAAGTGGTTTGTCACATAGTCATAGTAACTAGAACACACTCTTGTGATATTTTTGTATCAGAGATCATAATTTAATGTATATATTGTCTAAAAAAAGGCTGTTCCTGATACATTTCTATGGTATTGTTACAATAATGTTCATGTAACAAGAAAAAAATTCGTGCTGAAACCGCTTACTTTTAAACTTCTAATACGATCACGAACAACATTTGTTGAACAGAGATTTTACTGTGGCCAATACAACAGGATATGTTTTGCTGAGATGATCTTTAATTCACTCAAGGAAAAATTCTAGAAGTTAGGTCTGTTGAAAACCTTCTGTTTAACCAATTATGTATATATTTTATATAATACCTAATACTTCCCAATACTCAGCAATAGAATTTATTTCTTTTGCCAACATTATCTTCCAAAAAGATACCAGGTTGATGTTTTTTCAAAGCACTTGTATATCTGATGATAATGTAAAACAATTTGACTAACTGTAATTCTTAGACCTCAAATTTCCTACTCCAAAATTCTAGAGCTGTGCTGGATAAGCTTTTTAGCACTTAACGTTGAGGCAAAGTATAAGTCTAGTGTTGTTTGCCTTTGTAGGTGATCATCGGATGACTCACGCAAACTAAATAAATGCATATACGATTTTTCTTTTATTAAAACACCAACAGAATCAGTTTGGGTATGGATCTGGTAAACATTTTGGAGTCTCATCTTTACATATGCAGGTCTTTATAAACCCTTGGGTCTGGGTCTCCCAAATGATGCCCAGTGTCACTAATTGCTGGCACAGTCCCCACCCAGCACCTCTGTGTCCCCTTTTTTCTGTACCTAGGACCATCTCCCTTTTCATTTACCTTCCTGTGGCTCATTCCCCTTCTCGACATTCAGTGCTCTGCTATCCCACACAGGTTGACCCTGATTGCATGATCTAAAGGGAGTTTCCAGAGTCTCCCTTAACACTTTACCTTGTTTTATTTACTTTAAAGCATTTGTCACTATCTCACAATATCCTATTTCTTCAGTTGTTTGCTTGTTTATGATGTTTCTTCTCCTATTAGAAATAAAACCCCATGACAGCAGGATACTTTTGTGTTACTCATTAAGTTCTTCCCTACAGCCTAACACTATGCCTGGAAGATAGAAATTGCCTCATGTATATTTTCAAATGAATGAATGAATGGAGAAATGAATGGACGGATAGTTGATATCCTGCACAGAAATGCCAAACATTTTTTGATTGAGATTTTTGATCCCTGCCAGCCATCATCAATCCCTGTCCTCTCATCTTGTTTACCTCTCGGTTCTTTTCTTCCTATATTCCAGGTTGCATGGGCTTGATCCACAATGACTCAGCTTTCAGCCATCGCAATTGTGCTATGCTCAGCTGTCAAGTGTGTTTTAAATCTCCTACTACATTTTTTTTAAAGTTTTTCTGCCATCCTTTGTACTCCTTTTTAAAAACTTATCCAGGAAGTGGTATGAAATCTCCAGTACTTCTCGGCACACACAGATGCGTCTTTTTCTGTTTATTGTTTTCCCTCTGAGAGTTGTAGTGTTCAGTTGGTTACACCAAGAGAAGTACTTGGCTGGGACTGTTAAAAAAAGTGTCACAAAGCAGCACCAAGGAGAAAACAACACTGTTTTCTGAATGTTCGTGCTTGGAATTTCTTTACTACAGGGAAAATGAGATGGGGGAGGGCCCTTCTTATCTATTTTCAGACAGACATCTCACAAATGCATAAAAAATATAATCCTTTTAGTTCCACTGGCCTTGTAGTTGTTGTAAATGCATCTTAAATTCCTAAATGATTTTTAAATTACATTATGTCTTTCAGCGGTGTAGGCTTTGATTTCTGAGGCTGTTAGCCAGATATAGGCTTTAACAAACACTCATGTTCTTTTGTCTTTATGTCTTTATTTTAAAATTATATATATACATATATATATGTATGTATGTATGTATAAGTATCCAGTGAGTATAAGAAAAATATCAAAGAGAAGAATTTTTCTCATTCTGTCTTCAAATAGGTAATACTTCACAAATTGATGTATGCTCATGGACAATAGCAGGTAATGCTTTTGAAACTGAAAGATTTGTCTCTGAGTTCCAACAATTGTCTTAGCAGACAGAGTTTCAAGGTCATCAAATCTGTATCCATTGGTGGCATAGAAGATGTCAATCACATTGCCTTTGAATCAGAACCTATCATTGTCAATACAGATAAACTGCAGGTTAACTCTCTCTCTGTCTCGCCCCTGGAAACTAGGCTTAATGTTTTGCCAAAAATTGGGTATTTGCTCTTGACCCTAGAGCAAAGGCTCTCACTTCAACAAAACTTTTCACTACTCTCCAGAAGAGCCAAGCCTCATACTGATGAGAAGAAGAGAAGGAAGAGAAATGGGAAGCCGATCATTAAAATATTTTCCTGCAAGGGGAAGAAAACAACAATTCTTAAGTGCCAATATGAGACAGGCACTATACTGAGCACTTTGGATGTGGTATCTGTTTACATTTATTTGAATAATAATCAGCATATAGAAATTCAACATAGATTCTGCACCATTTCTTTCAGTCCTTCTGGATGGTTTTTCATTTGTATTTGTAATAACTTGAAAGTTACTTAATCTCTCATTAAGTTGCTGAGGTATGCTTTTTAACATAATATTTGCATAGGCCATGAACCAGAATGAATAAAAGGAAAATCCCAAGATCTAGAACATTGTTTTAGAATTGATGCCTACCCAACACTTTGTCCTGAGTTTACTTAGCATATAGAAAGGAGTTACATACACAATGAACATTCGAGGACTGAATTTTAGTTGAAGTAACTGAGATGAGTAAACAAAAAATGCCAGAAGCTCACTGCCTCCTCCACCCCCACCACACCTGATGCAGTCCAGAGGCAAATTTCTTTGTTAATCCACTTATTTGTGTTATTTTTATGTATTTATACTTATAGTACGTAGCATATCTAAGCTCATGTCTGTCTTAGGAATTGGAATTTTAGCAGGCAGAGAGATCATCACCTTAACTCTGTGGTGTTCAATCTTTTAGCTTCCCTGGGCCACATCACAAGAAGAAAAATTGTCTTGGGCCATACATAAAATACACCAACACTAATGATAGCTGATGAGCTAAAAAAAAAAAAACCTGTCAAAAATATCATAATTTTTTTCATTGCTTGAGCAATTTTTTTATTATTATTATACTTTAAGTTCTAGGGTACATGTGCACAACGTGCAGGTTTGTTACATATGTATACATGTGCCATGTTGGTGTGCTGCACCCATTAACTTGTCATTTACATTAGGTATATCTCCTAATGCTATCCCTCCCCTCTCCACCCACCCCACGACAGGCCCCAGTGTGTGATGTTCCCAAAAATATCATAATGGTTTAGGAAAGTTTACGAATTTGTGCTGGGCTGCATTCAAAGCCATCCTGGGTTGCATGTGGTCTGCAGGCCCCAGGTTGGACAAGCTTGCCTTAAATGAAGTTTACAAATAGTTACAATTATGTTTAGTGCTACAGATTAGAAGTATATGCTAATATGTAATTGATATGGTTTGGCTGTGTTCCCACCCACATCTCACTTTGAATTATAATAATCCTCACATGTCAAGGGTGGGGCCAGGTGGAGATAATTGAATCATGGAGGCAGTTTACCCCATACTACTCCCGTGGTTGTGAATAAGTCTCATGAGATCTGATGGTTTTATAAATGACAGTTTCCCTGCACAAGCTCTCTTGCCTGCCGCCATGTAAGATAGGACTTTGCTCCTCATTCATCTTCAGCCATGATTGTGAGGCCTCCCCAGCCATGTGAAACTGTGAGTCAATTAAACCTCTTTCCTTTATAAATTACCCAGTCTTGGATATGTCTTTATTAGCAGTGTGAGAATGGACTACGGGAAGATATAATCCAGTGTGAATGATACAAATTTCTGTGTCTAATACCTGAATACCTGAACTGTATTTGATCACTAAGTTGCCATCTGCTTCTAAGGTACTCCTAGAGTGGACAAGGATACCTGCATACTAGCATTGGCTGATGATGGCTTTTTTCCCTCTTGAAGAAATGGCCATTCTGATAAGATGGCTTCTTCAACAAGTCAATAATCCCTAAAGTCTAGTTTCTTTCTATGGCTTTTGGGAAAAAGATGCATGAGACTCTTGGAATATAAGCAAAAACTTATAATATTCAATGTTGACTCAACTTGGAGTATTTTTCTCACATTCTAAAGAGTAATGAGGATGATAAGATGATGAATTCCATGTAATAAGGAGAATGTAGGTGCAGAAGTGAGATACGTGTAAGTGGCTAAATTTTATGTTTCTCTATAACCAATGTGTTCCTGTGTGTTTTTACATTGGCCTGTGTGTGATTTAGGGCCAGAGGCATTGGCTTGACTGTTGGAAGCCTGGAGCTGTTTATTCTGGTTCTGTTACTTTATGTGTGAACACAGCAAACTTTATAAGAATATTTTCCCAGATGCACTTTTCATTCATTTATCCACTCAGCAAGCTGTTTGGAGCTAATCACTGTGGAGGACAAGACATGGTAATTTTATCATTAATGGTCATAAAATATAGATTCAAAATTGTATTGATTAAAAATAAGTATGTAATGAGAACCTTCTAAAGCTGGTCAAATTCAAAGACTTGGTCCATAAGGGAGATTAACATAAGCCAACCCTTCTGGTGGTAAATTCTCAGTGCCAAGAAAGAAGTCTGTAGAAAAAAACATACTGGGGCACAGCCAGGGTGTGGTCAGTTCCACCTGTAGGGCTCAGGAAAACATTCATTAAAAAAGATATAATTGAGACAATTTCTAAACAGCAGTCAATATTTTCAAGGCAAATAAGGGCCAGGAAGCACACACTAAAAGTCTGAGAAACTATACAGCTTGGCTCATTCTGGGAATATAAGCATTTTGGGATGGCTAGAAGAAGAGGGAGCGAAAAGATTTTAAACATGAGATGATTATAAACTACATCTATTAAGCAGCTGTGTTTTAAGTTACGCTCTTTAATAGTAAAATTATAAACTCACTCACTTCGCCCAACAAACCTAGAGAGACACTGTCGCTATTTGATTTTATAACAATGGGAGCAACGCTCATGGTTACATAAAGAGCTCAAGGTTACAGAGCTAAGAAGTGTAGAAATGCATGTTCATCTCAGACAACTTGTGTTCTTAACCGTTACATACTCCAGAGAGAAAAAAGATCCCAGCAGTCTCGTATACAGGCTAAGGAGTTTGGACTTTTCTGTAGACTTTAGCAAGCTCTCAACATCCATTAGCAATTGCATTTGGAAAGGCAAATGAGAGAATGTGGAAGGTTGACTTCAGAGAGAACAAGAGACAACTTCACTGGTCACGGCAAGAAGGGGTGACATTCTCCAAAAGGTAGGAGTAGTGAGAGGGGAGAAGAAGGGTCAGATAACAGGGCTGTTACCGTGACAGATTTTATGAGTTTTGGAAACTGATTAAATGCAGCAGAGGAGGGAGAGGTTGGGGAGAAACCTGGGATGATTACAGAATAGATGAACCTAAATGTCTTCAAGTCAAGATTATATAAACCAGTTTGTAAAACTAGGATTCAAAACTTTCATTAATACTTCTTGCTGGCTCTGTCTACATTCATGCTATAAAATCCACCGTCTCTCCCATCCCACTGGAAGCCCTATGGCACATTTGAAGCAATCCCCTTGGTTTCCATGGAGCATCTGCCATTCCCCTCTGTTTCCAGTTGGCTGATTATAGAAATGTCTCCCTTGCCATCTATATTAGTTTGCTCAAGATGCTGTAACAAAAAACCACAAACTGGTGGCTTAAGCAACAGAAACTTATTTTCTCAGAAGTGTGGAGGCTAGAAGTTTGATATCAAGGTGTTGGCAGGATTAGTTCCTGCTGGGGGCTCTGAGGAAGAATCTGTTCCAGGACCTCTCAACTTCTGCTGATTTGCTGGCCATCTTTGGTGGTCCTTGGCTTGTAGATCTATGTCTATGTGTCTGTCTCCAAATGTTCCCCTTTTATAAGGATTAGACCACGGACCCACATTACCCAAGCATGACCTCATCTTAACTGACTACATCTGCAATAACCCTCTTTTCAAATGATGTCACAAATAAGGTATGGGCTTTAGGACTTCAACATATGAATCTGTAGGGAGCACAGTTTAGTGCATAACACCATCTAATATCAAAAGCACCACATATGCTTACAATAAAGGAGAAGGCACTCTCATTAATGGCCTGTGCTGGAATTATCACCATTGTTGATGTCCACCTCACTCATACCAAAACTGGCATACTCAGTGTTTTCTGCAGAAGAACATTTCCTGTACATCAAACCGCAGGCACAATGTCATTCATATCTCAAGGATTCAACCTCTCCAGGAGATCAAGCATGACCCATGGGGTCCGGACCAGAGAGCAACTGAGAAGAAGACCCTTGCTTCCTTCAGTGATTTTTATCCTTGCTTTACATGGAGAGAGTAGGCAGGGGAGAAAAAGGCATATATGGCTTTGGGGCCATCTGGGTGCCTTGGAGAATATGGTTCAATTCCCTCTTTTCCTCTTCCAATAGTCTAATATATTGTGTAGCAATATCACATAAAGGTGCAGAAGGAGGAGGCCAAATGTAAGTGTGGGTATTTGGAAGGAATCTTTGGTGATTCTGAAATAACTTCCATTGAGGACCACTCTTCCTCACAATCATTCCTTTGATCCATTCCATGCAGTTCTGTTCTAGGCTTGGCTCATGGTCCTTGCTGTGGTCTCAGTGTTTGTGTGCCTTCACGATTCATCTTGAGACTTAATACCCAATGTGGTGCTATTAGGAGGCGGGGCTTTTAGAAGGTGATTAGGTCATTGAGGCTCCATCGTCGTAAATGAAACTAGTGTCCTTATAGTTGAGGCCTGCAAAAGCCCTTTTGCTTTTTCTCCATGTGAGGACACATAGAAGGCACCATCTGTGAGGAACAGGCCCTCACCAGACAATGGATCTGCCAGCACCTTGATCTTGGACTTTCTGGCCTCCAGAACTGTGAGCAACAAACTTTAGTTTTTTATAAATTGCCCAAAGTTTTTTTCCCCCCAGGCTTTTAAGTTCAGGAGTACATGTGCAGAATGTGCAGATTTGTTACTTAGGTAAAAGTGTGCCATGGTGGTTTGCTGCACAGATTAGATCATTCCATAACCCAGGTATTAAGCCCAGCATCCCTTAACTATTCTTCCTGATGCTCTCCCCCCCCCACCCCTGCACCCTCCAACAGGGCCCAATGTGTGTTGTTTCCCCCAGTGTGTCTACGTGTTCTCATCATTCAGCTCCCACTTATAAGTGAGAACATGTAGTACTGTTATTTTGTTATAGCAGCCCAAATGGCTTAAAACATATGTATAGGTTCAACCTCTTCTTTTTTTCCTTTTAGGAAGTTTTCTTTCACTCTCTTTTCTATACAGAGATGCACCATTTTCCAGACATAGACAGACATACCTACATTTAATCATAGGGTTTCTTCCATCTTTTGTGGTTAAGTTTCTCCTTTATTCCACAAATATTTTCTGAGCAAGTTGCTTCACCCTGTAGTTCTGAAAATATCCTCAATGTGACCTTCACCCTGGTGAAACAACTTGCTCAGAAAATAGTCCAATAGCAATTTGGATTATTTATCTATGGATTAATCAAATAGTCCAACGGCAATATGGACTATTTACCTATTAGAATATGAACTCTCCACATTCCATAGTTAATTATGTCCTATGGTGGTTGGTTTGTTCACAATCCTTATGAAATATGTTTGCCAAAGAAAGGAATAGATGTAAATTATACATCTCCATATCTCCACTTTTCCATATCCACATACCCATATCTCCACTACAGTCATATCTCCACTTTGCAGCATATGGAGCGTCAGAAAAACTAAATAGCTCCCCCAAGACACCAAGCTAGGAAATTTATATTCTTTTTGTAAACCACACCTGATGCAGAAATTGCTGCTTCTTATGTCATGTCACCCTACAAGGTCACAATGTGGATATTTTCAAAACTACAGGCTTTTTGTTGTCTCTCAGAGAATTGCAAAGCCTGTTAAGTTTCATAAAAGTTGATTCAAGTTAGAAGGTGATAGCATCGAATAATGAGTTACATTCATATTTCAAGCGAAAGCATTAAACAATTTCGCAACTCCACTTAAAGCATTTATTGTCTGATATCTTAGAACCAATTCCAAGGGGAGCAATGGATTTGGGTCTGGATGCTGTAGAATGTGGTCAGTATTTAAGTTATTCTGTGGAGGATAACTAGGATATTGAGTGTAACAGTAGTGAGTTCTTTGATGGTGGATTTAGTCAAGGCTAGGCTAGGTGATGTTATGGCCCAGTGGCCGGGCAGATAGTTAGACAGTGCCTAACTCATTATGGATATTCAATATTTGTTGAATAAATAAATGAATGAATGAATTATCATGTGGGGCATTAAAATTCATTGGCTTTAAACTGCCTCTTAACCCTGAGAGACTGAGCCTATGATTCTCTTGTTCTATATCTAGCCCTATGCAAAAGCAGTATTATTCTGTCTAAAATTTGTGTGTTGTGTGAAATCCTTCATTGCTAGCTATGCCATAGACCCATATTCTGACATTCTGAAAGAGGAAATTCTCTCTGAATGTTCAATGCTGATACGTATTGGCTGGCTGGCATCATTCACGCCATCTGTTAGAGTGGCATTATGCCTAATTGCAAGGTGGCCTGACAGTTTTAAGGGACTCTGCATGCCAATCACATTGGAGTTTAGCTAGCTAACCTGCAGAACCCAGAGCATAACAATCTGAAAAAAGTTTCCCTGCTGGTAAAATGCAACTTCAAGTGAAAAGATCATGCCTCATTAAAAATAGCCATATTTTTGACAGTGGTAGGTATCCTTCATATAGCCTCTATTCAGTTTACCTTTCTCTAAATGACCACTGCTATGGTGATCTCATGCCACAGAGAAAAAAATAATGGACAAAGGCCACATCTTGTCCAGCCAGAAGCACTGATGCTTTACAAATACTCAAAATGTCTTAAACTCTCCTGCTTGGAAACAAATGTACCAAGCTGCCTGAATTTTACAGCATTGTCTTCCTATAATAAGCAAACATCTGTTACCCTAAAATTCAGTTTATCTTTTGGAAAAGATGCAGTAGGAGACTTGATATGAGTGAATTTGCTTACCTCCTGGAATTGTCATGGAAAAGACCCAACATAAGCATTAAAATATGTAGATTGCAAAACAGGAAATTAAACTGCTTTCCTAACTTTGAAAATCTGAAAGAGTATGTTTAGGTTTAGAGCTGCTGGTTACAGATGAGAAAGTAGGCTCTGAGATGTTGAAAAATGATTCAAGATCAAATAGATAGCTAAAGCGAGCCAAGATTAAAACCCAGGGCTCTTAACTCCTAGAACACACTTCTTCTAATACACAATTGTAATGATGTTGATTTTTTTTTTAGTAAAAAAGTAATTATTGCCTTTAAAGAAGCATAGACTCACCAAAGCATGTTTTTTCCCTTTTATGTTTCTGTTACTTCAATCGCCAGTTTTTTTTTTTTTTTGCATAATAAAACCCAATTGGCCATGCACACAAATGTATTTCATCAGTAAAATGACTGCATAAAATATTTTGAAGATTTGGTATTCTTCATTTTATAACCAAAGCCTTCGAACAAAATTACTAAGAAGACTGCATCTTTTATTTTTATTAAGTAATCATTATTTTGAGCCAAGCTGTCATCATATTTCCTGTGGACAGATGCTTTTGTGTTCCTGTATATTCCATAATATAGTGCTGAATACATAGCAGGAACTCAATATTCTGGACTGAATATAGATTCGTGAAACACGGAAGAGTAGGGAAGATAGAAATGGAAGGCAAAGAGAAGGAACAGGGTCAATAGACGTAGATATGAATGATATCTCTTTTTTAAATAAAGCCCAATTCTAGAGGGCAATATTCCTCACATACTATTACAGCATTCTCTACTTAAATATATTTGCGTGCCTTCATGGCTATCTGTGACTGACACATTGCACGAGCTGAACTTGACAGGCAAGTTAAGAAAGTTTATCTTTCTCTCATCACCATCTTCAAACCCAATTCATTGTTTTTTATTTCTTTCTGATATCCCTGAATGGGTAGTTTCAGTAGCTTTTTGATCATGTTCAGGCATTAAAATGAACTCATTTTCAGTTACTAAAAATTCCAGGCTAGTATAAATAAATACTTTTGTCTCACATATTTGTTTGAAATGATCCATAATCACACGGTTTATGTCTGACTCAGTCTCTGCAGCCTTCAGAGGAAAGCAGGGGTAACGTGCTCTTAGGTTTCATCTTACATTACGTCTTCTGGGTATTACCTATAATTCCTCTAAAGAGGTGCTGCAAGGGCAATGTCCTATGTGGTTAGTGACCTCTGTGCGGTTCCAAAATGCTGGCTGGCTCACCTTGGAGCACTCGTTGTGGGTTTATTTAAGGTATAACTGATCCTCTGTCTTCTTCCTGTCCTCCTGTCATTGAATAATGCATTTGTTCCTGGTATGGGTGATCCACCATCTTTGGTTCAGCTGGTTTCCTGGGAGTCTCCCCTTGCCAACAAGAACTACCAGGCATTCTCACTGTTCTAACAATGCACGCACCTCCCAGTGGAATAGAGACATCTTTGAAGGGAAATGCATACCCTCCCACAGCCTCCCAATGAAATACAGCCACCCAGGAACAATGCAAACACATCTCTACGACAACGCAGGCACCCACGCCCCTACCCCAAGTGAAATCCAGGAACCTCCTGAGAGTTCTTCATGCTCCACCTCAGAAGAAAGCAGGTGTCTGCATGAGTTAGCTCCCGAATGTGCTGGCAGCTTATTTCCATGAGGGAGTGGGGGAATGAATCAGCTTCCAATTTCTTTTCTCGATAGACACCTGCCCTTTCCCTGTGGCACCGAGACCATCTCCATCACTTGTGCTAATGTAGTCTTCATTCCTAGGCACTCCACACCCTGCCTTCCCCTATTTCTAGCTTTGATCAATTTCTACTCTCCTCTTTTTTGAAGTTCAAAGACGGGTGATAGATCAAGGATCTTAGAACAAGCTTTGATGACTTCTTAGCAACTGCTACAGAGAATGAGTCTAGCTACACTTTAAAAAAACTGAGGTAATTGTCATCTGGGTATTTGGTTTCATGGCCATAGTAAAAGCTCTAAAGATTGGCACAATTATTGGATAATCAGTTACACTTCTTTATGTCAAAACTTGGTCTGAAAAGATTCTGAAATGGTTCCTTAGAAAGAAAATGTACAATTACTAGTGCATTATATGCAGTTGGATAGTTTTGTTAGGAATTCACTCATTCCACATGCTTAGTATTTTTCTTTTTTTTTAATACTTTAAGTTCTCGGGTACATGTGAACAACGTGCAGGTTTGTTACACAGGTATACATATGCCATGTTGGTTTGCTGCACCCATTAACTCATCATTTACTTTACGTATCTCTCCTAATGCTATCCCTCCCCCTGCTCCCCCACCCCACGACAGGCCCCGGGGTGTGATGTTCCCCGCCCTGTGTCCAAGTGTTTACATTGTTCAATTCCCACCTATGAGTGAGAACCACACGCTTAGTATTCCGTATTACAAAATGATTCAAGGTACATCTAGTTATAAATGTCTTTTCCACTAGACAAAGAATGCGCAATAATAAATTTGTAAAATGTTTCTTTGATAAAATGCAGCATTGTCTTATTAAAGTTCCTGGGAAAGCAATGCGTCGGTGTCTTGACGAATAACAGAGGCCGGTGGTGCTGCAGAAAGTGAAAAGCAGTCAATGCAAATTGAAGGCCTTGCAGTTCACTTAACTTTTAGCATGTGTAAGTAGCCGTAACATCTAGAGAGCTTTACTTTTCTGATCTAGAAAAGAATGAAGATTAAATGCATCTCAAAGAGTTGTTTTAGGGTTTTTACAATGTATCAAGTAAAATCTTCTGACTGCCCCATAGCAAAAAAAATTGTAACCTATAAAAGCATCACATGTTATTAATTAAAATCGGATTCTTATGTAAGTAAACACACATTTCAAAAAAGACATATCTTTTATATGCGACTTATAAAACCAGGGTGAATTTCATCTCCCCATATTATATAGATGAGAAAAGTTAACCCAACTATGCTTTTGCAAAACAGGTAAGAACATTTCTTTGAAGACAAGTCATAGGCCCACAGTTTTTATCTTATATCATGACTGGTGAATAAAACTACTTTGCAAAGCCAAAATGTTCTGTGATTGCTGTCTGGGTCAATTATAGTCATTTGGCCAGTGCCTCTGCTTCTTGCAGGGAGGCCACGTCAATAAGCCAAGCCCTCCAAGGCTCCATGTGGCTGCAATTAAGGCTCACCCCGCCCCTTGGGTTTTCAGAAGCTAGGCATATTGTGGAGAGTAGAGAGAGAAAACAGGGAAAGAAATTACCAGCATTCCAGGAAATACGCCTGCTGTGCTGCAGCCTTCTTCACTTCGGTGATGACTTTTATTATGTTCTATTGATTTTCATGTTATTTCCCATTTTTGAGCAGAATGGCTTGAAGCAATAGCAGCAATAAAGCAATGTTTCTGTCAGTCATCTTTGTCTTTCTCACCCACACACATGTTATCTCCATCACATACACATAAACACACATAATTCTTCTAAGGGTTGTATTTCCAAATATAGAAAATAAGACTAAGATTTCTAGAACAATCATAGGAGCATGCCTAGAAGGCTTTAACGTTGAGCACGATGCCTAGAATACATGTGAGAAGGAATGTTGAGTGCGTTGACCTGCACATATCCTCAGAGTGAGGGTGACTGGCATGGTTCTGATGCCTTTGGTTTTTAGTCTAAAAACACCATTAGAGTCTCACTAAAGTTGCTGCTCCTTGCTAGACTGTGTGACTGTGCTGAAGAGTGTATGCAGAGCAACACTGAAGAGAAAAACAGGGTGGGATGAGCATAAAACCAGGACGGCTTTAAGCAAGCAATTTGTGATTGGCAGAAGGATAAGATGTCCACTCAGACAATCAGCCCTATGTGTACGCACCAGGTACAATCTCTGGGACTGCAAATGGGATGGAATATCATTCCCATGAAGAAGGCAGGTTATTATAGCACAGCCAGCTTATAAAAGGGAGATCGCCCTGGACAGCACTGACCTAATCAAAAGAGACAAGGTTCATCCTGAATAAAGAGTTCTGAAGTGTGCGAGAGCATTTTCTCAAGGAAGATTTTGCCCATTGCTGGCGTTGAAATGAAGAGGACCAAGTGGCAGGGAATGTGGGTGGCCCTTGGGAGCTGAGAGTGGCCTCTGGTTGACAGCAAGGAAAGACACAGTGACCACAGTGCTATTCCTTTCTAAGCAACTGAATTTTGCCAACTACAAAATCTAGCACAGAAGAGGATCCCAAGTTTCAGAGGAGAGCTCAGCCTGACACCACCTTGAATTTTGCCTTATGAGACCCTAAGCAGAGAACCCAGCCATATCATGGCTGTACTTACAGAATTGTAAGCCAATAAAAGGCTATGTTTTTGTAATGCCAATAATTTACATTAACTTATGAATTACGTCCCCTAAAATTTATTGTTGTGATGATCAAAATTCAATATTTTTATTATAGTATTCACAAAGTAGTCCACTATTTAATTTCAAAACATTTTCATCACCCCCCAGAGAAACCTCATACTCACAAGCAATTGTTCCCCATCCTCCCTCCACCAAACCCCAGACAACCTCTAACATACTTTCTGTTTTGATTCCATTTATACATTATAAAATATAAATGGAATCAAAACAGAAAATGGCATCATATAATATGTGACCATTTTGTTTTTGATCCTTTCACTTGGCATAACGTTTTCAAAGTTAGTTGTGTTGTAGCATGTACATTACTCCATTCCTTTCCAAGGCTAAATAAAAAAGTTTTCATTTTATGAATATACTGCATTTTATTTACCTATTCACCAGTTGATTCACATTTGGATTGTTTCTCTTTTTTTGGCTATTAGGAATAATGCTCTTATGAATATCTTTGTGTAAGTGTTTGTATGAACATATGTTTTCAGTTCTCTTGGAGTTCCACTAAGAGTAGAATACTGAGTAGTATGATAACTCTGTTTAATATTTTGAGGAAGTGATAACATATTTTCCCAAATAAATATCATTCTGCTTTCATATTAGCAATATTTGAGGGTCCCAACTTCTTCACCTTTACGCCATAGCTGTTGTCTGTTTTTCTGTGAAAACATGTGTATTGAGATCCTTTTTTTATTAAAAAATAGACTGTCATTTTATTGTTCAGTTGTAAGAATTTATTTGTATATATATATGTACACATATATATTCACAAATTATATATATATATTGTTCTGGATACAATCTCATATCATATGCATAATTTACAAATATTTTTCTCACATTCTGTGAATTGTTTTTTCACTTTTTGAAGTTGTATTTTGAAGCACAGAAGTTTTTCATTTTGATAAAGTCAAATGTATCTGTATTTTGTTTAGTCACTTGACCTTTTGCTATTATATTTAAGTGACTATTACCTAAATCAAGATCACCAAGTTTTACTCTTATGTTTCCTGCTGTGAGTTTTACAGTTTCAGTTCTATAGTTAAGTCTGTGATCAGCTTGGAGTTAATTTTTCTATATGGTGTGAAATAGACATGTGGGTATTCAGTTTTCTAGCATCGTTTCCTAACAGGACTGTTTTTTTCCCACTGAGTTTTTCTGATGCCTTGTTAAAAACGAATTCATCATAAATAGATGGATTCTCAATTCCATTCTATTGATATTGTTTGTTTATCCTCATATCAGGACCACATTGTTTAAGCTTTTGGAAATGTGAGTTCTTTCACTTTATTCTCTAAAACACTGGCTATACTGGGTCTTTTGCATATTCATATGAATCCTAGGATTCATTTGTTAATTTATACAAAAAGCTACAATTTATATACAATTTATATAGAGGCTGCATTAAATCTGTAGACAAGCTTATGTCTGTAATCTCAGCACTTTGGGAGGCCGAGTTAGGTGGATCATCTGAAGTCAGGAGTTTGAGACCAGCCTGGCCAACATAGTGAAACCCTGTCTCTACTAAAATGCAAAAATAATTAGCCGGCTGTGGTGGTGCATGCCTATAGTACCAGCTACTTGGGAGGCTGAGGCAGGGAAATTGCTTGAACCCGGGAGGCAGAGGTTGCAGTGAGCCAAGATCGCACCACTGCTCTCCAGCCTGGGTGACAGAGCGAGACACCGATTCAAATAATAATAATAATAATAAATAAATAAATCTAGAGACAGTGTGGGATTTTAACAATGTTGTGTTTTCCAAACCATGAATAAGGGATACTTTTCTATTTGTTTAGGTCTTCTTTAATTCAGGCATTTATTTTGGTAGTCTTCAGTGTATAAAACTTGTACTTTAGTAATTTTTATGTTAATAATTTTATTTTTTGATGCCATTGTAAATAAAATAATTTTAACTTCATATTTCAACTGTTAATTGTTAACGTATAGAACTATAATTTATTGCTGTGTATTTGTCATATATTTTGCAGCCTTGAATTCACTTATTTGTTATAATAATTTTTCAGCTTCTTTAGGAATTTTTATATTAAAGATTATACCATTTGCACAAAAGGTTTTTTCTTTTTTTCTTTTTCAGTATGTATGACTTTTATTTCCTTTTCTTGCTAATTGTCCAAGCTGGAACCTCCAGTAAAATATTTAATATACGTGGCGATAGTGGAAATCTTGTCTTGTTTCTAATTTAGGAGAAAATCTGTCAGTCTTTTGCCATAAAGTTGGATATTAACTTAGTTTTTTAAAAGATATTCTTTATCATGTTGAGAAAGTTTTCTTCAATTTCTTGTGAATGTTTTTCTGGTGAAAATGAGTAATATTGTCACTTTTTTCTGCATCAGTTGAGATTATCATGTGATATTTTTCCTTTATTCTACGAATATAGTGCATTATTACATTGATTAACTTTGGTATGTTGAGCCAATCTTGCACTCCTGTGTTAAATACCAGTTAGTCATGGTATATAATCCTTTACGTATTTTACTAGATTTGGTTTGATGGTATTTCGCTGTAGATTGTTGCATCTCATCTACACTTTTTAGGAATTTTGGCCTGTAATTTTCTTTTATTGTGATGTCTTTGTCTAATCTTGGTATCAGGGTAATACTGGCCTCATAGAATACGAGAAGTGTTTCCTCCTTTTTTACTTTTTGAAATAGTTTGTGAAGGGTTGGCGTTAATTCTTCTTTAAATATTTGTTGGAAAAATACAAAAATTAGCCAAGCATGGTGGCAGGTGCCTGTAATCCCAGCTACTCAGGAGGCTGAGGCAGAATTATTTTAACCCAGAAGGAGGAGGTTGCAGTGAGCTGAGATCGTGCCACTGGACTCCAGCCTGGGCAACAGAGCAAGATTCTGTCTCTCTCTCTCTCTCTCTCTCTCTCTATATATATATATATATATATATACACACACACACACACACACACATACACACACATATATGTATATATACATATATATGTATATATACACACATATATATACATACACACACATATATATGTATATATATACACACACACACACACACATATATACATATATATACACACACACACACACACACACATATATATATACACATATATATATATTTGGTGGAAAACACTCATAAAGCCAGCCAGTCCTGGTTTTTCTTTGTGGGGAATTTTTTTTGCTTTGTTTTGTTTTTTAATTACAGATTTGATCTCTTTACTTTTACAGAACTGCAGGTTTTCTCTCTTTTCTTGCTCAGTCTAGTTTATCAATTCTGTTCATCTTTTCAAAATACCAACTTTTGGTTTTGTTACATTGTCTATTGTTTTTCTAATATTTAGTTCATTTCTTTTTCTAGTTTTTTAAGGAGAGTATTTAGATATTTATTAGCGTTCTCCTTCACTTTAAACATAGGCATTAACATGTACATTTTTTTCTCTCAGTTCTACTATAGCTGTATCCCAGAAGTGTTTTTATGTTCTGTTTCTGTCTTCATTCATCTTAAAGTGCATCCTAATTTCATTTGTAGTTCTTTCTGTGAACCATTTTATTTTTATGTCTTCTTTGCTCCACTATCCTGACTTATTTTATGTTAAGTACGTATTTTCTTGTATAACACTTTAATTTTCTTGTTTTGTCTTCTATTATATTTTTGAGTTTCTTTCTTTCTTTCTTTCTTTCTGTCTGTCTCTTTCTTTCTTTCTTTTTCCTTTCTTTTTCTTTCTTTTTCTTTCTTTCTTTCTTTCTTTCCTCTCTCTCTCTTTTTCTTTCTTTTTCTTTTTTGAGATATCATCTCACTTTCTTGCCCAGGCTGGAATGCGGACTGCAGTCTTGATCTCCTGGGCTCAAGGGATCCTCCCACCTGATCTTCCTGAGTAGCTGGGAGTATAGGAAGGCACCACCACACCCAGCTAATTTAAATGCATTTCTTTTGTAGAGATAGTGTCTTTCTATGTTGCCCAGGCTGGTCTTGAACTCCTGGCCTCAAATGATTTTCCTGCCTCAGCCTCCCAAAGTGTTGGGATTACAGGTGTGAGCCATTGCTCCTGGCTGTTTTGAATTTTTTTTAGTGGTTGTCCTGGGGTTAAAATCAACATCTTAATTCATAAAATCGACTTTGGATTAATACAAAGTTGATTTCAATTGTATACAAAAACTTTGCTCCTGTGATGCTCCATCCATTTCCACCTCCTCCGGTGCACTGTTATGATCACACAAATTACATGTTTATCTATTATAAGCACATCAAACACAGTATTATAATTACTGGTGTAGGCGGTTTCTTTTCAATCAGATAGAACAGAGTTAAGAACAAAACATGTGTTTGTACCTCTTTTATGTCTTTTATGTTTACCTAGAAGTCACCCTTACTGATGCTCCTTCTTTCTCCTCGTGGATTCTTCTCGGATTTTCCCACTTCTGATTCCACATAGAGATATGTATCCTCTCCATACCTATTCTCCACACAACAGCCAGAGCAATTCTTTAAAAATTCAAACGCACGTCATACCACTCTCTCGAGTAGTGTCCCAGAGCCACGCAGCCTGGCTTCTCTGTGCAATTAGAATGAAATCCAAATAGCTGATCCTGGTCTGTAAGATACTTAAGACATTTGGCTTCCAGTTACATTTCCAACTTGACTCCCTGCCATACTCTAGGCTGTACTGTACAGCCAACCACGGAGCATCTTTATTCTGTCTTTTCAGCATGCAAGCTCAGATCTGCGCTTGGACTGGTGCAATTGCAGTTTCATGGTTTGGAACGTTCTTCTGCCAGACAATCACGTGACAAGCTCTGTACCTTTGTGCTCTCAGAGGGGCCTTTGTGGAACATTACTTGGGATGGTTAATATTAGGTGTCAACTTGATTGGATTGAAGGATGACTAGATGGCTGGTAAAGTATTGTTTCTGGGTGTGTCTGGGAGTGTGCTGCCAGAGGAGGTTGACATCTTAGTCAGTGGACTGGGACAGAAAGACCTACCCTCAATGTGGGTGGGCACTATCCAATCGGCTGCCAGTGAAGCTGGAACAGAGCAGGTAGAAGAAGGGGGATGAGTAGCTTGCTGAGTTTTCTGTTTATCTTTTTCCTTCCCATGCCAGACACTTGCTTTTGCCCCTCCTGCCCTTGGACATCAGACTCCAGATTCTTTGGCCTTTGGATTCTGGGACTTGCACCAGCTGCTTCCCCAGGGGCTCTCGGGACTTCAGCGGTAGACTGAAGGATGCACTGTTTGCTTCCCTGGTTCTGAGGCTTTCGGACTTGGCCTAAATTATTTCCAGCTTCTCTCTTTCCTCATCTTGCAGAAAGTCTATGGTGGGCTTTGCCTTGTAATCTTCTGAGCCAATTCTTCCTAATAAACTCTCTTTCACATATATATATTCATATATATTTCATACATATATTTCATATATATTTCATATATATTTCATACATATATTTCATATATATTTCATATATATTTCATACATATATATTTCATATATATACATGCCCTAGTAGTTCTGTCCTTCTGGGGAACCCTAATACAACCTTTAAGAACAGCCTGTCTGCCATCTTTTACTCTTCATTCTCTTACCTTGTTTAATTTTCTTTATTTCTGTCGTCAGTATCAGAATTCTCCATAGTCATTTGTTTCTCTTTTAGATGGTAAGTTACACGAAGGCAGGAAGTTTTGTCTGCCTTCTTTGCTGCTGTTTCTCAGTTGCCCAAAATAGTGTATCATTAATAGTGGGTGCTTAATAAGTGCTTGTAGAATAAATGGTGTTAATATTGAAAGGCAATTGAGATGATATGAAAAATAAGAACATATTTTCTTCTTGTATCTTGTGCACAGCCTACATAGCATTGAGATGTTGGATTGCTATTTATTGATTAGCTGGCTTTGTAAGTTTAATTCACAGTATATTAGGAAATATGGAGAGAAAATGTACTATTTTTAAGCTTTGTAGGGAAGTAAGGAATTAGGAACAGATAGAATTCAGAGCAGTTCTGAAGGAGTCACCATGTACAGAAACAACGGGAGAATTAGGTGCAGGCAGGACGTGTGTGTCCTTCTAGCCACCACCACCATTTATTGGAATGTGTACTTGTCACTGGAACTTTCAGTCTTATATTTTATTTTTAAATCACTTTCCATATCTCAACTTATTTGCCTTCTTGGGAAGGCAGTGGCCTGGTTCAAATAATATAACCCTAGGGAAGCATCCACATTGTAGTTGAGAAGAAATGCCAAAACTGAAGTCCACAGGTGTGGTACAGAATAGAAGCTACAGGCCTGAGTGAAGCCACAGCCCAGGGAGTTGGCAATGAGGCCCGTACTACCTGGTGCATACTTTATAAACATTTACTGAGTTAATTAGCAGACCAAGGTCAGGATGCTGAGTGATGGTACATGATTGAATATGGAGGCCATGGACAGAGTGAAGGGTCCGAGCCCAGGTCTGTGTGATCTGTCTTCAGGCTGGCTCCTGGAGGGGCCGAGCAACAGAGTTCACACATTCTGAGTGTGTTCATCTTCTACTCTCTCATATTTCCCCTTCCAGCATAATTGTAAATGCACTGTTAAAATATTTTATTACTGGCTAGTTAACCCATAAGTAAGAGATCTGCTTTTAGTCATCTCTCTACATTCAGTGCTCATTGCTGTGCTGGTCAACACAAGAAGCCGTGTGTCTCAGTGGAAGAGTAGAAGTCCGGGGAAAACTGCTTGGGTTGAGGGGTATCTTCATCCAGTGTTGTAATCTTCATATAATTCAGTCTCTTCATCATCAGAAAGTTATGAAAAATCATCGTATCCACCTCATAGTTTTGTCATGAGGATTAAATGATTTGATATATGTAAAGCATTTAGAATAGTATCTGGCATACCGTAGGTGCCTGATAAATATTAATTATTTTTAGGATGATGAGGGTGAAATGGACCTTGCTGCTGTTCATGCTACTTCATGTGTGTGCACTCAGGTAGGTGTAGTGCACACACATGAAATAACAGGGGCACCACTAAATGCTACATTTTGTTTAATCATCTGTAAGTGAAATAGGTGTTCAGAGGAGGGAGGGATGGCTTGGAGATGGCACAATCAGAGAAAATTCCCAAAGATGACCAGAGTAGTCATTCTCAAAAGTCCTTAGACTTTTTTGTTGGTTATGATGAGGGCTTTCTCTTCGCTCCTTCCATTGCAGTGAGGCCTGTGGATAAAATATGATGCACACTCTGGTTCAAGACACACTCATATGGAGGCCAGGTGGCCACCACCCCTTGGTCCTGAACGGGTTTGGAGTCCCTAACTAGAGGGGAGGTGTTACAATGCCAATTGTTGGGGAGAGTTCATGCAAGTAGCAGACAGATCTCCAAGAAGCGAAGTTCTGCCCTTCTAATGGGAAGACGGATGGAATATCTGTCAAAGGGTCCCTGTGGTTCCAGCAGCTGCCACATATGTGAAGTCTGTGTTCCTCCTACATCAACCAGGCCCGGGGAAGCCACCATCATTGCAAGAGGGTTTTCCTGTTCTCCCTGTGGTATGATTTGGATTTGTGTCCCTGCTCCAATCTCATGTTGAATTTCAATCCCCAGTGTTGGAGAAAGGGCCTGGTGGGAGGTGATTGGATCATGGGGGTGGATTTCCCCTTTGCTGTATTTGTGACAGTGAGTGAGTTCTCATAAGACCTGGTTGTTTAAAAGCGTGTGACACCTTCCCTTTCGCCCTCTTCCTCCTGCCTTGGCCATGTAAGATGTGGCAGCTTCCCCTTTGCCTTCTGCCATGATTGGAAGTTTCCTGAGGCCTCCCCAGACGCAGAAGCCTGTACAGCCTGCAGAACCATGAGCCAATTAAACCTCTTTTCTTTATAAACGACCCAGTTTCAGGTATTTTTTTATAGCAGTGTGAGAACAGACCGAATACACCCTGCTTTTACTCTTGACCCTATAACGTATTTTTTAGTATAGCCTAAATTATTATTTATAAACATAAGTCAAATAACATGTCTTTGTGCAAAACCTTCCGTATATTCCCATCACCCCTGAGATGTGTAAGAAGCTCCTGTCCCTGGGCTCAGCTACCCTCTGCCCCCATCTATCATTCTTTCCTGCTCTGGGTGGCACACTCACTGTGGTTCCTTGTGCACCTTAGGGCACTTTGCTAGTGCTGTTTTCATGTCTCCTCTCACTTAGTTTAGGTTTAAATTCAGATATCATCTCCATGACCATCCTATCTAACATGGCTTTCCTTGTCACTCCATGGCCTCTAATGCTAATTCATTTTTTCTTCCTGCCACTTATTACTACCAGTCACTGAGCAAAAGAATCTATTTTGTGTCATGCACTGTAAATCAGAAAATGACCAAAGCAAGTAGCATTCACTTTAAGAGGTTTACTTGCCAAAGTTAAGGATGCGTGCCTGGAAGATAAGTCTATGGCTTTCTCCAAAGATGATTTTGAGGGCTTCAATATTTAAAGAGAAAAATGTGGATACTGGGGAAATACACAATTTTCATGTGAGAGGTGATAGGGAAAATGGTCATTCATGCCTTTGTCTGGCTCAGGGAATCTGAATATTTATATAAGGTAATGTAGACAATGACAATAGGGCAGAGGAAACAATCAGATATGCATTTGTCTCAGGTTAGCAGAAGGATGACTCTGAGTTCTGTCCTCTGTCCCCGCACCTGTGAAGATAAGCTATCAATTTACATTGCCATGGTGAACGTTAGTAGAAATGCTTTAGGGTAAAGATCTTGAGGGCCACCAGGAATTTCCCTGTGGGCAAAATGTGGGGGAGGTATGTAGCTTTTTATCTTTGTAGCCATGTTATTTAGGAATCAAATGGGAGGCAAGTTTGCCTGACCCAGTTTCCAGCTTGACTTTTCCATTCGGCTTAGTGAGTTTGGGGTCCCAAGATTTACTTTCCTTTCACAGCACAGAAATGAAAAACAAAATGTCTTTCAATCCAGAAAGAAGAATAGTAAGACTTCTCTTTGGACCAATCATGGATATTAACTAATTAGTGTTTGTCAAGAGCAGGACATGAAATCAGCACAGAAATGTAGAATCAGAGACTGGCAGTGGGGAGCAGCCAGCAGTGTGAATCTACCACTGACCAGGGAAGGGACTTTCTGCAGACAGAGTAACATGCTGATTAAGAGTTTGGCTTCTGGGGATGGGCATGGTGGCTCATGCCTGTAATCCCAGCACTTTGGGAGGCCGAGGTGGGAGGATCTTTTGAGGTCAGGAGTTTGAAACTAGCCTGGCCAACATGGTGAAACCCCATCTCTACTAAAAATACAAAAATTAGCTGGGCGTGGTGGTGGGTGCCTGTAATCCCAGCTACTTGGGAGGCTGAGGCAGGAGAATCACTTGAGCCAGGGAGGCGGAGGTTGCAGTGAGCAGAGATTTCAGTGAGAGAGGTTGCAATGAGCAGCCTGGGCAACAGTGAGACTGTCTCCAAAAAAATAAAAAAGAGTTTGGCTTCTGGAAACCAGCCGATAAGAGTTCTCACTGTGGGGCTGCCTTTTATTAACTGTGAATACTGAGGAAGGCACTTCACCTGTCTGTGTCTTGATCTGTAAAACGAGAATAATAATATCATCTACTTCATACCATTGTTGAAAAGACTAAAAAATGTTAATGTGCAAAAAATACTTAGTACAATGCTTAACATAAAGTAACTGTGTAATAAAAGTCAGCTATACTCATTATTTTATTATCCATTTTTATATGAAACAAATCTAAGAAGGTGGCTGTCCCAGACTTTCATAACATAATAACTGAACTGCCAACTGTCTTCCCTCCTTTAGTTTCCAGTCTCACTAAGGCAATTTCTGATTTCACTTCCTGTATAGCTCAGCCTACAGAAAATAAATTCACATTCACACTGAAATGGACATTCCAGCTTCTGTGGCACAGGTTTTCTATGAAAAACGAACATACTTAGATTATGGTTTGGGTATGAAGAATTGAGTCAGCATGATTTTCTCTTCTGAGATAAAACAATTCTAGGCGCAAAGACTAGACTGGATTCCTGAATCAAAATCCCCTGAGAATGATGATTCATGAAGGTAACAGCAATGGGTGGAGTTTCTTCTGCTCAGTCAGTGGTGCCCCTTCCCATATCCACCTGGAACCCACTGATGATTCCCTGGGAGAGTCCCAGGGTAAATGGGAAGTGGTAACATTGCACTTGGTTGCTTGGGATCTGTTAGTGCCAATAGGACTGGATACAGACATCTTTGCTTGCCATTCTTTCTGACAAAGCACTGACAAAGGTATTCATCTGACTGATATACACCAAATCTGTGTATAATCCTCGTTGTTAAATGGAAACCAAAACCAGCTAGGGCATAGGTAGCCTTCTATGGATTGAATTTTTTCCCTTATAAAGATATGTGGATGTCCTAACCACCAATGCCTTAGAATGTGATTGTATTTGAAAATAGGATTATTGTAGATATAATTAGTTAAGAGGAGGTCATAACAGAGTAGGATTGACCCTTAATCCAATATGACTAATGTCCTTTTAAGAAGAGGAAACACAAAGAGGAGCACGCCATGTGTAAACTCAGACACACAGAGGGAAGACAACCATAGACAATGGAGGCAGAGACTGGACTGATGCAGCAGTACACCAAGGAACACCAAGTACTGCCACCCGACACCAGAGGGAGAAGGTGGAAGGAAGGATTCTCATCTTTAGGTTTCAGAGGAATCATAGCCCTGGTGATACCCTGATATCTGCCCTCCAGAACTATGAGGCAATAAATTTCTGTTGTTTCAATTCACCCAGTTTGTGGTATTTTGTTATGACAGTCCCAGGGAACCAACACCCGGCCGTGCCACCCAACAGCAGCCATTAGCATCCTTTGGTCCACACTGACCCTACAGTTTCTTAAGGGACTATTCTATGTTAAACATGTGTTTGACATGAGGTTGGAAAAAGGCAATGCTCACCTTAGGCATTAAATACAAACAAGTGAGAATATTTTGTGAGACTCCAGATAATGTCTTCTATGTGAAGATGCCTATTTCTATTATTAGTATATGAGCTCAGATTAGCTAACTGCATTTTCCTGTTGAAAGAAAGACCCAAGGCATGATTTAATTAGTCAATCTCTTGCAAATTGATGGTTTAGGAGAGAATGGCTGTAGCAAGATATCCTTGTAGCATTTTCATCCCTCATTGATTCTGCTCTGGTAGGCACATGCAATTCCACATCAAGAAAGAGAAGAGTATGCTGAGGACGCATCATTTTATAACGCTGGAAAGCAGATTTATAGAGATTCCTGTAGACTTTGAAGGCCAGCCCAAATTATAAAAGTGCTAGTCTTCTTCCAAGTTTTTTTTTTAATTTTTTTTAGGAAGAACTCAATCCATACAACAATGAGAAATTTATTATGTCAGTTATCCTAGTGTTAGTAAAATGAGATATGTTCATTATAGTCTGATCAAATACCGCATCTGGTAGTAGTAGAACTCTTTATTCAGACATTTCTGCTTGAATGGATCAGTTATTAGCCAAGAAATAAACTGGCTGATCCCATGAAAGTATTTATAGTGAGGGTGGTGCAGTTGTAAAATCAAGGGTGCCATAAATTTTGTGCCCGGTAGCTCTTCAAACAGACATGCATGTTCTATATGGATGGCTGTGCATTTCAATTGCATAAGAAACCCACTGTCACCATCTCTCTTTGTGTATGTTACTGTGGAAGCAAGCAAAGCCCAAGGCTATTGGCAGAGCTGATAACTTTTTTTTTTTTTTTTTAACATGATTACCACTGCTTTTGGATTAGGTAAACTGTGAGGAACCAGAAGCAGGGCTTTTCAGCTTGAAAGCTGGTGCATTTGCCAAATGAGTGATTTTGAAAATTGGCCTCCCTTTGCTGAAACATGCTTTTTTACATTCTAAGAAACCTCCGGCATTAAAGACAAATGTTGTGTTCAGGACACAGGAATCAAATTGAACACTATGCATCTGATTTTTTTAAAAATTTTCTTTTGTGGAGTGAAGACTAGCCAAATAGGGCCTTCATTTTTACTCCATCATGCTTTTCAGTGGCTTCATATTGAAGGCCCTGGGGGAACCACACAATCTGTCAATGGCCAGGATATTAGAACAGTACTCTGTGAACCCTATTTATGGTGGCACCCCTTAGACTAAGATAACACAGGGAGCAAGAGGTTGACAGGAAAGCCAGGGGAGCAGGGAAGCCTCCTGTAAAGAGAGAAGTGCTAAGTCTCCTTTCTAAGGCACATGATGGATTCAAGGGAAAGCCACATTTGACTAAAGCCCAAGGGATTGTTGCTTCTAATCCGATTTCTTGGCAGAAGATATTACAAACTAAGAGTCAGATTAATATGTGGGTGCCAAAATAAATAAACAAATAATTGAATAATCCCTGGAGGTTTAAGTGAGGAGAAACTCCTCCACAGCTTGCTACCGAGGCAGAACCGGTTGAAACTGAAATGCATCCGCCGCCAGAGGATCTGTAAAAGAGAGGTTGTTACGAAACTGGCAACTGCCAACCAAAGTCCACCAATGGACAAGCAAAAAAGAGCACTCATCTCATGCTCCCAAGGATCAACCTTCCCAGAGTTTTCACTTAAGTGGCCACCAAGCCAGTTGTCAATCCAGGGCTTTGGACTGAAATCTAGGGCTTCATCCGCTACCTCAGAGTGTCTTCTATTTCTTCCAGCCAGTGACAAATACAACAAACATCTGAGATGTTTTAGCTATAAATCCTTTACAATTGTTATTTATGTCTTAACTTTTGTTATACCTGGAAAAGTAGGGGAAACAATAAGAACATACTGTCTTGGCCAAGCATCCAAGGTTAAATGAGTTATGGAAATTCATTTGGGAGCCAAGACATTGCACGTGGTTATTTATTAGTCACCCAAGCATGTATTTTGCATGTCCATCAGTTGTTCTTGGCCAAAAGAGCAGAATCAATGAGCCGCTGCAGATGCAGACATAGCAGCCCCTTGCAGGGACAAGTCTGCAAGATGAGCATTGAAGAGGATGCACAAGCCCGGTAGCCCGGGAAATGGCAGGCACTTACAAGAGCCCAGGTTGTTGCCATGTTTGTTTTTGCAACTTGTCTATTTAAAGAGATTTGAGAAAGAAATACCTAAGCCATTTCCTTATTATATGATAATGGAGTATGGTTCTGTAGCAATTTTGGGGAGGGAAATTTTTTTTAAAAATGGGTCAGCTGAAATATCACCTAATTGTATAGGAAGATGAGGCACTTGGCTATTGGTTCACATACCTGGCAAATACATGTTGGCATGGAACTCTCCACTTCTTTCTTGCAGCAATAAGGTATTAAGCTCAACACGGCATCAGAGCTATGTATAGAGGGATTTGTACTCCCCTCCTCTGTCTGTGTTTGCCAAGGGATCTATTAATCCTAATTTTCCTCCTTTTTCTCTTTCCAGAGTCTTCTCCATCTTCCTGACACTTTTTCATTTGCAGTCCAGCTCACCCATTGTGGTGGTTTTAAAAATATATTTCTACATTTTAAGATACTCTTGTTTCAAGAGGTAGAGTTTAATTTCCCTCTTCTTGAGTGTGGGATGGACTTGTTTCTAGCAAAATAAGGAGGAACGATTGTGTCTGACTTTGGAGATAGGTCGTAAAAGTTTCATCAGCTTCCTGCTTGATCTCCCTCTGGTATGTGCTTGTCTCTGCATCTCTTCCATCTCTGTCTGTCTGTCTCTCTCTTTTCTCTCTCTTTTTTTTCTCTCTCTGTCTGCCTTTCTCTTTCTGCCTTTCTGTTTCACTTACTTTCTTTGTCTCACTCTCCTGCTCTCTCTTTCTCTCCCATTTTTATCACTTGATTCATGGAAGACAGTTGCCCTGTGGAGAGGCTCACATGACAAACAACTGAGGCCTCCAGCCTCCAGCCATATGAATTAGCTCCTTGGAATCACAGATAAAGCCTTCACAGGACTGCTTGACTCAGCCTGTGAAAGACTCTGGGCCAGAGCACCTGCTAAGTCACTCCCTGACTCTTGGCCCTCAGGCATTGTGTGTTGTTTTAAGCTGCTAAGATTTGGGGTAATTGGTTATGGGGCTTTAGGTAACCAGTATGTCCTGCACTTGTCTTTTCACATAATTTTACTACCCCTCTGACAGGATAGCTCTTGTCTAGATCACCAATAGATCTACCCTGGCCCCTGAATCTGTAAATGAAGCTCCAATGATTGAGCTCCTGAAACCAGAATTCAGTATTCTCATCAATACCAAAAAGATTGGCTCAAAAACCTTAGCTTGTCCTTCTTGCACTTGCTGTACTTCCTAGGAACAACTTATCTGCTACCTTATCTCAAGCAAACGTTCTTTAGAGGAAGTATAGGAATCTGTAAGGGGTTTTGTAAGAAGAATGGGCCTTGCTTGCTGGGAGCTGAGATGCTATTTCATTTCATGGCTGTAACACCTGCAGTTCATTTTAACTTCCCTTCTTTCTTCCTGGCTACTGCCAAGCCTCTAGTCAACCCACTGCCAAGTCTGACCCATTCTGCCTCCATGGTAGCTCCCACATTGGTCCTCTCCTATCCATTGCTGTGTCTTTAGTTTATACCTTCATTCCTCTCACCAATAATTTTTGCAGGGCATCTTTAATCATAGCACTTCCCTCTTCTCTTCAATTCCTCATGCACAGAGCTGATACTTACCTCCTGAAAGTAAAACCATGGATTATGTGACTTTCACAGGCATTCATTTTATTCCAAATTGCCCACAGTTAAGATCTAGTTCTTTATCTGAAGCAGGGGATTTTCTCTTCACATGAACTCTGAGTTTCTTTATCTAGAGACCTCACCCATTTCACATAGAATTTCTCTGTACTCCCATCCCAGCATGTCTAAATTCTTTCTTCAGACTAAATGTTTGTTGTATTCAGCAGCTAAATTTTGTAGTAACTCATTGTTGTATGGCTATAGGTAAATAGTCCACTTTCAAACTTGTCTTTTAACAGAGCTTCACTGTCCCTTTCGTAATTCTTAAGTTTATATTAATAAGAATCCCATAAACAATTATAACTTATACCCTATGGCTCTTAAAAAATGACGAGCAACATAATTCTTTGTTACTGTATCTCAGATATATGACTGTAGGGAAATCATTAAAATATATTAGTCTCAGATCCGCAAAATCAGATTTTTGAATTATGGTTACTGAGGTCCTCGGTCCTTTCTAACTTTCATATATTCCAATCCTATGTGTTTCCAACAGTGCCAAGTGCAAAGGAAACCAATTAAAAATGTCAAATATTTGAAACCTTATCAGCCAATCAATGAGCATTTATTGAGTGACTACTATGTGTCCAGAATTTTGCCCACAGGCAATGAATCTTAAAGCTCCCTCATGTGTCATAGATCATTTTGCTGAAGCTATTGATATTTTAAAATTTCCCCATATGTCTTCCATTTTTTACAGCTATTTTTATACGATAATACTTTAAATAAATGCTGTTTAGAGAGAGGAAAAAGCATCCATACAAAGGCTGTGCACATGTGTTATTGGTTGTTGGTGGTTGTGGAAAAGTAGCTGGATATGGGAGATTGACGAAGTCTATTAGGTAGGGCTGACCTCATGGGCATGCAATCTGGGCAGTCACACAAGTACCCAGGCCCAGAAGGAAACCACACTTAGATCAATGCTCTGCTGTTGCTGATATTGAAATTCATAATAAGAACAAGAGACCCAGATTTTCAGACACACTCAGCTCCTGCTATGGTCTGAATGTTTACATCCCCCAAAACACATATGTTGAAATTCGAATCCCCATAATGTTGGTGTTAGGAGGTAAGGCCTTTGGGAGGTGATTAAGGCATCAGGGCAGAGTCTTAACGGATAGGATTAGAGCCCCTAGAAAAGAGGCTCCAGAGAGCCCCCTTTCCCCTTTCATCACACAAGGACACAGCAAGAAGATGCCTCCTCAGACACTGGATTGGCTGGCACCTTGATCTTGGACTCCCCTGCCTCCAGAATGATGAGAAGTAAATTTCTGCTGTTTATAACCCACCCAGCTCATGGGCTTTTGTTATAGCAGCTGAATGGACTAAGACAGCCTCACAAATTATGTACCCAGTCATGTCCTCAAGTGATTCAGATATGCTCCTCACTCCCTCCCCTGCTGGTTAACAATTAGGAGAGAGGAAGATGTTGTCCTGGGTTTGCTGTCAGAAGCAGACCCTGAGATAAGAGTTTCTGTGTCAATGATTTATAAAGAAATTGCTTCCAAGGGAAACAAATGAGGAATTGGGGGAGGGGGGGAAGAGAGGAAGGGGAAAGAAACAAGGCCAGCGTGTAATTTCAGGCAAAGTGCCCAGAGGGTTGCTTCAGTCCAGCCCAGAAGGGAGTGCGAGTGTAAGCTGTGCTCCTGGTGTTTGAACCTGAGGTGAGGCAGTTGAGCTTCTGTGTTCCCCTATGCTTGGATGCAGGAATTGGGAGTGGGTGTGGGGCCCTCCAAGAATGTCCCCTTTCCTGCACCAGTAGTTAACGAGACTCCATGATATAGTTTAAATGTTTGACGCTTCCAAATCTCATGTTGGAATTTATTCCCTGATGTTAGAGGTGAGACATAATGGAAGGTGTTTGGTCATGGGGATGGATGCCTCATGAACAGATTAATGTCCTCTGAAAACACTGAGTGAGTTCTTGCTTTATTAGTTCCCATGGGAGCTGGTTGTTATAAGAGCCTGCACCTCCCCCTTCTCTGTCTTGCTTCCTATCTCTCTACATGTGGTCTCTGCACATGCAGGCTCCCCTCCCTCTTCCACCATGACTGGAAGCTTGCTGAGGACCTCATCAGAAGCAGATGGTGACCCTGTGCTTTTTGGATAACCTGCAGAATTACGAGCCAAATAAATCTCTTAAATTTGTAAATTACCCAGCCTCAGGTATTCCTTTATAGCAGCATAAAGGTATTAAGGCCCTCGGTAGCTAAGGGCAGTCCTCAGTAAAGAGTTGCAGGTACAGACCTTGCATTCAGAAACACCCTGAAGCTGGGAACGGCAAATACTAAAGCAGTGAGAGGGACTTAAGAGAGTCTGTGCAGGGCACTGGCAGTGTTGGTCACAGTGGCTAAGCACCCTGAAACCCATGAACGATGTATGCTATTCCTGAGAAAACTTAGCTGAAACTTCCGGTCTAGCACTCCCCAAAACCTTTAAGCAATGACGAAGAAGAAACAGATGTAGCATGTTAAGTAATTCTTTACTTTTTGCCAGGTATTGTGCTACGCACTATGAAAAATACCCAGAAGGATGAGACACGACTTCTGTTGTACTCAAAAAAGAAAAGGAAGAAGTAAGGGATACAGACATCCATTTTAAATGAAATATTTAATATGAGCCAAACACTGGCACTAAACACTAAGGTTACAAGTGTGGTGTCGTTTGGTACTTGCTCTTAGAAATCAATGGTGTTGAGAATGAGCATCTGGCTGACTGACAGGTGAACAACCCAGCCATTAAGGTTTTTAGGAGAAACTCACAGGATCCATTCTGATAAAAGAGGAGAATATTTGTGTCTTTGTGTGCTCTTTGATGAGGTTGGACTGAATTTCTAAGGGGCATTTCAGGTAGATAAATATTAGCCAAAATATAGAGGCTTCCAGTCATTTTTCTACCAACTTTGTGGAGTAAGGTGCTGGTGAGGAAATTATAAGGAAGGCAGACCAGACATTTGCTCTTATGGATCTTACATTCTTATGGTGAGAAGCTGACAAATATGCAGAGAAATGTCAAAATATGACACTGAGGGACAGAGATGTTTGCTAGGAACATCTCATGCCAATGAGTGAGAGAGCACACTACATTCCACTCTCTGCAAGTAGCTTGAGGAAGCTATGAAGCTGGACAGGTAGAACCACAAGAGAAGACACTGTGAATCAATAAAAGGGACTTTATGATATTCTCTTGTGAGGTACGAAGAGCCAGTGAAGAATTTTCAATACTAGAAGGACACAGTCACACTGATATTTTAGATGCATTGGTCTTGCACTGTTAGTCTATTTGGGGAAAACGCTTAGCTGTTATAGGCTTATCTGTAATATGTGGTTGCACCAGTGAATCTCCGTGGCTCCTTTCATCTCTCCTATTTTAAGAGTCTCAGTTATGTAAGTTGAGGAGGCTTAGCCAGAGGAGTCTCTATAAACTCGTTACTCTAAAACTGGGGGGATCTCTTCTCTCCCAGTGGAGATTAGGCAATGTATGGAGATACTTTTGATTGCCATGAGATTGTTACTGGTATCTAGTGGGTAGAAATCAAAGATACTGCTAAACATTTTACAATGCACATGCAGCCCGCAAAACCAAGAATTATCTGATTCATGATGTCAGTAGTGCAATGCTGAGAAATGCTGCCATAGACTGATAAAACAGGAAGTGATTTTCTGAAGACAAGAGGGTGTTTTGTGACTAGGAGAACATGGGGGAAGTTTGAAACAATTTCTGTGGGAAATTCTTTGAGCATGGGCTGATGGCAACAGCTCTCAGCTACAGCATGGCCAAACCTAACATGCAGAAAATTGAGGTATGTTTTAAGTGCATTGCAAATAAGAACAAAGCATGAGGTTTGCAGATTTAATGGTCTCTCTTTTATAATATCACCCTCACTTTTTTGGATTTTGCTATTCTTTTTCTTTAACAGGAATAGAGGCATGGAGTTAGTTGGACTAGGAGGTAGTTGGGCAAGGGAAGGTAGCAGCCCAGTGAACATCACCTATTCCATGAAAACTATTGCTTTATGACACTCATTTACAGTCTCTTTCCTCATCCCAATTGCAAAAGAGAATCAAAATTAGCCAACAAATATTGAATAAATCTGTACATAAGCCCTAGGATTATAACTATAAATAAAACAGAGAAATTTAAAGCTATAAGAGAAACATAGCCCTAAATCCCTGAGCAACTAGGATAAGAGCTATTCTGGATGTATCAAGGACATGTTAAATGGAATGCTTTATGGGATAGAGGTTGCACGGAGACAAGAAGGTTTTATGGAAGAAAGAAAAATGAGTTTGAAATTTAAAGCATATTTAGGATTTTAACATGAAAGCACTGAGGAAGATGTACTTGATGAAGAAAACACCCTACTTAAAGGCTTGAGAATGAGGGGAAGTAATCTTAAGGTACTTTGAATTATCGGAGTTATTCAGGAGACAAACCTGGAAGAGTCCAGGAACACATGGTAGAATGTGCCCAGCACT
Organism: Homo sapiens; assembly: GCF_000001405.40. NCBI lineage: Eukaryota > Metazoa > Chordata > Mammalia > Primates > Hominidae > Homo > Homo sapiens. The sequence goes on from NC_000002.12 coordinate 6,032,503, forward strand.
TTGCTGTCTCCTAAGTTTTAAAACTTATCCCCGTCAAAAGTCACAATGACTTTGTTAATGCCTTTGTTGTGGCATTCTGCGGTACAGTGTGTCCTTGTAAGTTGTAAACCATTTGCATTTCCTTTGCTCATTGAACCTCCAAAAATGAATCAAATTTACCAAATGATGACCATCTTTCCAGGGGCAGCAGAAATGGAGTTACAAAATCAGAAACAGGAGGGACTCACAAAGCTGAATCATACTATTTCTTGGTACCCTTGCGTGTCACATCAGGAGGTATTGGCAAAACCCCACAAGACAATGAATCTGCAACATCCAACTATTTAACTCATATGGCATGCAATTCTTTAGGTATGTCTCCTGACACACAGAGGATCAGGAAGCCTAGAAAGTGTGTCTCCTATTTTCAGTCCCAAACTTTGAAGTCAAATGGACCTGTTGAGGTTTCTGTAAAAATGTTCAAATCTAATATCCCAGACTTATAGAAAAAAATTTCAAGATTAGTTTGCCATGTAAATCATCCAATTCTTTCCCTGACCTGGGTAATTTTCTAGATTTTTTTTGTGGGTTTTGCTTTCTGATTTGTTTTCTTTGGATTTGTTTAAAAATCTAAGGTCAATTCTTCTAAATGAGTAACCTAAATAGGATATAAAGTTTTTCTTGAATAATAATTAAACAATTACTTTTGTGTTTGAATAATTACTGGAAACTAGATTAAGAAAAAAAAAATCTTTAAGAAGTTTACTCCAAAGGCAAAGTAACACAAATTCAGGTGATCTATCATGATTATATGTTGTCATTTTACAGTGAAACTGACACAAAACCTGTTACTTCTTGGTCATGGCATTACATAAACAACCAATGAAAAATAGATCAGGAAGATAGAAGACATTACATATCTCCAAACTGAGCTTCTCATCAAGTGAGATTGTTGTCTATAAACAATATTTTCCGTGTTTTATAATTTGAAGTGGACTGTCATACCCTTTCTTCATGTGATTCTTTCAAGATCCTCTTAGTTATTATTGTTAGACTTATTTTTCTGATGGAGAAAATGGGGATCAAGTAAGTTAAATAACATTTCATTGGGTCATGTTTTCTTCCATATTAACTTCTCTGAAATAAGTATTCATTGTGCACTTAATGCATTAGCAATCATGCCTTAGTGTATTGGCAGTACAGTCTTTGTAACAATTGTATATGTTCATCTCATAATTAATGGTATCTTTGAGCCAATGAAATATGCTAAATTTAAATTCAACTTTGGCTCCAAATTGTTTATTCTTTCCTTGACACTCTGTGGCCTCATGTGAGATTGGCTGAAAAAAAAAATGAACCAACCAACGACAACAACAAAAAAAGTTTGAGCACTGTGGATTTTTAGTTATAATTATAATACATAAAATTCAAAATATATAAAATTAATTTTAGGACTTAAGCTTGTATTTTTTGTAATTTAAAATAATGATGTATTAAAAACATTTGTATTCTCTCTATATATTTTAAATTTAGTTTAATTTCATAAACATTTCTCAAGAGTATATTTTGTGCAGGGCATATTGCTAGTCATTATGGGATCTATATAGTTATGTTAAATTTAAAGTATGGTCTTACGGGGGAAGATGATAGAAAATGTACATTTATAAACTTCCTGCAATGTATGAGTTATTATGTTATAAACTTTTACATATTTTGACCCATTTAATCCCCATTTTGTAGATGAGTAGACTGAGGCTCATGAAATGATAAAGATTTTCCCATGGTATCAGGAATAAGAGTTGTCAAAGTAAAATTAAAACCAGGACTTTTGGCTCCCTAAAGCTATTCTAATGCTATTATTTCAAGCATAAAGCTAGTTTTTATGTAAGTTATAAAAGAGATACACATTTACATTGAAGGTCCATATGAGAGGAGACAAGTTGGCTTCCATCAGGAGCTAGTAAATGTACTCTCTCCTTCAATCAAATAGGCATGTCTTTATTTTGTGAGGAAACAGCATTGTGTTGAGGCTTTCTCATGGGGCATTCCCATCTCACAAATGGAGTCTGAAATCAATGAAACAATTAGAGTGTTGGCAAAGGAGGGGAGAGGAAGGCTAGTAGTGTTATTTGTTAATAATGATACTCTATTCAACTTGGAATTTTAAAAGTTGCTTGAGATCTCTTCACTCATGAAAACAGTTCTATCCAAAGTGAGGAAGAAAATATATATTTATGCAGTCCTAACCTGAGCCAGACACTGTATTTTGGGCATCACATTCTATGACCACGACAATTCTGAAAGTTATTTAACCCCTTAGTGTAAACATCCATGGATATTTTGAAATGTGAAACCTCTTGCCCAAGGTCACATAACAGTATTTCATTCCAGAGTGTGAGGTCTTTCTCCTATGTCCTGTAAACCCCGTATCTGCACATTGACCAGTAAATGAACAATCTGAGGATACAGACTGCCATCCACTACTTAGGTTACTTACTCAGTTAAACCTTTGGAATTCTGTCTGTGTTCTAACGGGGTGAACTAACTGAATCTGTATAAATAGTAATCATAAGTTAGCATTTAATTGGTTCTTATTGTTTTAAAAAGCTGTGTATCATTCTCTCATTTTTAAAATAATTCATTGTTAATTATTATTGTTGTCACTGTTATTATTTTGCAGATGATGAATATCAAATACATAGAACTGACATGAAGTACCCAAGGTCACACAGATATTAAGAGGTAAAAAAAGACAATTTTATACCCTTAGTTTTTTTCTCAATGTTACGCTGACTCTCAAACATTGAAAAAGTATTTCTCTTGAGCCCAGGGCTGGATAAATGGTGCTTAGTTGCTTAGTATATTTAAAAATGTAGAGGATAAAATGATTCCGTTGAGATTTTGGCATTTTGAAAGCCAAAGAGTGGCTTATACATGTATGTTTTTTATGTAGGCTTGGGGGCAGTCTAGGAGAAAGTCAGACCTGTATTAGGGAAGTGGATGTTGGTATAACATCTCAGAGATAAGGAAACCAGATTCTGAAAGATGGAGACATTTTCAGCATCATAAGCCAAGTCATTAACAAAAGGAAAAACTCGTGGTCCCTGGCTATCTCTGAGTCTTTGGTATGTCATTAAAGACAGTACAATGAAGCCATTAAGGACTCGAGTCCTCAAGTCGAACTAACTGTCCTCCTATCCTGCCTTCTTGTTAATGGCTTTGTGACCTTGGGCAATTTATTTAACATCTCTGTGCTTCAGTTTCATCATATGAAATAATGAAGACCATAATTTCATCTTCTCATAGGGTCATCATAAAGACTAAATGAAGCATTACAGGGAGCGTGCTCCAGATGGTGCCTGACACAGTGTCAGATCAAGAAGCGTTAGCTGTTATTGTTCAACCAGCCGTAGCCTCTATTTGCTTGTCTGTAAAATGGGAACTGAGCTAATATTCTCACGAAGTACTAGTAGAAATTGTTTGAGAAAGGGGCATCCAGTAATAGCATTTAATAATTTTTGCTGTGGGTCTGGTCACTAAAGGTTTGTGAATATTATTTTTAAGAAAGGAAAGAACGAGTGCAAGCATTCCCTCAATGAGCATTTAATACATGCCCTCGACATATCAGGCAAAGTTTTCTACTAAAGATACAAACATAAATAAGACACAGGTTGTGGTCCCCAGGACTCACAAGAGGGTAAGGAAAACAGACATGCAGAGACACATTTCTCAAATGCAGTGAGCAGTTTCCTGGAGGTTTTAAGAGAGAAAGAGAAGGGACAGTGCCTGGCAACCATTGGGCATCAATTTTCATTATGGACTTGTCTTAACTTAATCAGAGGGAAGATTAGCTTTCCTGTATCTAGCTTCATCTTATCTAGTTTTGAGTGAGAGTGGGATGATGGAGTGTGCACTGGGGACCTATGGCCTTGTCTTAGCCTTGGCTTGCTGTGCGGCATGGGGACATCACTTAACTTGCTTAAGTCTCCTACTCCTCATAAGCAGCTGACACCATCTCTGGTCGACTATTGACTGGCTGGAACCCACCCAGTCCCTGAAAGAATACAGAAGCCAGAAGGAAGCCTTGGACGGAAATATAATGGTGAAAGCAGAGGTAAACGCAAGAGCCAGCTCATGAATGGTAGAAGTCACTGTATCATCTGATATCGGACTCTGTCCATCAGAGCATCACTTTCTAGAGGAATTCAGAGTCGACAGTTAAGTCTAGGGCAGAATTACTCCGAGTTTCTAGGAAGATGGTGCTAGGCAATTCTCCACAAGAGAAGAACTTGAACCTTGAACTTCTGATATGAGGATTAAAAATAACCTTGTTTTTTCAACAGTTAATACGTTTTATCTATCCCATCTGCATGGGTTTTCCCACTTTTTAAAATATTAAAATTATTTGTGAGGATCACTAAAATTTTATTTGTAGCTTGCAGATGCTTTAAAGATAGATCATATTACAATGATCTTTGTGCAAATAGTAAGTGATACATGCTCATAACATGTGCTGATTGAATGGATAAATGAATGACAGTGAATGGATAAACCAATGAAATAATCCCTCAGTGGAGGAGTAAAGGCGTGTGGGACAGCCTCCTGATTGTCCACCCAAAAAAGTTCTATTTATGGGGAAATGGTAGGAATATCTGATGGCCAAAAGCAGGAGTAAATGTCCCAGGACTTTATTCAAGTGTCAAATATCCAAACAAGGTGGACAGTGATGGTCTCCATGGCCCACCCCCCTCTCAGCCCACCCTGCCTCAGTCTCCCGATGTTGCTACTCCTTTTCATCCAGATTTAGCTCCACTGCACATGCCCTGGAAACAGGCCCCTTCTCTGTCATCACTCCAGGTTAGCTCTGTCCCTCTAAATGAGACCAAGAGAGACAAGGATCCCTGTGTGAAAGGGACAGGAGCCACAAGGCAGGAGCCAGGGAGCCCAGTGTGGCTGAAACTGATGGGGAGTACTGGGGGCTCTGGGTGAAAACGGGAATAGATCTTGGGGTCCTGTACCCACCATAGGCTGCTTGAGAGGCTGAGTCAGGGTGGTGTGAGCAGGACCTCCGTGGCCTGTGGACTGCAGGAAGGTTCTCCTGATGGGCTAGCTGGGAAGAGCAAGGTCGTGAATCTATGCCAGCAAGGTGGCCTCGGGGTGGCTGCTTGCTCAGACTGAAGGTCGTCCATCTTTTCAAAGAATGTCATTCTCCATGACTCTGTGACTCCGCAGGTCTCTCTCCCCTCATCCTCCTCCCTCAGGTTTAGGAAGGGTAAAAGCTCAGCTGCCAGCAGCCCCATGCCTCTGTAGCCACCCAAACATTGGTAGTCCCTCAGTAAATAAAGCTTACTGAATTCTCCTACTGGGGGTGTGTTTCCCATGAGAGCCCTAACTGACATAAATACACAGAACTTCATCTCCACACAGAGCTGCTTTATTTCTCCTTCCTCCTTTCCCTGTTCCCCTCTTACGCTCAGAGGTATCTGCTGTGTGACCTTGGACGAGTCTGTCCAGCCCTCAATTTCCTTACCTCCAAAGCAGAATTAACATCCTGCATTGTCATAGGCATCAAATGAGATAATTCATGTAGGATATTTGGTATGGTCCCCTACAAATAATAGACATTTAATAAATTTCAACCTTAAAAAACTGTGATTTTGAAGTGGCTCATTCTTTTCACCCTAGTAATAAGTGAAAATAGGTTCCATTTTGTACCTTGAGTGGGATTTTATAGCAAGACAGTAAAAGATGAGAAGAGAGTTGTTTTTTTTTTTCCTAAAACAAACCATTTAAGCATCACTCCACGTGAGTAACAGGAGCCTCTCAAGCAATCCCCCTATCTCCTCTACCCCCCTTGATTCTAGAAAACAAAACAGTACTGTTCAAAGATTTCTCTGAACTATACCATTCAAGCAGGTTTTATGAGAGATTATATAGCTCTGTAAAGAACTTGATCAAACATGACAACAGGCCCACTGATAACATCTTTATCAGTTTACTCAATAGAGTTATCTGAAAAAATGGGATTTAGTTAGAATCTATTCTGCTTTTTATAAATGTAGATGAGAGAGATGCCAGATAGCGACCCAGAAAAAAAGGGACTATGCTCTGAACAGCACCTTCTCTCACTCTTCAAAGGCAAAGTAATTACAAGTTATTAGGACAGGAGTATCAGAGACCAAAGAAGAAAATGCAGAAACTTCTTACAAATATGAATTATCTTTTTGCCTAAAAGGAGCACAGAGGAATTCCTTAGGTGCCTCTCTGAAAGGCAAGAATGTGGTACAAGATTACTCCAAAATTATTCAGAATGAGGCCTAGTAGGTGTTCCCACGAGCAATGAAGCACAGAGAAAGTTAATTTGGAAATAAAGCTATTTATGGAAGAGAGTATTTTGATTTTCCTGTTTTTTTCTGTTTGTTTGTTTTTGTTTTTGTTTTGCCCTGCATTTGAGTGAGGGAAAGAGAGAGATTGTCATTGGAGATCCAAGTCTCCAGTACTTGGCAGGTAGCAAATAATGTGACAGGGGCCCAAAGGATTTGGATGAAAAATGAATGAAAACTCATCTTCATTTTTTTTTTCTGAATTAGAGTCATAATGGTACATTTTTGTGCGCTAAATTTATTTCTTAGAAAGATTGCTGCTATGGTTGGCTCATAGTGTCTAACTCTCTCTTATGAAACTTGTTCTTAGAGCCTTTAATAAATAATTATTCCTTTTTTCTTTCTCTGACCAATTTAAAATATTTGCTTTTGTTAAGAAAATAAAACAACCTTAACTTGTGACAGGTTGGGAGAGAGGATTAAAAACTGTGGTTTTTTCTGAGTCACTTTTGCTGCTACTTAAAGTAGCCGCTTCCACCTTTGTTAATTCTTTGCTCCCTTTTCTGGTCTTATTCTCCTTCCGAAAGCCTCAGGTCTTGGTTCTCATCCCTCTCTGTATATGGTGGGGATTCACGCGGGCATTGGGTTTTCCTGTTCAAGCACGTGATTCAACTTCTGGTACCATAAACTAGTGCTGACTAGAGAAAGCGTATTCTATTCATTAGGAGCAGGATGGTAATAATAATTTGAATATAAATCTGTATTTCTCTCTATTCCATATTACTTCTTAGGTTCTTGGCTTGCCTGTCTTTGTGAAAGCTCACAGTGCCTCTCATCTCAGCTCAAGTGATTATTTGATGCTTCTGAACAACACACAAGAAGTCATTCTCCCTGAGAGTGACGGCCTTCCCAAGCCACGCACTGGCTCTCTGTGGCTGGTCTGGCTTCTACTTAGCAGGTCCTTTCCCAGACTTGGCAGGAAAGTGCCCTCCTGCGAGGACTATGAAGGGCAAGTTGCCCCGCAGGTGAGTAGCTGGAACACTGAGTAATGGCAGTAGCCACACTAGGGAACAGGACCATGCAAAGAAGTAAAAACCCATGTTCTTGGTGATGATCAATGCTCAGAAAAGAGAAAGCTCATCACATGACAACCCCCACACAATGCCTTGATCACAAGAGAAATTCTGGGTTATGGTAACAATGATCAGTTATGGGGAGCCAGGTGTCCACGTACAGTCCCACACAATCTTCACAACAACACCATGAGGGAGGAGCTGTGGTCAGTCCAACTGTACAAATAAAAGATGGAAACCTTATGGGAGGTGACTTTCTTGAGGTCTCAGAGTTGGCAAATGATGAAGTCAGAAATACACAGCTTTTACATATTTATAATGTTACCTATATGGAAATAGTGTAGCAGATATACAGTATGTGTAGTATAAAAAGATGTTCCAAGCTTATATTGTACCTCCTCTACCTCGCTCTGGAATCAGCCATGAAATGAGTTTTTGAAAATGTGGTCTCTGTTGTTTTCCTGGAACTCTATTACTACAATGGCCGTTGTTCAGAACCATGTTTGTAAGGTTTGGTTCCTTTCCAGTTTTAGGAAAATTTAATTTTTTAAGTCTCTCTGACTAGAGTCTATATGCTGAAATGTACCCGTGTTACTCCATAAAGAACATAATAAGCTATTTTAAGTTTCCAAAGGTTCTGCCCAAGGAATTGAATGAAATTTAAAGCCAGAACAACAAAAAAGACTTGGTCCCCAAGATTTGAAGGAGAGAATACTTACAGAACTAATTTAAGGTTAATTTGAATAAATTATGTATTTTTCTTTGATATAAATTATTCCCCATTAGGAAGGCTGGACATGTGAGTATGTAAAAATGGACCTAATATTTTCAAGAATCACTTACCTGTCAAACACAGTGCTGAATACTGTACAGTTGTTATCTTGATTTTTGTTCACAAAACCCCCATTTTACAAGTAAAAAAAAAAAATGAGGCTTCAAAGACTCTTCCAAGGTGACCTAGTAAGTATTTGGTAAAGTTCGAATTTTAATCAAGGTCTAATGACCACGAAACTTTGTTTAAAAAGCAATGTTTTTAAAAAGTTATTTTCTCATTCTCAAATGTATTTACCGCATTGACAGAGAACACTTTAATATTTTGTCTCTAACACTGTCTATATTCATTTAAGGTGATGGCCACTATCACTGCTCATTTTTTCAGTTCTCTTTGTGGATCAGTTGGGTGAGTCAGGGAGGCTGTCTACCCATGGATTAGACTGTGCTGAATAGACTGGCATGAAACAAGAGATCAAAAGTAAAGAAAGTTTCCGCAGTGACACAATCCAGGCTACTTCCATAAAACTAAAGCAAAAAATAAGGCACAAACTTTACCTTACACATTGATATGGTTTAGCTGTGTCCCCACCCAAATCTCATCTTGGATTGTAGCTCCCATAATTCCCACGTGTCATGGGAGAGACCCAGTGGGAGGTAATTGAATCATAGGGGCAGGTCTTTCCCGTGCTGTTCTCCTAATAGTGAGTAAGTCTCAGGAGAGTCAATTGTTTTATAAAGGAGAGTTCCTCTACACATACTTTCTTGCCTGCCATCATGTAAGACGTGCCTTTGCTCCTCCTTTGCCTTCCATCATGACTGTGAGGCCTCCCCAGCCATGTGAAACTGTGAGTTCATTAAACTTCTTTTTCTTTATAAACTACCCATCCTCTGGTATGTCTTTTATTAACAGTGTGAGAACAAGCTAATATATACATGGTGGATTTATCTCTACTTCTCTTGTGACACTGTGCTACAATGACAGCAAGGACAACTTTTATATATTTGTATACAAATGCAAAGAGAACAAAATAACAAAGGAAATAAGAGATTACTATACAATTCTGGAAGTTGGAAAGTGAATAAATAAGTCACAACTGGCTTAGCAAAGTAGAAAAGGAGAGTAGAGATATTTACCACTTAGAAGCAATTTTATTCCCATGATCGAAACTTGAAAAGGCTAAAAAACTACAGACACAGAATTCCTATGAACACCTGCTTGTGGTATCGAGCTGAAACGGGAATATTGCTCAGAAGTCTACAAAAGGGGGAAATCACTGTCTTTGCGGCACATAGCAGCTGGTCTCCATCCCCCCCTACTAAAAGATCGACTTTCTAGTGAGGTAGCTTCAGAGAGGTGCTCTCCTGGGCTATCCTAGGCAAGATTAGGATGGGAGTGAGGCAACATTCTGAAAGCAAAGACTTGGTGCACTTGGGTGACACATGTCTCAACCACAGCCTCATTCTCCTTCCTGCATGCTTTTATAGTTTCCTCTGACAGTAATAGAAGTTCCTGGCTGGGCGCAGTGGCTCATGCCTGTAATCCCAGCACTTTGGGAGGCGGAGGCGGGTGGATCATGAGGTCAGGAGTTAGAGACCATCTTGGCTAACATGGTGAAACACCGCCTCTACTAAAAATACAAAAAAAAAAAAAAATTAGCCAGGCGTGGTGGTGGGCACCTGTAGTCCCAGCTAGTCGGGAGGCTGAGGCAGGAGAATGGTGTGAACCCGGGAGGTGGAGCTTGCAGTGAGCCGAGATCACGCCACACTGCACTTCAGCCTGGGGGAGAGAACAAGACTTTGTCTCAAAAAAAAAAAAAAAAAGAAGAAAAGAAAAGAAAAAAAGATAAAAAAAGAAGTTCCTAATGTTACAGAAAAAAAAAGAGATTTCTCCAAATCCAAATGGCAAATCAGTCCCTTTGGTTTTGCTAGGAATTCACAGTAGTTCACCACCTAATTTAAACATTTTGCATCTTTTAAATTAAGAAATTCTTTATTTAAAGCTTGGTTTTATACTTCTTAGTGGATGAGCACACTTTCTATATAAGTAGTCAAGCCTAGTTTTCTGTATAACCTAGTCAGTATTACTTGGGTAGTGAATGAGCATCCCTAAGTCTGAAAAGACTAATAGTATTCCTACTACCAAGATCCAGAAACTCTCTCTTGCTCACTTTTCTGGGTAAAGGTATAGAAAGTGCCTGCGTAAATAGTACAAAGCCCTGGCAATTTGGAGAATAATGTGGGAGCTGCTGATTGGCACTTTGTTATCGGAATTAACTCTTTTCAAGATGGCTGACTAAAAGCAGCTAGTGTGTGCTGCTCTCACTGAGAGAAATGGAAGGGGAAAATATTAATAAATACTGCACCTTCAACTGAAGTATCTGGGTACATGCATTGGGATTCATCAAGAAAATAACCCACAAAAAAACAAAGAAAAACAAGGCAGGGCAACAGCTCACCTGGGAGTGACATGGAGCCAGGGAAGCTTCTTCTGCTCAGGGAAGCCGCGAGTGAGTGAGTGACCCTGGGAACCCATGCTTCTCCCACAGATCTCTGCAAAGCTTGCATCAGGAGATCCCCTCATGAACCCACTCGACCAGTACCTGCAGTTCGACACGCACAGCCCCAGGAGCTTAAGATATCTGGGCTTCCCCTGCAAAAGCAGCAGCAACTCTGGCAAAGTGGGAGGTTCGACCCCCGTCTGTACCCCTAGGAAATCCAGGGGGATGAGCAGCCGTGGTCTGCAGGCCCCACTTCCAAGGCACCTCCCAGGATAAGACCCACTGGCTTGGAACTTCAGCCAGGCAGGGATAGCAGCGTTACACCTCCCTGAGAGGGAGCTGCCAGAGGGAGGGTCAGGCCGCCATCTTTGCTGTTTCATAGCTTTGGACGTTGTTGCCTTCAGGCTCTGGGGAATATGAGGTGACCAGCAACTGGAGCAGTACCTTGCACAGCACAGCAGGTCTACAAAGAGGCAGCCAGACTACTTTTCATGTGGGTGTCAGATCCCATTCTCTTCACTGGACCAAATTTGCCAGCTGAGGTCTATAACATCCCAACCGGTGTTTTCCAGCAGGTAGCAGTTCCAAACCTCCGTGGGATGCAGCTCCCAGACAGAGGGGTGAACAAACTTCCCATATAAGTGGTCAAGCCTAGTTTTCTGTGGAACCTAGTCAGTATTACTTATTATTTGGGTAGTGAATGAGCATCCCATCTTTGCTGTTTCACAGCCTCAGCCATTGCTGCCTTCAGTCTTTGGAGAGTTTGAGGCTACTAGGGGCTGGAGCGGACCCCCAACAAAGCACAGTTGCTCTAGGAAGCATCCAGACTGCTTTTGCAAGCGGGCCCCTGATCCCATTCCTCCTCACTCAGTGAGACCTCCCAACTGGGTTCCCTTGCCACCCCCACCAGTGTGTTCAGGCCCTCAAGAGGTCCACACCTCCCCGGGACAGAGCTCCTAGAGGGTGGGGCAGGTCGCCATCTTTGCTGTTTCATAGCCTTCACTATTGACACCTTCAGCTGCTGGAAAATCCAAGGTGACTAGGGATTGGAGCAGACCCCCAGCACACTGCAGCCCGAGGAAAAGTGGCCAGACCGTTTGTTATGTTGGTTCCTGATCCCATATTTTCTTGCTGGGCAGGTTCTCCCTGCCTGGGTTTCCAGCCACCCCATTGCTGGGGCTATGGAACCAGTAGCATCTCTGCAACTCCCTGGGATAGAGCCCCCAGTGGGAGGGGTGGGTTGCCATCTTTGCTGTCTCACCTCCCTCACCCTTGCTCTCTCCAGGTTCTGGAGTCTGTGAGGACTAGGAGCTGGTCAGGACCCCCAGCACAGAGCAGTCACCTCGTGGAAAAGTGGCCAGACTATTCTCCATGCAGGTTCAGTCCTCACTGCTTCTCAGTGGACAGGTCCACCCTACCTTGGACTCCAGCACAACCACCCTGCCCTCACCTGACAACTTCAATCAGAAGCAGCACAGTATTTCTTTGAGGAGGAAATGCCAGAATCAACCCACCACCCCTCCACCACTGCAGCTGCAGTCAATCCGCAACCCTCATTTTAAAAGTCCTTGGGCTGGGGAAAGAACAAAGGACCTGGTCACTACACTGGTACCTTCAGCACAGGGCAGCCACCACACAGAAAGGAGTCCAGCCCCTCTTCCCTGGCAACTCCCACCTCCCACTCTTCACCAGGTAGGGCCCCAGGCTCATGACTGCAAAACATCTGCCCCACCCATGGCTGAACATACCCACTGTTAGTAGCCTGGAGTTGTCCTGGGGAGAGGCCCAGAGAGCCATCTACAGCCCCTCCCATAGCAGTGATTTTATCCCTGCCATCCCCAACCTGGGAAGAAACAAAGAGCCTGAGGACTACACCTGAGCCTGTAGCAGACCACCATCACTATACAGAGAGGAGACCAGTCTCCTCCCAGTGAGCCCTCAACCCCCTGCTCCCCAGCAAGTGAAGCCCGAAGCTCATGCCAGTGCTGCAGCTGCCTACCTCACTGGCTGAACACTTCCATTAACAGTGGCTCCATGTTCCTCAGAGATGGAGCCCCCAGGGGCAACCAAAAGCCCCTCTGCCACTGCCTCTGCAGTGTTACTGCCTCTGCTACCCTTGGAATAATGCAGGAGCAAAGACAGCAAGTATTTTATTCACACCTCCAATAAGCAGAAGTTGACCCAAGGAAAGGAGGTCAGTTTATCTGCCACAGGTCCCAGCCACCCACCCCTCCCCCACTTGTCACCAGAAAGGGAACCCCTGGCTCGGGTCCACAGCACAGAACTACCGCCCCATCCCAGGCTGATTGCACTGAGCAATTCCTGACCTGCATCTTTCTGGGGTGGAGTCCCAAGTAATCAAGTAAAAGACCCTCAGCCACAACCATGAGTAAGGTCCCTTCCTCTGCTGCCTCAAAGAGAGGGTGGAAACATAAACCCTGGGATTACCCCAGAGCTATCTTGGGCAGCCCAGGAATGCTAAGTCACAATCAATGGCCAGCACTCAAGTGGGAGAGGAGTCCACACTTTCAGAGTATTGAGAGGGAGCACGGATGCACATATGAGGAAATATAGGGGAGCCACACAACTGAGCAAGAGTGCACCTACTGACCAACATGCCTAAGCACCACCTACCTACTGGATCACACCCTAAAGCTTCAACACCAAAAACACCTTTCAAGCATACTCACTTGTGAAAACAAAGACAAGAAGCCAGCTACAAATAAAGACCCTTCTCAAAGCCTGGGCCCTGTGGAAACATTAAGACAAGAAGTCTACTGATTGTCCTTAATCTACAATGCAGTTCAAGGAACACTCACATGCAGAGATGAGAAAGAACCAACATGAGAACTCCCACAACTCCAATGGCTCGAGTGTTGTATGTCCTCCCAACGACTACACTAGTTCTCCAACGATGGTTGTTAACCAGGCTGAGTTGGCTAAAATGACAGAAATAGAATTCAGAATATGGATAGGAACGAAGATCATCAAGATTCAAGAGAACAGCAAGACAAAATCCAAGGAAACTAAGAATCACAATAAAATGATACAGGAGCTCATGGATGAAATAGTATAAAAAAACCTAACTAATCTGATAGAGCTGAAAAACACACTACAATAATTTCACAATGCAATCACAAGTATTAACAGCAGAATAGACCAAGCAGAGAAAAAAATCCTGAAACCTGAAGACTGACGCTCTGAAATAAGACGAAAAAAAAAAATGAACAAAACCTCTGAGAAATATGACATTATCTAAAGAGGCCAAATCTACAAATCACTGGCATCCCTAAAAGGGATAGAGAGAAAGCAAAGAACTTGGAAAACATATTTCAGGATATTGTCTATGAAAACTTCCCCAAACCTTGCTAGAGAGGCCAACAGTCAAATTTGCAAAATACGGAGAACACCTACAAGATTCTACACAAGATCATCCCCAAAACATATAATCATCAGACTTTCCAAGGTCAAAATGAAAGAAAGACTATTAAAAGCAGCTAGAGAGGAAAAGCAGGGCATCTACGAAGGAAATCCCATCAGGCTAATGGCAGACCTCTCAGCAAAAACCCCACAAGCCAGAAGAGATTGGCAGCCTATACCCAACATTCTTAAAAGACAAAAAATCTTCAACCACCCAAGAATTTAATATCCAGTCAAACTAAGCTTCCTCAGCAAAGGAGAAATAAGATCCTTTTCAGAATAGCAAATGCTGAGAAGGTTTGACACCACCAGAACCACCTTACAAGAGATCCTGAAAGAAGCACAAATATAAAAAGGTCATTACCAGCCTATACAACAACACATTTAAGTACACCGACCAGTGACGCTATAACGCAACCACACAAACAAGTCTGCATAATAACTAGCTAACAACACGAAGACTGGATCAAAGTCATATATATCAATGCTAACATTGAATGTAAACAGGCTAAATGTCCTATTTAAAAAGGAACAGAGTAGTCAGCTGAAAAAAAAAAAACAGTAAGACTCAATGGTGTGCTATCTTCAAGAGGAGAGACCCATCTCATACATAATGACATCAACAGGGTGAAAATAAAGGGAGGGAGGAAAACCTACCAAGCAAATGGAAATCAGAAGAAAACATGGGTTGGTATCCTAATTTCAGACAAAATAGACTTTAAACCAACAAAGATTAAAAAAAAGACAAAGAATGTCTTTACATAATGGTAAAAGGTTCAATTCAACAAGAAGACCTAACTATCCTAAATATATATGCACCCAATACAGGAGCACTCAAATTCCTAAAGCAAATTCTTGGAGACCTTCAAATATACTTAGACTCCCACACTACTATAACAATAATAGGAGGAGACTTCAACACTAATAGTATTAAACAGATCATCAAGGCAGAAAATTAACAAAGGTATTCAGGACCTGAATTCAACATTGGATCAAATGGATCTGATGGACATCTACAGAACTCTCCACTGAAAACCAATAGAATATACATTCTTCTCATCACTACATGGCACATACTTTAAAATTGATGACACAATTGAACATAAAACAACCCTGAGCCAATGCAAATGAACTAAAATCATATCAAACACTCTTGGACCACAGTGCAGTAAAAATAGAAATCAAGACTAAAAAAATGTTGCTTGAAATCATGAAATTACATGGAAATTAAACAACCTGCTCCGGAATGACTTCTGGGTAAATAATGAAATTAAGGCAGACATCAAGAAGTTCTTTGAAACTAATGATAACAAAGATATAACATAAAGAGAAAATATTGAATCTCTGGGATACAGCCAAGACAGTGTTAAGAGGGAAAATTATAGCACTAAATGCCCACATCAGTTAGAAAAGTCTCAAATAAAAAATCAAACATCACAACTAAACAAATTAAAGAAGCAAGAGAAAGTCAACCCCAAAGCTAGCAGAAGATTAAAAAAAAAAAAACAAGGTCAGAGCAGAGCTGAATGAAGGAGATAGAGACACATACACACACACACAAAATTTAAAAGATCAATAAATTTATGAGTTGGCTTTTGTTAAAAAACGAATATGATACTGAGGCCACTAGCTAGGCTATAAACGAAGAAAAGAGAGGAGATCCAAAAAACACACTCAGAAAAAAAAGGAGATATTACCATTGACCCCACAGAAATACAAATAACCTTAAGAGACTACTATGAACACCTCTATACACACAAACTAGAAAACCTAGAAAAGATGGAATCCTTCCCAAGACTGAATCAGGGAGAAATCAATTCCCTGAACAAACCAGTAATGAGCTTCAAAATTGAATGAACAATAAATAGCCTACCAACCAAAAAACCCCCAGGACCCTACAGATTCACAGCTAAATTCTGCCAGATGTATGAAATTG
Organism: Homo sapiens; assembly: GCF_000001405.40. Taxonomy (NCBI): domain Eukaryota; kingdom Metazoa; phylum Chordata; class Mammalia; order Primates; family Hominidae; genus Homo; species Homo sapiens. The sequence continues at coordinate 6,048,506 of NC_000002.12, forward strand.
AAAGCGGACCCCTTTTTTACATAATATACAAAAATAAACTCAAGATGGATGAAAGACTTAAATGTAAAATCCAAGACTTTAAAGTCCTTGGAAGACAACCTAGGCAATACCATTCTGGACATAGCAACTGGCAAAGATTTCATGATGAAGACACCAAAAGCAATCACAACAAAAGGAAAAATTGACAAATGAGATCTAATTAAACTTAAGAGCTTCTGCAAAGGAAAAGAAACTATCGAAAGAGTAAATAGACCACCTACAGAAACATTCCTACTGAAACTATTCCAAAAAATTGAGGGGGAAGTAATCTTCCTGAACTCATTCTAAGAGGCCAGCATCATCCTGGTACTAAAAGCTACCAGAGACAAAACAAAGAAAGAAAACTTCAGGCCATTATTTTTGATGAACATTGATACAAAAATACTCAGTGAAATACAGGCAAACCAAATCCAGCAGCACATCAAAAAGCTTATCCACCATGATCAAATAGGCTTTATCCATAAAATGCTAAGTTGGTTCAACATACACAAATCAATAAATGTGTTTCATCACATGAACAGAACTAAAAACAAAAACCATACGATAGTTTCAACAGTTGCAGAAAAGCCTTTTGATAAAATTCAATATTTCTTCATGTTAAAAACTCTCAATAAACCAGGTATTGAAAGAACACACTTGAAAATAATGAGTCAACTATGACATACTGAATGGGCAAAAGCTAGAAGCAGCTCCCTTGAAAACCAGCACAAAACAAGGATGCCTTCTCTCAGCACTCCTATTCAACATAGTATTGGAAGTCTTTTCCAGAGCAATCAAGCAAAAGAAAGGAAGAAAGGGCATCCAAATAGGGAGAGAGAAATCAAACTATCCCTGCTTTGATTATCCATGATTCTATATCTAGAGAACCCCATAGTCTCTATCCAAAAGCTCCTTCAGCTGATAAACAACTTCAGCAAAGTTTCAGAACACAAAATCAACATAGAAAAATTACACCACAACAGTCAAGCTGAGAGCCAAATCAGGAATGCAATCCCTATCACAATTGCCACAAAAAGAATAAAATACTTAAGAATATAGCTAACCAGGGAGGCGAAATATCTCTACAATGAGAATTACAAAACATTGCTCAACAAAATCAGAGATGACACAAACAAATGGAAAAACATCCCATGCTTATAGATAGGAAGAATAAATATCATTAAAATGGCCATACTGCCCAAAGCAATTTACAGATTCAATGGTATTTCTATCAAGCTACCAATGGCATTCTTCACAGAACTAGAAAAAAACTATTCTAAAATTCATACGGAACCAAAAAATAGGCCGATTAGCCAAGGCAATTCTAAGCAAAAAGAACAAAGCTGGAGGCATCATGCTACTCAACTTCAAACTATACTACAGGGCTACAGTAACCAAAACAGCATGGTACTGGTACACAAACAGATGCATTGACCAATGGAATAGAATAGAGAGACCAGAAATAAGTCTGCAAACTTACAACTATCTGATCTTCCACAAAGCTGACAAAAAAAGCAATGGGGAAAGGACTCCCTATTCAATCAATGGTGCTGGGATAACTGCCTAGCCCTATGCAGAAAATTGAAACTGGACCCCTTCCTTACATAATGTACAAAAATCAACCCGAGATATATGAAACATTTAAATGTAAAACCCAAAACTCTAAAAACCCTGGAAGACAACCTAGGCAATACCATTCTGGACATAGGAACTGGTAAAGATTTCATGATGAAGGCAACAAAAGCAATCACAGCAAAATCAAGAATTGACAAATGAGATCTAATTAATCTTAAGAGCTTCTGCACAGCAAAAGAAACTATCAGAAGAATAAACAGGCAAGCTACAGAATGGGAGAAAATATTTGCAAACTATGCATATGACAAGGTCTACTATCCACCATCTAGAAGAAACTTAAACAAATTTACAAGAAAACAACAGCCCCATTAAAAAGTGGGTGAAGGATATAAGTAGACACTTTCAGAAGACAATATACAAGCAGCCAAAAAGCATATGAATAAAGCTCAATATCACTGATTATTAGAGCAATGCAAATAAAACCACAACAAGACACCATTTCACAGCAGTCAGAATAGCTATTATAATATTAAAAAGTCAAGAGTTATAGATGCTGGCAAGGTTGCAGAGAAAAGGGAATGCTTATACGTTGTTGGTGGGAACGTAAATTAGTTCAACTATTCTGGGAAGCAGCGTGGCTATTTTTCACAGAGCTAAAATCAGAACTACCATTTGATCCAGCAATTCCATTACTGGATATATACCCAAAGAAATAAAAATCATTTCATCATAAAGACACAGGCACATGTATGTTTATTGCAGTTCTACTCATCATAGCAAAGACATAGAATCAACTTAAATGCCCATCAAGGGTAGATTGGATAAAGAAAATGTGGTACATATACACCGTGGAATACTATGCAGCCAAAAAAAAACCAAGATCATGTCTTTTTGTAGGAGCATGGATGGAGTTGGAGACCATCATCCTTAGCAAACTAATGCGGGAACTGCAGGAACAGAAAACCAAATACCACATGTTCTCACTTGTAAGTGGGAGGTAAATGATGAGAACACATGGACACAAAGAGGGGAACAACAGATACTGAGGCCTACTTGAAGGTGGAGGGTGGGAGGAGGAAGAAGATCACAAAAAATAACTATTGGGTACTAGGCTTAGCATCTGAGAAATGAAGTAGTCTGTACCACAAACCCCCATGACATGAGTTTACCTGTATAACCAACCTGCACAAGTAACTCTGAACCTAAAATAAAAGTTAAAAAAAAAAAGAATTAACTCTTCTGCTCCCATTCAGCAATCTATGTATTTCTGCAAAATCTACACAACCTATACAATCTTCTGCACACAATTATTTAAAGAATCCAAAGTAGGAAATAATTTTACAATGCCTATCACTTTGATCAAGGAAGTATTTAATCCAATGACTGCCTAGCCCGTGGTTTAATACAGGTTTGTTGGTTAGGTGACTTTCTAAAGAAGTTAAGAGATCCCAGATTTATTGAGCTGGAAAAATCTTGAACAATCTTGAAATTTCACTCTTTGATTTCTGTCCTCTTTCATTAATTGTCGTATCCTTATGGAGAGACAAATTGTAACAGCTGTCCATTGCCTATTAACAGAGGTTGTCAAACTCTTTCTATAAAGATCCAGAGAGTAAATGTGCTTGTTTTTGCAGGACACAAGGTCTTTGTTGAAACTTCTCAACTCCAGTGCTGTGAGTTGAAGTCAGCTGTAGGCGGTGTGTCCCTCCATGGGTACGGCTGCTGTCCTATAAAACTCCACTTACGAAAGTGGGTGATATGCTGGTTTTGGCCTCCAGTGTGCAGTGTGCTAAGGGTCACCTAGAAGAAAAAGCCCCAACGTTTTCTTTCAGCCATTTCTTCCCAGTGTGCTTGATCTGTAAACAACCACTTCTGTTCCAAGTATGCAGGTTCTTTCAGGATTCATTCCTTTGTCCAGTTGATTCCACCTAATGCGCCATGTGAGTAGCAACAGTCAACATCAGGAATGGTATTGCTTTCAGTTCAAGCCTGTGTCAATTAGACCCAAGCGGTCCTCAAAATGAAAATCTGGTGGAATTGTCTTCCACAGCTAGGTCCTGGCCTTACTTCCACAGGCTTCAGTGAATATCTCCCTTTGCAGCATTCATCTACTAGTTTCCTTTTGAATCTCTTGCAATTTGTCTCACATGTATAACAGTCTCCCAAATGAAGTAGAAGATATTGCATAGTAGAAGCTAGCCCGCTGTGCTGTGTGCTGAGAAGCAGCCTTTGGTGCAGGGAAATCCAGCACATTTCTTCACTTTATCATTAATTGAGCTTCTCCTTGAAGCTAATTTGAATTAATGTAACCGGCTTCTTTACTGAATGCCAAACTGGAGCTGTGTGTGGCAAATCTGTGTGGCAGATCCATGCTCTGAAACCAAAAATTACTGAAGAGCAATTACTTCTTTCTGGTCACTGATGAAACATTCCAGCCATTGTCAGAAAGCTTCCAACACTTTATCTCTGCTAGTCACGATGAAGTGTGAGGAGGGGGCAGATGCTGGCTGGAGAAGAGGACCCTGCCTGCCATGGTCCTGCATCAGTACCACACAGCATAGCCTCACACGGGCGTGATGTTTGCCTTTGCATTTACCTTTCTGTATAACTTGAAGGTGTCTGGAAAACCGCAAGAACTTAGACACCTTGTTTCATGAGTTGCAAAGCCTGCCCTATATCCTCTGAGGCTTGTCTCTTGGTAAAACCAACAGATGTTTCACATAGACTGCACGGTAAAGGGAAACAGTGCTGCGTGAAAGAGGCTTGCAGCTCCGTTCTTCCATTCCAGCTTCACTAAGGGAGTAAGTGATGGTCCGTGAAGGGCAAGGGACTATATAAATTCAGTGCTGAATTTATAACTCCTTAAATGCTCCCAGAGCAGGATTTTATAATAGCTCACTCCAATCACAGAATGAAACTTTCTCAGCACAAAGTACTGTACTTGCGCTGCAATTATTTTAACCCACACGTTAGACATTTTACAGATGTGTTATTGCCAAATACATGTGAGCTTAAAAAATAGATTATTTTCTTTTTCCAAATCCTATAGAAAAAATCATCATAAACCAATTTTACCAGAAAATATGTATTTGTTACAACCCTAACTTTGTTTTTGAATTTGACATATATGCTTTCTTCCTTTGATAAGTGTCCACGTATTCAACTATGCCCAGTCCGTGTGATTATTCAACTCACTGGATTCTCTAATATTTATTAGTAAAAATCCAAGGTATGTCTTCACATCCCTGCTGCAGCCACAAAACAAGATTCTAAATGTCAAGTCTTATGGGCAGAATTTTGCTTTATACTATATAAAGTGAGTTTATGCATAACAAATTGTGATCTTAATTTATTTGCCATTTTTTTCCCCATGAGGGCAATGGTGTAATACACGGGCTCTCCATATGCCTCATTTCTGTTTGCCCTGGGTATTTTTAATGTAACAGTGCACTAATTCTAATTTCTCTTAGCCTAGGTCTGAAAATGCCCTTACTTGTTTAAAATCCTGTCCTTGTCTTAGGCAAAATTTGGCTTCCTTTTCTTACTTTATAATTCAAATAGATTCCACAAGCTCACTCACACCTGTTTTGTCTTTCATTCCTCACAGGGATGATCTCGGAACAAAATATTAAACCCACTCCATAGGTTTCTTTCTTTGTCTCCTCCCTTATTCATTAATATTTCATCTCCAAGGCCTGACTGCCAGGAACCTTGGTCAAGGAGCAGTGTAATTTTGATTAAATACATCTTCAGTGTTTGACTCACTGCAAAGCCCAGCCTCCCTATTGAGAAGCAGTCAAGGTACTGCGATGTAGCTCCCATGTTGAAAAACGATCTCAGACCAACTCTGAGACAAGGAATGCCTCCGGGTATGAGACTCATTTGTCGTTGACTAATGGATTTGTGAGTTTTTGTTCTCTTCCATTTTTTTTTAAATAACTGTTTTTAAAAATGTGTGTATGGTGGGGTGGGGACGGCTGCTAAAGCAATGAGAAGTGAGTCCTTAATTCCTACCCTGACCTCTTCCCTACCCCCTTATTTCCATCTGCTCTTTTCAATCTGGCTGTTTGGATGTGAGGTATTCTAAGATCCCACCGTCTTCCTACATAATAGGACAGCATTTCACACAAAGCTGCTGCCTGGCAGGTGGCAATGAGGTCATGTTTGAAGAGTGGGCAAGGTGAGCCACTTGCAAATAACGTGAGGAAGGGCTCAGTGTGACTTGTGCTCTAAAGAGATGCAGGGGCTTCAGACATGGATCTTTGAAACAAACCCCGTGGAGGCTGCAGAGAGATTTTAACGTTATTAAGGCACAAGTTGCACAATACCACTGGGGCCACTGCCATCTGATTTGTGCCTCATATTCTGGGAGCAATTCTTTCGTTTGCTTTTGAATGACTCTGAAAAAAGTGGCATCAGTCAGCGAATGCATGTCTGTATAAATTATGCATCTGTGAGTTCATGCTCACATGGCATTCAGGAAGCTCCATGATGTACGGCAGAGGCCTTTGTGGGGGAGGGAGAGATGGAGGGAGGGGCAGGGAGGGAGAGAGGCTGCTTGGAGGTTGGGAATCCAGAGGTTTCTGTGAATAGTGACACCTGAAATGAGAACACATATGAAGGTGGAGGGGCTCTGGGGAAAGTGAGAAGCCTGACCTAAATGCAGTCATTTTCTTCTCTCTGCTTCCATTCGTTTATGTCTCTTCTCCCTTGCCTGCCCCCTGCCACTGTTCCTGGTAGCCTTTCCCTGTGGCTTCTTAAGGAGACAGGAGCAAGCATGTATTTGCCAGGGTGCTTGCCGATTTTATTAAGCAAGCTTTCCATTCAAGTTTGGGGCGGGGTGGTATTGAAAGGTGTCAGACAGGAAAACAGATGCTCTGGTGGACAGTCATTAATTCCCCAATTCTCATTCATGTTACTATTCTAGGGAGACAGAGTGGGGGCCTAACGTCTAGTGGAGGAGAGAGACGTGAATAAATGTACGTAACAAGAGGCATCTAAAAAAGTGACCTTGGGGGGAAAACTGAAGATAGCAAAAAGCGGTTGACCACAACTCTGTCATCTAGATATCTATCACCAACTCTAAAATGTGTGTAGTCAACAAATGCTGTGAAGCTACATTCACAATTTGTATGGATGAGCCGTCTGATTGGAATAAGACTCAGATGTGGAAGGTACAAGCTCTTCAAGATGAGTGACCCTTCCAGTAGGTGAGGGTCTGCACTCTGTGCCAGTTAAAAGATAGCTCCACAAGGCAAATCAGTGTGCTCTGACCCAAAGGAAGTGCAAGGAAAAAGAACAGCTGCCCACTGTGGACTTCTGGACATCCCATCTTCTAAGACTTTAAAGGACTTGCATCTACTTTTGTTAATCTACAAGCATTCTTGGTAAATATCAGATACACAATACTAGCTTTTCTCATACGTCACAATGGAAGAAAAGGTAAAATCAAGACTCATGCATTTAACATTAATCTCTAGGAAAAAAACCAGGATGGCTAATTAAGCAGATGACGTGAAAAGGAGAAAAGAAAGAAAAGATGACTATACTAGGCAAAACAGCTTTACTAAGAACATAAACTAAGCGAACATAGTTGTTTTTGTTGATCAGGAGCTATGCTGGTAAATGAAAGAAATGTGAGTGTGGGCTCCGCCTGTGTAGAGAAAAGTGTGTGCACATACGGCCCCTTGATTCTGCAAGACAGTCATGCTCAGCTAAGATGGGGAAATACAAATTAAAGAAAGAGTTATTTGTGTCTGGCTGCAAGGCCATCTCTCAATATTTTGATTACTACATGTATGTCCACCAGCTGATGAAGCTGTCTAGTCGTGTGTCACAGTGGCTACCATTTGTTTTGCCCTGTTCAAAATTTCTATCAGTGACTTGGTTGACAATGCCATGTTTTAGTTTATTTCTAAAGAAAAAACACATACGTTTACTGGTTTCTTTAAGACTTCTCATTGTCACATAATAAAATTCACATGCTCTTCCCCCACTTAAAGTTTTAATTTATTTTTCCCCCTGACGGCTGGGAGTTTGGTGTCAGTTCTGTTCCTTAATGGTGGTGATCTGCCTGACTGGCCACCTGGAAGCCCTAACGCCTCTTACTCCTTGTGAATAAACTCTGTTCAATTATCTTCAATGCTGTATTTAACTGGCATGCCTAAATCCTCTCTACAAGGTAGAAAGTCAACCCTTAGTATTTTTCAGCTTGTAATATAGTGTAGTTTCATCCCAACAAAACAAATGCTTTTGTGGGAAGTCCATTCGGCTTCCATAAAGACTTGCAGGTCCCTGGTGAGATGGAGAGGATCAGCACAGAATTGAACTGGCTCCAGAGCTGCCCCTGGGCTCACAGACCCTGTAGCCTTCCTGCCCTGCCTGGTAAACTTGCCTTGACATTCATTTCCTCCTTCTTGGTCTCCCCTACTGTGGAGTGTGACCACCTGTCTGAGCTCCTTCTCTTTCGTCAGCATATGGCTTGGGCTTCCCTGCCCCCATACTTAGCTCTGTCTCCCGACTCCTGCTTTTATTTTTCAGCAACTTATCTTGATGGTTCTACAAACAGCTTTCTGATTCATCATTGAGAGCAACTCCTCCCAGAACTAACCTTTACCAGTGGGCTGTAGCTTCTGTGGAGACAGAAAAGAGAGTCTTTCTCCCTCTCCTTGTTCCAAACGACTGAGTGGTTTTGCTACCATTTTAGAAAGCAAGCATTTAACACGTGCCAGTGTTTAATCAATTGACTAATTTGTAACACACTGCTTCATTACTTCCGTGTTCACACACAGGCACACACATACACGTGCGCAAATGTCCCTATTTTTACAGACAAATTCATCTGTCCAGATTATAAGAGGAAACGTAGTGTATTAAATACACACTTCTTAAAAATGTTAGTATTTGGTTTTTAACTTTATTTTTTTCACTTTATTGAGGAATAATTGACAAATAAAAATTATGTATGTCTAAAGTATATAAAGTGATGTTTTCATGTATGTATACACCGTGAAGTGATTTCTACAATAAAGCTAATTAACATATCCATATACTTACGATCTACTCTCTTAGTGAATTTCAGATATACAATACATTATTAACTGTAGTCATCATGCTGTACATTAGCTGTTCAGAAAGTATTCATCTTGTAACTGTAAGTTGGTACCCTTTGACCAACACCTCCCCATTCTCTCCATTCCAGAACCCTGATAACCACCTTTTTACTCTCTGTTTCTATGAGTTTGACTTTTTAAGATTCCACATGTAAGTGAGATCATGCAGTATTTGTCTTTCTGTGCCTGGCTTATTTCACTTAGCATAACGTCCTCCAGGTTCATCCATGTTGCTGCATATGGCAGAATTTTCTTCTTTTTTAAGGATAAAAAAGATTCCTATTGTATGTGTGTGTGTATATATGGATGTACACCACAATTTCTTTACCCATTCATCTGTCTATGGACATGTCTTAGGTTGTTTTCATATCTTGGCTACGGTGAATAATGCTGCAATAAACATGGGAATGCAGATATATCTCCAATATAGATAGTAATTTTATTTCCTTTAAATTTGTACCCAGAAGTGGGATTACTAGTAATATAGTAATTCTATTTCTGTAGTTCCATCTGTCCAGATCATAAGAAGAAACATAGTGTATTAGTTAAGTGTACACTTCGTAGAGCCAGCACATTAGTATTTCTTTTTTTCAATTTTACTTTTTTTTTCACTTTATTGAAGAATAATTGGTGATTCTATTTCTAATTTTTGGGGAACCTCCATGTTGTTTTTCATAATGGCTGCACCAATAAATATTCTTACCAAGTGTGCACAACAGTTTCCTCTTCTCTACATCCTTGCCAACATTTGTTATCTTGTGACTTTTTGGATAATAGTCATCTTCAAAATGTGAGTGACACCTTATAGTAGCTTTGGTTTGCATTTCCCTGATGATGAGTGGTTTTAAACACCTCTTCATCTACCCATTGGCCATTTGTATGTCTTGGAAAAATGTCTATTCAGACTATTTATTTAAATTTTGAAAATAACCCTATTTTTTAGTTGGGTTATTTTATTTATTTATGTTTTTGCTGTTGAGTTCCATGAGTTCCTTATAAGTTTTGGATATTAACCTCTATTTAATAGGATAAGTGGTATATGAATATTTAATCCCATTCTGTGAGCTGCCTTTTCATTTTGTTGATTGTATCCTTTTCTGTATAGAAATTTTTTACTTTGATGTAGTCTCACTTGTTTGTTTTCTTGCCTGTGCTTTTGGTATTATATCTAAGAAAAAAAATATCATTGCCAAGACCAATGTCATAGAGTTTTTCCTTTATGTTTTTTTTCTAGAAATGTTATAGTTTCATGTCATACGTTTAGGCTTTTAATCCATTTTGAGTTGATTTTTGTATATGGTGTCAGAAAAGAATTCAATTTCTTTTTTCTTTTTTTGCATGCGGATATTCATTTCTCTTGACACCATTTGTTGAAGAGACAATCCTTCCCCATTGTGTAATCTTGGCACCTTAGTCAAGGATTAATTGATCACGTATGCCTGAATTTAAGTCGGGGCTTTCTGTAATGTCAGTATTTGAATTTTCCATCTTGGTCTCTTGCTAGTTATCTTTCTTTAAGCGTGTTATTTAACATTTCTCTGCCTTAGTTTTATCATCTTCAAAATGGAGATAATAATAGTATTTGTCTAATGCCCTTGTTAAGGAGTTTAAATTGGTTGACTCCATGTCAAGCACTTAGGACAGTAATGACCACATACTGAGCACGTAGTATATATTCTTAGCTCTATTGTTTCATCCTCAACATAGCCGCTAAAGAGAATAAACATCAAAATTAAAAGGGATGTAAATATTTTGTCTAATCTAAATTGAGCATCTACTGTGTCTCAGGCACTGTGTTCAGCACTTTACATAAATAAAGTTCTCTAAGTTTAAATTATATCTCTCTGATTTAGGAGCTCTGTGATTTATGAGCTGTGATTTATGAGCTGAGGCAAAGTATTTACTACATGGTGATTATGTTATTGTTACTATTGCCATTAATATTGCCATTATTGTTATTAGTATTAAATTTATTTTTTAAGGGTGAAAAGAGAATTTGCTAGTTCACAACCAGACACCAGCTGACATAATGATCCATATGTGGTTATTGTTCTAATGCTGTATTGGCTTGAAAGAACATCTGTTTTTTTGCGGCTAGCAAGTTTAGTTAGTCTATGGGTGAAGCATAGCAAAAATAAGAGAATCTTTCTTTTAAAACAACACCATTATTTCAATATGTGAGATGGCTTTAATATTTCCAAACCTTAGATAACTTAAATTTTAAAATTAGATAAGCTGAAAAAATTAAGTTTAAGTACCAGTAGTTCATGTTAGTAACAGGAAGGGGGAAAAGGTAAAATAAGCAAAAAATAATGTCTTGTAAACTTTGCTCATCCTAGATGATTCAAAATTGCTTTTCCAATCACAAGTAAATAAAAAGGACATGAGGTAGAGCATATGTTAATTAGCTTGATTTAGCCATTCTACAATGTATGCATACACAAAACATCATGTTGTATGCCATAAATATATACAATTTTTGTTTATCAGTTAAAAACTGCAGTGAAAAACTTGCTTTTCCATTTAAGCAGCTGCAACACAGTTTAGTGTTTCCTAAGCTTTATCCCTGTACCAGCTCTCCAGAACCTCAAACTATAAAAGACTACATTTTAAGAGTAGCCCCTGGTTCTTTTGTTGTTGTTGTTATGCATTTATTTATTTATTTATTCCACGAACAATATAAGGGTCTCCAATTAGTTGCAGGTGCAAATATTATGCATGCAATTAATTGTCTTCAAATGGTTGATTATGGGCAGAATTGGCTAATTTGGGGTGCAATTAACTACTTGCCACTTATTCTGAGAATGCCCGTAGACAATTGTGTCTGCAATTAATTTACAAGAGCCATTACAGTGAAAACCTTGTACTATAAATCCAAGATTAGAGTGGGAGAATTTTTTAGAAGCAGGATTTCACTCTGGGTTAATTGCATTGACTCTTCTCTTTGGCTTTTCGATGCAGGTTGACTGTAAATGGAGTCTGTAAATTTCTACAAGTTGCTTCCTTGATTTGTGCAGACTGTTCATGGATGAGAATGCTGAAGGGAATGGGGAGGCTGGTGCACACCCAACCGAAGCTGCAGGGCCCTTGCACTGCCCAGCCTAGAGGGCCTGGTTCTTGCTTATTTGTTTTCTCTACTTGTTTATTTTTCTCTGTACATTTTCTGACTCAGTAATGTGAGAGTATTTGCAGAAATGTAAATCCTCAAATCTTTCTCAGCAAGTTGAATGTCTTTATTACACAACCCACTTTAAAGTAGTCTTGTTTATACATTTATTGGAAATGATCAATAGTTAAACAGATCCTATAAGCAATTATAAGTATAGTTTTACAATTTATTAAATTATTTCTTTAGCCCAACCACAGACCTGAATACCGTGATTAAGTTATCTTGTTTAAGCCTTAAAATAATCCTAAGTAGTACGTACTCTTATCATCCCTATGTGCTTATAAACTCAAAAACTGTGGTAACTTGCCAATACACACTGGAGCTGAGATTAAACCATGTCTGTGCAACTCTAAGCCCTGGATCTCTGCAACTATGCTATATAGGGAATTTCAGATCTGGAAGGACACTAGATCCCATTCTCTCCAACTTCTTCATTGGACAGATGGGAGAAGGGTGGCACACACAGCTAGTAGAGGACAAGCCAAGCTCAGAAACCAGATTTCTTGCTGCCCAGTCCAATGTTCTGACTATAGTGCACTGCCAAAGGAAAATTCTGTGAAGTTAGTTTTGTCCACGATCTGTCTATTCTTAATAAAGGATGGTTTTCCTGTGGAGTCTGAAATGTTTCAGCGTCTGTGTTTAGGCCATTGATTGAGAATGACATTCCATAGAAAACACCCCTGAGGACCATACATGAATTTCCAGCAGGGAAGGGTTAAAGTTTCAGTGATTTTGCAGGCTGGATCAAATGTTCTTGAGAGGCTATTCTTCACATCTTGTTTCTTTAGCACTAGGGTAGGGTGAGTAATCAAAGGTGACAAGCTTTCTTGTCTGGTCCCACTACTGGTACAGGACAGCCCAGGAGCACATTGATCCACAGTGGCAGCTGCTGCTGGCCTCCCGTGAAGACACTGAGATACATGGGGCTCCTTTGTACTATTGGAAGGAAGGAGGGAAGGAATAATATGCCACTATCAGAGAATTAAGACAATTTTTTTTTCAAACCAGAGATTAAATTACCTGGAGCCTTGTGTAATTGAGATTTAGTTTCAGCTCCTTTAATGACTTTCCGCTGGTTCTCCGATATGGGGGAGGCACAGCAACCTCCTTTACGGTTGCTAGCCTACTTGGACTGTTTGGGTTGTTGCTGTCTTCTGAGCCTTCAAGAGGCTAGAGACATTGAAGTAGCATACAAGGAACATGCAATAAATGACATGCTGTCTTATAAAGGTCTCTGGCTGGTGGAGGAGGTGGGCAGCATAGAAATGACATATGCCCATCCTTTCTAGTTTCTCTTGAATTCTAAATGACTTTTTGGAATAGAAGTTAGGAAAAGAAAGAAGAGAAAGAAATTGATTTATCAAAACTTATGCATCTGCTACATACCACGCCCTTCAAACAGGTTTGTTATTTTTAAACCTTGCATGAGAGACGCTAACCACTATTTAAATAAGGGGCAAATGGATCTAAGGAGAGATTAATCAGCTTGCCCAAATTTTACACAACATTATGCAAAAAGAGATGGAACGGTGCCACAAAGCTGAAGAGAATAATGGCCAAGGCATTCCTTGTGTGATCTGTCACCTTCCTTGAGAGTTCCTGCAAGATGGTCTTGAGTAAGGCAGGGATCTCACAATTTCGAGTGTGGTCTAATCCTCGTTTTTAATAAACGGAGTTTCATTTTACTCCAAAATAGGTGTATCATGGGGAAACATCTTACATTCATGTCAGATATTGCTTGATCACTTAGTGAACATTCAGGGATGATAATCAGGGATCAAGGAGACTTATCAGCAGACACCTACAGATTTTTGGATCTCCTTCAGATAGAGCCACTGTGATCTGGCAAGACCAGCAAACACGGACTTGCTCAAAATCCCAGTAGCTGCCTTGCAGCTGATTTTCCATGCACCATTTCAGAATTTGGCTTCTTTATGTCTTAGGACTTGGCCATACTGTTGACTTTCTGATTCCTGATTCATTCTTCTATTAGCAATTAGGGTGTTTGGTGCTATGTTTTCCACTCTGTCCAAAGTCTCAATCACAGCAGATAGCTAACAATAGCCTCTTGTTTTGAGCCTAGACCACTCCTCCCAAATTAACTCCTTCTGCACCATGTGTTGCCACCCTATGGTACAGCAAATGCCATGCCTGCCTTGATCAAAGCGTGAATTCCATAGTATGCATTTACAGTGTAATTAACATTGGTCACTCCTTATTGTAGAAGTTATAAAAGATGTCAGAAGGAATAGAACCAAGAAAGAAATTGATCCCTGGGAAAAAGATTTGTCAAGGAAATTTCTTGCAAGAGCAAACCCTTCATTAGAAATCAAGTTAGATCAAATTTTGAAGGAGTAGATAGATGTCTCCTGGTATTCCTATTGTCATATCATATATGACACATATAGATAAGAGTGATTGTTTTCAGTACCATTAAAATTAAAAGAAAGCTAACCAAATGATTAAAATTAAATGTAATTAGTTTTACCTAAATTGTGGGTTTTGAGAGCAATTAATAAAACCGAAATTTGAAAGCCACTTGTCAAGCAAATAAAAAATCAAAGAACATATTTCCTTTATTGAAGTCACTCCTATGTAAACCAGCCTACACAAATCATTTTCATGTTTGAAATATAGCAGGTGTGTAATTGGAATATTCAACAACAGCCATAACTTAGGCAACCCATGAACTGCCTTGATTCCTAACCACAACATAAAATCTTCACCCTAAATTCCCTCTAAATTCCAGTTCTGATTCCTGAAAAACCAGAAAACAAAGCATCCAAATATAATGATGCTGGGATCAGAATAGACCTGAATTTGAGTTTAACCTGACTATTCACTGAGTCCCTTAGTATAAACATTTACTTCACTGCTGTAGCCTCGCTTTCTGGTATCAACCTCTACCCGATAGGGTAGGAGGAATCCTATAATCTTGATCACATAGCTTAAACCCAATTAATGCTGCTCACTATTTTAGTCTTATTTTATTCACTGCTGTTGTTGAAATATAACTTCTGAATTCTTCGTAAAGTTTTGTTTTGTATGCTTTTGATATCAGTTCTAGTCACATTAGCCTTGTAAAAAGTGGTGTGTCCATTCTGTTGTGTCAGGAATGCGTGTGTATCTATGCTTGCAGCTCTGGGAAACAGGAGGGCAAGAAGCTTCTCTTATTTGAGCCTTGGTTTTATCTGTGAAATGAAGAGTCCCCTCAGCCTTGCTTAACAAGAATAAGAAGCTCTGCTGAGAAGAGGTCCTTACAGCACAGGCCCACTGTCTCCAAGAGGCACAACCCTGGAAGCTCTTAAAGAACTTCTTGGAAATATTTTTACCTCTAAAAATTCATGCAGTTTGGAACTCCAGGATAAGTTTTCAGAGAAACATCATTGTATAACCATAAGCCCAGGGGATGATAAAAATTCTGAAGCAGCATCCACAACTCCATCCACATATACATTACATTCTTATCTATTGAGAGCTTTTTACTATGTGTTACCTACGTTAACCTCACAACATCCTTGCAAGGAAAATAAGGCACATGTAATTATGTTCCTTGAGCCAATAGGACACTGAGGCATAAGAACACAAAGCCTGTTACACAGAGTGGAGAACGAAGTGTGAAAACTGCCCTCCTGTGATTTCTGTAGCAATTACTACAGAGATCACTTTAGCATCTCTTTAGCAATAAATGCATAGGGCACTCATGATTATTCTCTTTTTAAAAAGAGGTAGCAAAAATTCCAAAAGACAAGGGGACTGATTTGCATGCCTCGTTTCCTGAATTTCCACCGCATCTCCAGGATTTTACTGATCCACTGATGCAGCTATCAAACGGGCCCTTTGAAAATCAGAGGTCTCTTGGAAGAAAAAAGGAATTAATGGATCTCCCTGTTCAATGGGGGTATAGGAAATTATGACTCTCCAGAAAGGAGCCAAGATTTTGCCTGGAATCTTCCCAAAGGACACATATTAATTGAACTCTATATAAACATGCAGCCACATAATGCTTGCATATTTCCAAATTAGACACGATACCAGGCAGTGAGATATCACAGAAGTAGCATGGGCTTTGGGAGGCAGAGTGGTTGAAGTCATGGCTGCTCAGCTGAATAGTCTTGTGCCTCAGATATCTTCACTGTGCAGTGAGTCCACCTGCATGTTGAGGAAGGTGACTTTTTCCCAGGGTCTTCACAACGATCGAATGAGATAAAACATATCAGCTACCCAGTTCCAGACTTGACATTATGAGTCCACCATATATGTTAGTCTTACTTGGGTTGCAGAGGAGAAACTGCTCAAATCTCTTAACACATAGCTATTTTGCATAATGCCCAAATAAAGCTTTCTATTTCTCTGAAAGGAAACAAATTAAAAAAAAAATAAGTAACAAACTTTAATATGCAACCCCCAAATAAGCATACAAACCTTAATATGTACCTAAAGAAAAAGATATCAAATAACATTTTGAGCTACATATAGATGAATTAAGAGACCAAAAATGAGGACCATATGGATGAGAATTTGCTTAAAATACACATGGGCTTAGGGGAAGAAAAGAGAGAAAATTGCTGGCAAAAATGTGCCTTGGAATTGTGCCAGATTTGAAAACATTTAAATAAATAATCTGAGTTTAGAAAAAGTAAAGAAAGATTTGTCTCATTCTCCTGGATAAGTGAGAGGTGAGAAAGATGTGGCCTCCAGCTTTGTGAGCCTCACCATGAACGCACAAGCATGTTGGCAAGACCTCTTCGGGGACTTTCCCATCTGGAATTGGCTGGTTTCACTTTAGAAATAAGACCCCTAGCTTATGATATTCTTGCACTATACTGCACAATGCTTCACAAAATATTTATAAATTGGATGCATCTTTTGCTGTATTTCAGTTGAACTTTACCAGTAGTCAAGCAGGTGAGAAGCAAACGTATCACAGTTGTGGGAAATCACCTGCATTGTTTGATTCTGCAAAGCAGGATTTGAGAGTTGCACCTAGATCGTGGACTCATGATCACGTCTTCGTTGTTTTAATGTTCACATTCTCTCGTTGTGCCTGAATGTAGGAACATGCACTCATTTTATTTGTTTTAACCAGCACCATGATGTTGTTGAAATAAATATAATTCTCTAAAAGCATTTTAGTCCTGGGCTCAGGGGTTTACTTCAAATGAAATGTATATATCAGTACATGTTTTTATATTCAATAGGCAGAGAAATTCAGATTAGAATAAATGTTCAATCATTCCTTTATATTATGTCATCAATGATAAATATGATTTTTGGTTTAAAAGTGGTAAATCATATTCTTACTCTCCAGAGAATTCTGGTGTTACATTTTGTAACCTTTATACCCCCATCCCCAGATTCCATAATAGTGTCCAGACCTGAGATTTTTATATTTGAACACCCATTTCTGAAGTCACAGGTAATTTGTCCGGAGTGCTTTGCACTCTGCCCCTGCTGTAATTCCCCTTATCTTTGTGCTCAACAGAGCTGTACTGAGCACCTAGTCCAGGAGTTTACAGAGAAGGGGCATCGCCTTGTCCCAGGAACAAGTACATTACCTCATGAAGGGACTTTCAAAGTGGTACATATGACACAGAAGAAAAGACACATGGCTGTGACTGCTCAGTGCTTACCCTCTAGCCCCTCACCGAGAGAAAACAAATGGAAACAAAAGTAAAGTAAAAGTGAATGCAAAAAAATTCCTCAATATTCAGTATGTTCTTCTACCTCTGTTTTTGGGGACACCAACTTGTAAGACACCTGGTCTGTCTCCTTGAGAAAGGTAAATTTTAGCCCTCAGTGTAAGTTGTAATGTGCTCTTTCAGAAGCTCTATTTCCAGACGCTTCTAATGGCTCACCAGTCTTGAACAAACCCCATAACCTGTTCATCAGGCACCACCTATACCAAAATGCTCTCTGCATCCTTTTTATGACATTTATGACCAAATGTATTTGGTCAGGGCTCTGGAAGGACTCTGTGCTTTTACAACTTTGTATCTTTGTTCACTCCTTTTCTTCTCACACATAATGTTCTGTTTCTTCGTCTTCATCTGTCTAAAGCTAACCGGTTGTTGAGGTCCCGGACAGTAAAATGAAACAGTTCTCTTTTCTGCCCCAGAAAATCTTGAGAACCTAACAGGCACTTACTTGGTAGAACAGTGAAGTGAGAATGTCATGGATTTGGATCCCAGTCCCTCCAGTGTTCATCAATGATCTTGGGTGAGTAATATCATCTCACGTTGCTGGTCCTCAATTTTTCTCAACTGTAAAATGGGAGAACAGCACTTATTTTTGAAAGTTGCTGCATATGAGGTTAAAAAAGACACTAAGTGAAGTTTCTGCCACGTGCCAGGGGCTGCTCTAGCTTTCCTGCCGTCCCATCTATACTTAGTTATTTTTATTTTTTATTTTTAACTGAACTCGCTGAGCAGCTCCTGGAGATCCATGTCTGCTCCACACTTCTTTTATCCCACAGTGATCTTAAAAAAATGCCTTAAAAGGTAAGGTAAGCATCATACATATGGTACAGATATTTATTATTAGGATTGTTTTTCATTGGCTTTGAGGCTTTTAAAAGAGTTCTTATTACTTTTACTTTTCTACACAAAACATACAAAACACAGGTTCGGTTCAGTTCATGTGTTGATTTTTCAGCTTCCCAGAGTGTAATCATGCTATGTACTGCATATAAAGGTTAAAAATTAGTTTCTCAGATTTTATGGAAAAGATTTTCACATGAGAAGAGCATCTTAGTCTGCTCTGGTTGCACTAACAGAATACCACAGGCTGGGTGGTTTCAACAACAGAAATTTATTTCTCAAGTTCCGGGAGCTGAACGTCCAAGGTCAAGGTGCCAGCTGATTGTGGTTCTGGTGACCGCCCTCCTCCCAGCTTGCGGAGGGCCATCTTCTCTCTGTGTCCTGATGTCCTTTCAGGACACAGGTGTGTCCTGATGTCCTTTCAGGACACAGGTGTGTCCTGAAACACATCTGCAGGTGTGTTCAGATGGGGACAGGAGTTGGGGAGAACTTTCGGGTATCTCACTCATTCTTTCGGATCAGAGCCCCTCTTGTATGACCTCACTAACCTTAATTACTCCCTTAGAGGCCTTATCTCCAAATACAGCCACACTGAGTGTTATAGCTTCAATATATGAATTCTGGAGGGAAATGAAAATTCAGTCCGTAACAGAGAGTAATGATCGACATCTGAAAATGCCCTCACCTGCTCTTCATTATCATGTGGAGGCTCCAGTAATGTTTTCTTTGACTCTTGGTTTGATGGATAAAAAGAAGATCCACAGGGTCTCAGTCACCCTTGACCATGCCTGCCGAGTATCACACTTTTGCTCTTTTAAGTAAACCCTAAACTGTGGTTTTGATCAGTAGCAAAGATTTCTCCAAGGCTAATGACGCTTTGAAAACATACCTGCTGTCCAGGTGTGGAGCAAAATGCTATCTATGTGCACCCATAGCCCAGAGTCAGCAGAAGCAGCATTTTTTTGGAACTTATTTATATTTAATTTTAAAAGACAGAATCATAGGCCCTAAAAATGGATAAATGTATAAGCAATAGGAAAGGAAATTGCTGACTCCTATAATAAGGCAGTGCAAATATTTACACTAGAGCCAGATATTAATATTTCACTTCCCTTTCTCTGTATCTCCATCTCTCTTTTTCTTTGCCTCTGTCTCTGTCTGCCCCTCCTCCTTTCTCTTTCTCTCTCTCTCTCTATATATATGCACACACACTGTGTGTTAAGTGTGTGCATTTGTGTGTGTATAGTGCAGAAATAAGTCAAAATAAACTGATAGTCCCTTTACTTGATTCACAGCAAACACACAAACCAATCCAAGCCAACGATTGTATTAAACTGAGGGATAGTACGTGCTACCCTCTAGAAATGTAAATATAAGTGTGGGGTGGAAATTTCCCAGAGCTTCTCTGTGTGGCAGCACTCCACTCCCTTCTCATTGCACTCCCTGCTCCCTCTGTGCATAATCTTTTAACTTTAATATTTTCACATATTCTATACTAGTGGATCTTGATAAATTTAAGCTTGGGCATTGTACAGATTCCAGATTTCAAATGAATAACTCTTTCATTTAGTTAATAGCTGCAGCAGAGCCATAAAACTCTAATAGTTTATGACTTTCAGGACATAACCTACAACCACAGACAGTATAAATTATACGACATTGCACTTTACGGCCGTAGTAAGCACGTGAAGGACCTCTCCACTGGTGTGGAGTCCAGGGAGTTGGGGGTGGCATATGAGATTAACTGTTGATTTTTCACTTGGTGGCTGAAAAGCTCCTGCATCCTACGCTCAGGAAGCTGTAATTCTGCCCCAAGGCATCCATCAGTTCTGCCAAACACAATGGTGACCACTAAAGAAAGCTATTCATTTCAGGACCAGTCTGGCCAACATGGCAAAACCCCGTCTCTACTAAAAGTACAAAAATTAGCCAGGCATG
Source organism: Homo sapiens (assembly GCF_000001405.40). Taxonomy (NCBI): domain Eukaryota; kingdom Metazoa; phylum Chordata; class Mammalia; order Primates; family Hominidae; genus Homo; species Homo sapiens. Next base: position 6,068,857 of record NC_000002.12, read on the forward strand.
GTGGTGCGCGCCTGTAATCCCAGCTACTCAAGAGGCTGAGGCAGGAGAATTGTTGAACCCGGGAGGCGGAGGTTGCAGTGAGCCGAGATCACACCACTGCATTCCAGCTGGGCGACAAGAGCGAGACTCCATCTCAAAAATAAATAAATAAATAAGTAAATAATAACAATAAAGCTATTCATAACGAATATTTTTAATTCTATCTTCAACTTAGGTTTCCATTTCCAACAAAAATGGCAATGCAAACTCCACTTGTGTTATAAGCGTCAATAATTACTGTTTTCAAGGAGAGCTGTGTCGCTGGAGATGTGGGTGTAGCATGGGTAGAGATGCCCTGTGGCTAGATCTCCCACGCTTGTGTGTTGCCATATTCTTTACTATGAAGCATCTGGATGATGCTATTCTTCCTCAGTGACTCCTGTGGCTTCTAAATCCTGCTTCATGTCTATACTTAAGGTTCGGCCTCTGAATAAGCGCAGAGGGCTGACCCTAGTGCTGTAAAAGGACCATCTAAATAAAAAATGAAGATAATAGGGCTTCAGAAATTGGTAAGGGCCAGAGGGAGAGGGTGAGGCAGCCCAGCTTTTGAAATGAGGAAAGGCGACTCACTCCTTTGCTGCACCTGCTGCCTGAGAAGTGCTGTGTTACTGAAGAGGCCTGCGGTCCCATCTGCATATCAAATAGCTGATTTGTAGATGAGGTCATTCATTTTGCCTTCTGTATGTTTGCTGTGCTGGGGAGGGGCTGTTGCCTAGCAGTAGGCCGCGGGGTCCCTGCAGGCTCCCTAAGTCAGCAGCCCCCTCACCCACACTGAATTCAAAACCAGGACTGACTCTCGTGAATAACTGTCTGAAATATCTAATGCATTGGTAAGTTCAAAGCATGGGTCATATATGACCAGTGAGGTTTCTCTTTAATGACTTCTTTAATCAGCTCATCAGCTTAGGCATTGGATAAGGAAAGGAGTAATCCAGTTAACATTTCTCAGCTCCTTCTTGCTATGGATTGGTAATATTTGAGTGCATAGACATAGCAGGAGCTTTGGTCATGCTTAGGAATAGCTTATTGTTTTATAACATGATGAAGTAAATAAAATAGTGATCTTTGTTGAAATACGTAAATATGTTAGAATCAGATTTGGATAATTGATTCCATTTTTCAAGGAGGTTTTGTTATTCCAGAATTCTGCTAACCTCCTGGCTCTTCCTGTCTCTCTGTGTGTATACGTGTGGTGTTGACAAGTGGTACACGCATACACACACATGGACACACACAGACATTTTAACCACAGTCTCTTTCTGCTAGAAACCTGTAAAGGAATAAAATGACAAATAATAGTTGCAGATGCCTTTATAATTCACTCTTTATAATTCAGTCTCTGTTCTCAAAAGACAGCAGGCTGTCATTTTACCTAGTCTCATTCTTTAAACCCTATTTTTTTCTATTTCTTTGAATAGTGAGAAGATTTCTATGAAAGAATGCTTTCCTAAAAATTAGGACTTAATACCCAGGAATAAAATTTGGTTCAGGTGCATTTAAGATGAAGCCCATACATAAGAAGTATGCTTCTTATTTACACTCTTTCTTGGGGCAAACATCTTCCTTTGTTATATTTCTCTGCTTCATTATAGCTTTTCAAACTCCAACTGCTGTTTCTGTGTTTCTGGCTGTAGAAATAGCTTTTCAGATTTGGAACATCCTATCAAGGTTAAGGAAAAGTTGCCAACACAGTTGTGAATAATCATAATAA